>NC_000003.12:137038907-137341937 GCF_000001405.40 Homo sapiens | reverse complement strand
CAGAAAAGAAGGAACCAAATTAATTTAGCAGGGAAGCATTGCATGAAATATTGTTGAAGTTTAATAACCATGCAAAGACAGATGATATGTGTGGAAAAATTAGTTGTAGGACCTCATAATAGTCTATTAATATTTCCTACAGGCGCAAAACCCTTTCCTGAATAATTGTGACAAAGTAATCTTTTGAAAAAGAGAGAGTTGAAAAAAGAATCTTCAAAAGGGGACAGTGATCATGAAGGCGCTGGAAGGAGAAGGAGACTCTATGTCAGTCAGGAAATCTGCAGGTATGTTTGATGTAACTCACCATGGCAAGACAAGAGAAATCAAGCTCACAGATGACCAGAAATCATGTAGAAAGCACACACATGGGCACAATTGCACTGCAGATCTGTAAAACAAATAGTGTGGCTTTTAGACATAACTTAGTTGATTTCATAGATCTTTATGAAAATTATTTAGTATTCCTGCCTATGAGGTCAACATGATTGAGTTCTCAATCATGCAGATGAAAAAACTGAGATGCGTAACAATAGAGGCACTGGTTCCAGAGGCTCCCAGGGGATGCAGGGGGAAAAAGGGAGGCCCCAGCCTCAGACAGTGCAGTGGTCCTGGCTGCCTCCCCTTGACCCAAGGAAATGGAATGGCTGCTTCTGGCTTTGTCTGCCCTGCAGAGGCCTAAACCTACTTCTGATTTTACAAAGTCTGAGCTCCCAAGAGGAAAGCATCTGCATTCCTTTATTTCTGATTTCACAGTAGAGATAGTTTTTTTTATATATCCCAAATTCCAGAAGTTATTAGTCTAGTGAAGACTCAATATACTTATTAATTAAATTGGGTTCCATTTGGGGAAGGAAAAGGGGTAAAGGATGTAATGTTTGTCAATAATATATTATTTCCAAAGTGTGATAATATATTACTTTCTCTAATTATTACAACAAATTTTCAAAGCAGTTGGCATTATGCCTATTATGCAGAAGATGCTTCTAATTTCACCTCGTTCTGGGAACTGGCAGAGTTAAGGGGTTAAACCAAAGACACTACCTCCAAAAAAAAGGTCTTTGCCTGTGAAAGGATTGATTATGTTTGTTCCCATTTTCCTCCTACAAAGGTCTCTCCTGTTCTTTATTGACTCACAGAGGCTGCCTCTATTGCTGGAATCTTGGTCCCATTTGTTAAAATTACCTCTATTGAGGACACGGCTTGTATTGAGGGACCACATTTCTTCCCTGTGGAGCACAGTCCTGCCATAATTTAGCCTCTCCACTGCATAGGTCTTGATGACTTGGGTTATGTAGGATAAGGGTCATGATCAATGAAAAGTTCAGTTTATGAAAAGTCTGCAGGACTTTATGGACAACTGATAACTCACTTCTTCCAGAATAAGATGATCAGAATATCTGAAACATGAACACGTGAGATAAAATAGTTGAAAATCTGGCAGGAAACACTGAAGAATTTTGGATGGCATAACGGGTGGGGTAGGGCTCCATTTATTACAACTCCCATCTTTGGATAAGCACCATATTGAGACTTTTAAGAAGCAAAACTATTCCCCCAGGTTTCTACCTAGTGGTAAGGGGTAGAATAGGTTGACACTCTATTTTGGTTTAGCCATATTGAGCCAAAGTGTGTGTGTATGGCTGGGACAATGGGACACACATAAGCATCTTCTCAGAGGGCCATGATGGCTATGGCACATAATGTATTGGACTGTGGAGGGTTATTTACAGAATTTGGGTTTGATTGATATGATCAAGGCCAACACCAAATTTTAACTTTCACTTCTTTTGCTCCTTATGATGGGCCACACCAAGACCCATTCTCTCCACCTTGAGCTCTTCAGTACATTATTCTTGGTCCAACACATCAAAGTGGTGGTCATAGGTACTAATCCTATGCAGGATTATACTTGCAGCTCAGGAATCACGAAAAGCTTCATAGGCTCCTCTTCCCATTCCCAAGTCCTCTCTTTTCATAGACATATTGAGACCTTTCCTTGGACTATAGAAAGCAAGGTACATCCCCAGTTCAGATGTGTCTCTGCAAATCAAGAAGTGACTGTTTCAGGCCAGGCAAAGACAATAAGCATTCATTAGGAATGAACACTCCCAGAAGCCAGGTGACAGCCACGTGGTGTGTGAGGTATGATAAAGCTTAAATTCTAGGAACTTATCCTAGAAGCTCAAGGATTTCTACTGATGAGACAGCAATAATAATATGGTTGTTTGAGACTTTGTTGGGGAGGGTCATCCTTGGGGAGCCCCAAAGGGTCAAGTCCTGATTTGGGAGTATAAAGTTCAAATGTTGCAGCCAAGGCTCCTGTATTAGCTTGTTCTCACGCTGTTAATAAAGACATACAGGGTATAAAACTGGATAATTTATAAAGGAAAGAGGTTTAATTGACTCAGAGTTCACCATGGCTGGAGAGGCCTCAGGAAACTTACAATCATGGTGGAAGGGGAAGCAAACATGTCCTTCTTCACATGACAGCAGGAAGGAGAAGTGCCAAGCAAAAGGGGGAAAAGTCCCTTAAAAAACCATCAGATATTGTAAGAACTCACTATCATGAGAACAGCATGAGGGTAAATGCCTCCGTGATTAAATTACCTCCCACTGGGTCCCTCCCACAACATGTGGGAATTATGGAAACTATAATACAAAATATGATTTGGGTGGGAACATGGCCAAACCAGATCATTCTGCCATGGCCCTTCCCAAATCTCATCTCATAACATTTTAAAACATAATCATGCCCTTCCAGCAGTCCCCCAAAGTCTTAATTTATTCCAGCATTAACTCAAAACTCCAAGTTCAAAGTCTCATCTGAGACAAGCAAGCCCCTTTCACCTATGAACCTGTAAAATCAAAAACAAGTTAGTTACTTTCTACATACAACAGAGGGGACAGGCATTGGGTAAATACACCCATTCCAAATGGGAGAAGTTGGCCAAAACAAAGGGGCTACAGGCCCCATGCAAGTCTGAAATCCAAAAGAGCAGTCATTAAACATTGAAGTTCCAAAATGATGTCCTTTGACTCCATGTCTCACATCCAAGTCATGCTGATGCAAGAGATGGGCTCCCATGGCCTTGGGAGGCTCCACCCCTCTGGCTTTGCAGGGTACAGCCCCCATCCCAGCTGCTTTCATAGGCTGCTATTGAGTGTCTGTGGCTTTTCCAGGTGCATGGTACAAGCTGTCAGTGGAGCTACCATTCTGGGGTCTGGAGGACAGTGGCCCTCTTCTCACAGCTCCACTAACCAGTGCCCCAGTTGGGGCTCCAACATCACATTTCCCATCCACACAGCCCTAGCAGAGGTTCTCCGTGAGGGCCCCACCGCGGTAGCCAACTTCTGCCTGGACATCAAGGCGTTTCTGTACATCCTCTGAAATCTAGGCAGAGGTTCCCAAACCTCAATTCTTGTCTTTTGCACACCCCCAGGACCAACACCACGTGGAAGCTGCCAAGGCTGGGTGCTTGCACCCTCTGAAGCAACATCCTGAGCTGTACCTTGGCCCCTTTTAGCTATGGCTGGAGTGACTGGGATGCAGTTCTGAGACTGCTTACAGCAAGGGCACCCTGGATGTAGACCAGGAAGCCATTTTTGTTCCTAGTCTGGGCCTGTGATGGGAGGAGCTGCTTTGAAGACCTCTGATGTGCCCTGGAAACATATTTCTTATTTTCTTGGTGATTAACATTTGGCTTCTCATCACTTATGCAAATTTCTGCAGCCAGCTTGAATTTCCCCTCAAAAAATGGGTTTTTCTTTCCTATTGCATTGTCAGACTGCAAATTTTCTGAACTTTCATGCTCTGTCACCTCTTGACTGTTTTGCTGCTTGGAAATTTCTTCTGCCAGATACCCTAAATCATCTCTCTCAAGTTCAAAGTTCCACAGATCTCTACAGCAGGGGCAAAATGCCAGCAGTCTCTTTGCTAAAGCATAACAAGAGTCACCTTTGCTCCACTTCCCAACAAGTTCCTCATCTGCGTCTAAGACCACCTCAGTCTGGACTTTATTGTCCATATCACTATCAGCATTTTAGGCAAAGCCATTCAACAAGTCTCTAGGAAGTTCCAAACTTTCACACATCTTTCTGTCTTCTGAGCCCTCCAAGTCTCTAGGAAGTTCCAAACTTTCCCACATTTTCCTGTGTTATTCTGAGCCCTCCAAACTGTTCCAACTTCTGCCTGTTACCCAGTTCCAAAGTTGCTTCCACATTTTCAGGTATCTTTATAGCAGCACCATACTCTTGGTACCAATTTACTGTATTAGTCCATTCCCATGCTGCTATAAGAATATATCTGAGACTGGGTAATTTATAAAGGAAAGAGGTTTAATTGACTCACAGTTCAGCATGGCTGGGGAGGCCTCAGGAAACTTACAATCATGGGAAAATGGGAAGACAACACATCCTTCTTCACATGGCAGTAGGAAGGAGAAGTGCCAAGTAAAAGGGGGAAAACCCTCTTATAAAACCGTCAGGTCTCATGAGAACTCACTCACTATCATGAGAACAGCATGAGGGTAAATGCCTCCATGATTAAATTACCTTCCACACTGTCCCTCCCAGGACACATGGGGATTATGAGAAGTACAATTCAAAATAAGATTTGGGTGGGGACACAGCCAAACCATATCAGCCCCCATTACCTTCTTTACAGTTTTCCTTCTAGCAGAAAGGGGACACGGGACTTTTATATCTTATCCAATTTCTGACATGCTTTCTTATATTCTACTTCTTCATAAAAATTATTTTAGCCATGCCCACAATTTAGAAACAGCATGTTTGACCATACTCCCAATTTCATTCACCAATTTTATAGGATCTATTAATTAGTTCATTCTACAGACACTGATTAAGCACCTATATTCTGTGCCTGCTCAATGTTGAAATGAATAACTTAGTCTTTGGGTTTCAAGATTATCTATCTCCATGTATACCTATGTAACAAACCTGCACATTCTGCACATGTATCCCAGAACTTAAAGTATAATAAAAATTTTAAATTTTAAAAATGCACATGAAGACCTACATTTTATTTTAACTAAAATATATAAACATACATTAAAATTCACCATCTTTTCATTAGTCCACTGATTCCTCGGCTTTCTTGTAATAAACCATAATCAAAAGGCACAGTTTCTTTAAAGCAAGGCAAATCTTTACTTAAAATAAAAAAGCAATCTAAGAGGAAAAAAAAAAGAGATTATCTATCTCAGGACCTAAGACTACATTCAGAAAATTAGACACAAAAACACTCAGGATTTTCCAGCCCAAAAATTCTTTATGACTAATAATGTAGAACAACACACATGTTAAATTATAAATGTATTAAACCTTCTTTTGCTTTTTCTTATTATTTTTCCCTTTCATCAGCCAGTTGGAAAATCCATGGCCATTTTTAATTATTGTAAAATTGGAGGCCAGATGTTTTAGGGAACATATGTATTTTACAGACTCGTACCTAAGACATAGATACATAGCCTGCAAATAACCCATAACTCCCCAGCTTCTGAAAGAACATACTCACTTCCACTGTCCTCACTCTGGCCATTCTGAACTGCAACCCAGCTATGA
The DNA here is from genome assembly GCF_000001405.40 of Homo sapiens. Lineage (NCBI taxonomy): Eukaryota > Metazoa > Chordata > Mammalia > Primates > Hominidae > Homo > Homo sapiens. The sequence continues at coordinate 137,336,357 of NC_000003.12, read as the reverse complement.
TAAACTGATGACACCATCTGCTGTTTGGAGCAGGGAACAGTAGTGCTTACAGTAGTTTTAATAATTAAAACTTAATTTAATTTAATCTGTCTTCCCTACTTCCTTGCCTTTCCTACCCAACCAGAAATGTGCACATGCTGAATCCATGTTTTCTGTCTCTCAGTACTCCCCTGCTTTTTGTTAGTAAGTTAGTGAGCTAGTTTGTTTACACATATTCTGATATATAGTATCAGGAAATATTTTTCTCACATATATACCAACATCTGCTTTAACAGCTTTGCTCATATTGTTCCCCTCTTAAGAAAGTCTCCACCTCATTTCTCATGATCTTCCTCACTGATTTTCTCTTAATTTTCTTTGGTCTATACTGGAATTAGAAATCTTCTCCTTATTATTATTTTTAAATATGAGACTATTTCTAATGATGCATCCATGTCAAGAGAAAGAAAAGCCAGGAGTTCCCTACCAGGTACAAATCAAGGCAAGTTTAGTTCTCCGTGCAGAAGGTCTGCCCTTTCTTGTCCATTCCCACCTAAACACTTTTGCTACTGCTGGTTCCTTGTTCCAAGAAAGTCCTTCCCTCCTCTTTACTTCCCTAACGTCTCAGTTTCCCACGTGACCTCCTCTAGGAAGTCCTACGTATTCCAGAACCCCTCCTCTGAAACCCAATGCTTTAATCATTGTATTCGTTTCCTAGGGCTGCTGTAACAAATTACCACAAACCAGATGGCTTAAAACAAAAGAAATTTATTTTCTCACCATTCTGGAAGCCAGATGTCCAAACTCACGGTGACAGCAGGGGTACACTCCCTTCCAAGGCTCCGGGAGAGAATCTTTCCTTGCCTCTTCCAGCTTCTGGTGGCTTCTGGTCTTCCTTGGCTTGCAGCAGCCTGACTTCAGGCTCTAACTCCCTCTTCACACAGCCTTCTCTCCTATCTGTGTTCTCTTCTCTTCTTAAAAGGACACCAGGTATCAGATCCCACCCTAAGCCAATATGATCTTATTACTAATCTTACCTTAATTACATATGCAAGGACCTTTATTCCAAATAAGATACCCTTTTGAGATTCTGGGTAAACATGAGTTCTTTTGGGAGACACCACTCAATTCACTACAATCATATACTGTTTTGGCTTTATTTTAAATCTGTTTGCCTTGTTTTCAGAATAAAATTGCGAATTGTGTAAGAGACTTCTGAATCTCTGGTAGTAACTAAAGCAGAGGATAAACTTAGATTTTTTAAATTCTTTTAAATTTTATTAAGAAACATTCAGTTGTGTGTGTGTTGCTGTTGTTGTTGTTTTTAGTACTTTCACTCTTTTTTTTTTTTTTATTTTTTTTTTTTTTGAGGCAGGTCTCACTCTGCCAGCCAGGCTAGAATGCAGTGGCATAATCATGGTTCACTTTAGCCTTGAACTCCTGGGCTCAAGCAAGCCTCCCTCCTTAGCACCCTGAGGAGCTGGTACTACAAGCGCATGCCACCACACTCAACTAATTTTTTCTAATTTTTGTAGAGACCAGGTCTCACTATGTTGCCCAGGCTGATCTCGAACTCCTGGCCTCAAGCAATCCTCCAGCCTTGGCTTCCCAAAGTCCTGGGATTACAGGTGTGAGCCATCACAACTGGCAGTACTTTCTTATAGAAGATTTTAAATTGGTTTCTGATTTCCATTGAAGTCTATTTCCTTGAAAGTTCCTTTCGTTACATTGTGCATTTTACCTCATGTAACTTGATGATTCTCCCTCATCAATTTTATACTCTCATAATTTTATACTTCCAGAATTGAAAATATCTTCCTTATAAACATACCTTGAAATTGTCTGTGTGTTTGTCTTCACAGAAAATCAGTCTAAACTATCCACAGAGACCCGGATACTCCCAACATTTCAGAGAATCTCCAATTTTCTCTCCCTTGAGCCTATAATTACTCTCTTTTTCTGTCACTGTGAGTGTCCTCATACAGTGCTTGAAGGTAATGAAGATGGAGACAATGCTGTTTTCTTTCTCTCTCTCAGGGACATACTAAGCTTTTTTTTTTTTTTTTTTTTTTTTTTTAAGAGAGATAGTCTTGCTATGTTGCTCAGGCTGGCATCAAACTCCTGGGTTCAAGCTATCCTCCCTCTTCAGCTTCCCAAGTAGCTGGGACTACAGTTGGGCATCATTGCGCTCAGCTCATACTAAGCATTTTTGAAAAGGGACACTAAACTGGAATGCTACACCAGCTCTGTCTTTCTAATTCTCATTTGTCCTCCAATACTTAGCTCATGTGCCCATCTCTCCTGTAAACATGTCCTGGTTCTTGCCAATGGAAGTTGTCTCTTCCTCCTCTGTGCCCTCTTGTGATGGGCATGTGCCCCTAGCATTTAATACATACCCCTTCATTGGGAAACTATTGGGTACATAGCTCTTTCCCACCAGACTATAAGGTCCATAAAGGCAGAGGTCATGTCTTATGATCACCTCCTGAACTTGCACAGTTTGTGTTCCCAACATGCTGAAAGGTGTTCACCGAAGCTTTGTATATGTTTAAATATCTTTAGATGTAACTCCTCAAGCATTTTAGTAATGCTAACTTTTACTTACAGCCCATAACCAAGCCATGGCTGGACATGACTCTAAATGGACAACTGTCCCTGTGCTATAGTGGCTATGGTAAGCTAAATAAAATATTATGTCTAAGACACATCTTAAAAGCAAAAGAAAAGTAGAAACATGTAGGATGAAGAAATTAGTGAATAGTATAGTCCCAAGAGTAAAAATTAGATAAAAATAGAGAGATTTTGTCTCAATTTGGAAGTCATCCCCATCCTCCAGCAGCACTATCCAAATACAGAAGGTCTGTAGAGCAAGAGAGCCCTGTGTTCAAATCACTGCTTGGACGCTTACTATATGTATGAACTTGAGCAATTATATTTAACTTCCCTGAGTTTCAGTTTCCTCTTCTGTAAAATGAGAATGATTACTTCATGGGGCCACTTGGAGGACTGAATTAAATGAGATATGTTTACATAATGAGAAGCACATTGTCTGGCTGATAGTGGATATCAACAAATGGCAGTCATGGATGTTTCATAGACAAAGAAAGGGCTCAGTTTCTGCAGAAAGCATGAATAAAAGCTGCTCTGTGAGCATTGCTAGAAGTATGTCCTTTTTATAAAGTGGTTTAGTCTTGAATTTTATCAAACCTATCACTGGGGTATGGCATCAGATTTGCATTTTTGTGTAATATATGAAAGATTTTTTTCCCAAAAAATATTCTTAAGGTTCCAAGGTTTAGTGGTATATCAGTGATAAAATGTTCAAGTCTCATATACCCACAAATGAGAATGATGATGGAATAATATCCCATCTAGTCACTCATTTAACTAAGATTCACCAAGTACCTAATGTGTATGAGAGCCTCTGCTAATTACTAGGAGAAATGAACCAGACCAGCCACTGCCCTCAGCGGTTCACTGTCTACTCAGAAATAAAAAAGAATGCAATAGTCTTGTGTTAGGGCATGGAAGTGGCTGTACCTGCCATCCATGGTTTTGTTTGCCCAGAACACAGTCTTCCTGCTTCTGGAAAATATTCTACTCTAAACTATACAGTTACCAGGGGAGCAGCTGTCATACATATTCCACCTTTGTGTCAGTTAGATTTGATGTATAACAGAACACCCAAAAGTTAGAGGCTTAAAAAAACAACCATTTATGTGCTTATGAGTTGGCTTTTTGGTCTGAACTTATCTATGTGGTTCTTCTGATCTCAACTGAATATACTGATGGCACTGATGACTCACTAGGCAGCTCTGCTTCTTGTGATTGGTTGGTTGTCAATTGGGGTAACAAGGATGACTGAGCCACATATCTCTCATTATCACACAGGCTAGCCCAGACTTGTTCACATGGTGGTGGCAGGTTTCTGAGAAAGAGTGGAATTGTGCATGATCTTTTGAGACCGAGGCTTGAAACTGGTACCACGTCACTCCTGCTGCATTCTTTTGACACTCAATCAAGGACTAAGTCCACCCTAGATTCAAGTGGTGGGGAAGTAGACTCTACCTCTTGATAGAAGGAGGTACAAAGTCACAAGGTGGGAAAGATCATGGTCACCTCTGCAATCTCCCTCCCTGGCCAGATTGGAGGGTATGTGCTCAGACTTGGCCAATCCTAGTACCTTTGATGCCTCTGTATCCCCCAACCACGGCTCGCTTTCTTGGCTCAGGAATAGACATCTGATAACTACTAGATTAATCAGGTATCTTCTTGCTCAGGACTTTTCCCTTTGGGGTCAGAGAGCCCAGGTATCAGTTTGTCTCTGGTGGGGAAAATATGAAACTAGAGCTATCGGCAATGTGTTTGTCCATCTCACAACTCTACCTTTGATGTGGAAAAATCCTTACCATCAGCTGCTGCTATGGTCTGAATGTTTGTGTGTTCCCCCAAAATGTATAGGTTGAAATCCTAATTCCCAAGTCGACTGGGGCCTTTGGGGAGGTGACTAGGTCATGGGGGTGGAGCCCTCATAAACAGGATTACAACCCTTTAAAAGAAGCCCCAGAGAGCTGCTTTGACCCTTCTACTACAGGAGGACACAGCAAGAAGGCACTATCTATGAACCAGGAAGAGGGCACTCATCAGACTTGGAATGTGCTAGTCTTGATCTTGAACTCTACAGCCCCCAGAACTATGAGTAATAAATTTCTGTTGTTCATAAGGTACTCTCTCTATGATATTTTATTATAGCAGCCCAAACAGACAAAGATAGTTAGAAAGAAGGAACTCAACATTTGCAAAGAAGCAGAGGCAAAAAAAAGAGAATTTTAAGGATATGCCAATTCTCTGGTTAGATTCCTTGAGACCTAGCTGCCTATGCCTTTTCTATGATTACCAAGCCTTGTAATCAGTTGACTTTCTGAGCCAAGCTAGGTTCTGCCACTAAGAGAAGACAGAGACAGCCACATGGAAAAGAAGAGTGAGCCAGGGAGAGTACAGTGTTCGGACAAGTGAAGATGTCCACGGAAGGAAATTTCAAAACAAGGAAGAGCAAAAGCAAACAGAGATGAGTAAATGATAACCATGTCTAAAGCATATGAATGACTTTGCTGAAGGCTAGGTTTTAGAGGAGGACGAGAAAAAGATGAGACAGAAAAAGCAGTTGGATCAGAATCTGCAGAGTCTTAATGATATAATAAAGAATTTGAACTTTGTTTTATACTTGGTAGGAGATTTTGAACAGGGAATGTCACAGTTGAAGGAGAGTTTGAGGAGGATCAATCTTGTGATGGTTGGCATAATGGATTTTAAGAACAGAAAATGAATTTGGGGATAAAGCCTGCAACAATGATGCCTTGAATTGGGGCTGAAGAAAAGGGGAGGAAGAAATAAACAAGGGGTATGCAAGAGGGAAAGAAAAAAAAGCCAGGAATTGGAAACAAACTGAACCTATAGACAGTGGATAGCGACATGAACAGCCAAGAAGGCTTGCCATACAGCGTTGGATCAAAGATGGGGGATGTTTACAACAGCAGAATAATTTATACGATACATTCAGCAGGAGCACAGAAAAGAGGTTGGGGCTGCAAGAGTTATCAATCAGTTACCAAATATCAATGGAGGACCTCCTATGTGTTCCACAGTGAAAGGTACCAGGAACACCACCAATGCACATAAATGTCTTCTGGACTTGCATTCTAATAAGGACTGTTGAAGTGCTGGGAGCAAAAGAGATCTACAAAAGAGGTGTCCTTCTAAACTCACAAACACAGCATATCATATGGGGAGGGGATGCGGTTTTGATCCTGCATAAGTGATTGAGAAAGAGAACTTGGAATTAATTGGCCCAAGCCTCCTCCCCACAAACCTGGGTGCTTTCCACTGGTTAATCCCCTCTCACCTGCCCAGCATCTCGCTTTCCTTTCACTTCCCCCAAGCAATTCATTTATGGCTCCTGTTTTCCACACAATTGGAGAAAATTCAACATTTGTACTTGTCAACTCAGTAGCCATATTCAAATCACTATCAGAAGACAGAGTTACAAAAATCTTTAATACCTCCAACCAGACCAATGATAGCAGCATGAAGGAAATCCTTTGGTGAGGAGGGAAGAACACGATTCACCAAGATTGAGAACCGAGTGCTGCCTCTTAACAAGACTTGTGTCAGCACTCCGAACTCAGGGATGGAGCAGATTCCTAAAGCAACTGGAAGCCAACTGGGGGATATCTGCATGGGAGAGGCTGGGAGGCAGGTGGGGGAACCAAAGGCAACATGGGCCAGGCAGAAATGGAATTCTTTGCTTTCAGGTCCCTTTTGTCTACCTATTTTCATCTTTACAGAACAGTCCCTTCCCTGTCCTTCCCAATTCCCCATTTTCTTTTCTTTTTTCCTTTCTTTAAATGCAGTCTAATCCCGAGTGTGAACTGATGTAGTTTGTGTGTTAGGGGGAAAAAAATCTCTCTCTTTTTCTGCCTTTTTTTTTTTCCTTCTTCTTCCCCTGGCCCAGTTCATTATTTTTCTTTCTTGTCACTCAGTGTGATAGGTTGAACAGAAGTGCACAGATGAGCACTGAAAACGGTGTCACAAGGCCTTAATCTAGTCTTTAATGCCTGACTTCAGAGATGTCATTTATCTTCTAACTGCAGCAGGCATCCACCAACTTTATCTCTAATAATATATTGATGGATTAAAAGGGTCGGGCAGGAGACCGGGCTGGAAAAATTGCTTATTGACATCAAAATACAGTGCCCTCAACCTGATAAACATGGAGGGCTCGTGTATCTCCCAGAATAGTTGGCGTAGCTATAATTTTTTTTCTAACATGTTTCCCCCAGGTTCATGGGGTGGTCCAGTAAAATAAACAAATACTAAACATTATTTCTATGCTGACATGGCCAAGGAACACGCGAGATATTTTAGGAACACATTTTTAATGTCAGATTTATAAATATACCTCCCTTATTTATGACATGTTATAGCATATTCTGTGACAACTTGAAACAGGCACCTATAGTCTTGGCAGCATTCAAATATTCTCCATGCAGTTTGTTGGAGCAAAAGCTGCCAGTAGCACCTGATTATGCATTTGGATGGTCGTTGGTAAAGCAAGGCTATTTCAGCAGAGAGATGAGGCCAGTAATCTCAGAATGTAAATGAAGAGAGCCTTTGGAAAGGTTTCCTTTGTTTATTGTTCTCTTCATTTTATTGTTTGGTTGGCAGCAGCATGTTTCAAATCACGGTCTGCTTTCCCTACACAGGCTGTGTCTACACAAGTCACTTTTAGAATAAACCAAAAAATAATCATAGACTTCTAACTCCTACTTAGTGGGTAATTCTTAAATTGACTATTTTCAAAATTACCTGTTGTTGAACTGAATTTTGTCTATTTTTTTTTTCACCCTATGAATTAGTTGACATGTGAAGGTACTCTCCCAGGGAATTATTGTTGTTAATTTTGTAATCATCAATGTTGTTGACTTTCACCTGATTTTCAAATGAAAGTTACTTCTTCAGTTCAATTTGCTTGTTTGGAAAGCAAGCTCTAAAAATGTCTTTCTCAGTACTAAGAGTGGGAAGGTGACCTATTTTAGCTTCCTAAAAAATTCCTTCGTAATTTTATATTTTTTCCTGAGTACAAAGGTAAGATCATAAAGGTTGTCTGGCCGACTTGCTTCTAAAGAAATTCACAGAAACTACACATTATTCCAGCATTTTGTTAATTTAGTAGGAAACATTATTCTGTTGTACCCTTGCTGATGATGACAGCACCTTATTCAGTACCATCAAAGACAGGATCCTGGACATCAGTGTCCAGAGCCTAGAGGTGCCTACAGAGAAAATCTCTCCACAGTCAGCTCCTGAATGTTCAGGCACACCTGAAGCCAAGCTAACTGCTGTCTACTCACTGCTGCTGTGCTGCCCGGCACAAGGGACTGAACCTCTCTTGCAGCAGTTTCCCCACCTGTAAAATGGAGATAAAAGTTGTAGCTATTTCATAGGGCAGTTGTGAGGTTTAAATGTGTTCATATATTAAAAGTGGTTACAGTAGTGTCTAGTACATGGTGAATACTCAGTAAACCTTATCTATTACTATTATCGTCATCTTTAAACTTATTATTGGGCTTGTAATGACATCTCATCCCAAAGGAAGAATGACTTAAGATATAGCCAGAAAAGGAGGGTGTCTACTAGAACAAAACATGTTAAGAAGAGGGGAGAAAAAAAGCTGGAGCCAAGGAAAATGCCAAAATGAAACAACCCAAAAGCTGGCAAAAATCCTAAAGAAGTCATTAGCTGTAGGGTAGCAAAGCTCTTGTCAACAGACAAGAAGAAAAGAAGCACTAATATGTACATATTCTAAACCAGGCATCAGAGTCCTCTGACCTCTTCCTGTAAGGATTCCTGGCCAAATTGTGGAATATATTGGGGGAAAGGGGATTTGTTGCATAAAATCCTGCTACTAAAGTGCGAGTTTTTAAAGTGACAGATTATGGAACAGATTGAGAAAAAAAAAAATAAATTGGGGAAGTAGAATGGAGCCCATTCCAGAATGACCTATCAATCTTCCTTGAATGCTTTGGAATAGGCTCTATATCTAAGAAATGTCTTCTGTAGTAAGAATACTGCAATTAGCACTCGTAAGTTGGCTACATGGAGAGAATTCAAAACGCAAAATATAAAAGCTAATAATCCAAAACTAATCACTTAAAGGCTTCTCTATACAGAACATTCAAGGGAGGATTAAGGATCAATGTATCTGAAGTACAAAAGCTGAATTAGGAGTAAAAGTAATAATGGACACGATTGACAGGGCACTGACCATTTACCAGGGCCAAGTCCAGGTCTGTCTCACTCTAAAGCCATGTTCTTTATTTCAACATTTCCACTCTAAGCTGCATTCAGACTTTGACTGCAGAAAGCAAGGGAAAATAGTGAGATTGCCAAGGTTCTGAGCTGGTGGGTTTTATGAGCAAGGGGGAAGGGAACTCAAAGTTTCATATTCCTCCACCCAGGAAGACAACCATTGGCTGATGGTCCCCAACCTTAAAAATTCTAATCTAGAGATTTACTCCTTCCCCCTCTGTTTTCAACTGCTCTGGGGATAAAGAAATCATCAATTCTTAGTGCTGTCATCAAATGGGGTCAGCCTAAGGTAAGACAATAAAAAGAGGGCACATAACCTGGAAACCCAGTTAAAATATGAAAGTTCCATCCACTCCCATGATTCACTGTTTACCCAGAAAATTCTTGCAACTTCTGTTTAAATTTATATTTTCAATATTTATTAAATTCAGCCATCACACCTTTCTCCAGCAATTTAACTGGTATGACTTCCTCTCTGGTTAATGGAATCAAGCAAAAAAGCAAAGAGAAGATAAATACAAATCAAAGTTCCTTCCAATGTGGGTTTTGTCAGCATGGTCCAAAGAGAAGCCAGCCTTGTGGGTTAATACAATACTATAGGCAAGGTGCCAAGTGTTTCTGTACGTAATTCACCTTTAATTCTTACCACAACTCCGTAAGATGAGTATTATTATGAGGAAATTAAAGCTCAAAAAGAATGAGTAGCTTGCCCAAGGCCATACAACAAGTAAACAGCAATGTTTTTAAGATTCAAACCCAAGCCTTTCTGACTGCGAAGTCTAATCCTCCTGTTTGTTGTGCTACATCATGGTTGGTGGCATTTATCTGTACTTTGGGATGCAGTAAGACCATAGGAGAGGAGAGCATATCATCCTCCCTGCCTAATAAGCTCTGTCTATAGAAAGAAGCACAAAAAATATGGGCATAATATCAAGGTTCAAAGTTATTTCTTTGGCTTCACACCATGACCTTTTATAAAACTCAGTTCTAATTAGCAGGATTTCCCATGACTACAGAATGTTTCTTTCTTTTAAATTCATGTATGTTGCCCAGAGACCCCTAATGTTGCTGGAACTTCATTTTGATATCCTGATGGTCCTGTCACCACTTTTGGATGCTCCCAAGGACTGAACTTTCATGTGACTAGAGGTGCCACTTTCTTTTGCATGTTCAACAGTGTCACTGATGATAGCTCAATTTTCAGAAAGTATAAATCACGGTGGAAAAATCTCTCTCTCCTTACCTGATTGTATGAGTCGCCCCTTCATTGGAGCATGAAGCACATGTGAGGGCTGGTCATGAAGAGCAGGAGGACAAACAGTGGCCACAACTGCAAAGGCCACAAACACAGAGCACAGAAAAAAAGGGTGTTGACAGGGCACTTGGTACAGAGAAGGCAACCAGGCACAAATGCTGGATGGACCAGAATAGACTCTCATTGAACTATGAAGGGTCAGGTAAAACACAAGGGAGCTGTATGTCAAAATACAGCCTCATGAGGTTAAAAGGTCAGTATTGAGATTAATAGGGCAAACAAAACGAATACAGAATAGTAAAGACCAACAACAATAAATATATTAACCCACAAGAAAAAAACAAAGAAAAGAGGTCTACCCTAATGCTGTAACATCAAAACCAAAGCAAAAGAAACAAAGGATTCTGGAGAGGAACAGAAAGGTAAAGCATAATTGGACACCTTTGTGAGTTCTCCAGAACACCCTTTGGGGCTCCTTCCCCTCTGTTGGAGAGCTGATGGCAACACTCAGTTTAGCTTCTGTCTGGCAGGTTCACTCCACAGCCTCTTGCCGCTGCAATCTCCTCACCCAGTGGCCAGCCCTTGTAGGTGACAACTGGCAAAATATTCAGTCAAGGATATTTTGCGCAGTGTCTACTTGATCCACGTGAATTTGACCCACCAAATAGTGGAGAGGGCTCCCAGCTCCTCCCTGAAGCCCCCATGCTTCTCCATTCTGCCATCATTCTCAGGTCTTCAGGTTCTCTTTACCTGCTGCTCAGCTAGGCACAGAGACACATCATATCTGCTACCCAACTGAGGAATGGGGTGCCAATGATACTTGGTGCTTCCCCCATCCCCTGGTTTTGAAGGGGCAGGGAAGGACTTTCTACTACACTGATGACTCATGGCCCCTGTCATTTCCTTCTTCCCCTTTACATTCTGGTTGCATAGTGAAACTCCTGGGTATGTCTGGACGTAGCAGAGTCCGTTAGACTATTCTTTAATAAACCAATTGCTAGGGGCTGTCTTTAGAATGTCGTGTACTTGATGCCTCCTTATTCTCAATTTTTATCCTTTCATGACCATCTGAGGGCAAACACAAGTCCCAGTGAACATCTATTACACACGCAATTACTTTGCACTATAAAAGAAGCTTAACAAAAACATGAATGCATTTTTTGCAAAATGTAAACAGGAATACATATTGCAGTAAATTGCTAAGCCTGCTAAAGAGAGACTAAAAATAAATTTTTAAAACTTATTAAAGAGAAATTAAGGAACATGGAGAGCAGAATAAGAAAGTACAAATGCACCTGATAAGAGCACTGAGAGGAAAAGGTGGGAGGGTAAAGGAGGTAGAGTGGAGGAGAGGAAATATAGGGGGAAAATGGCTAAGAACTTTTCCAGAATTGATTAAAGATGAGACTCTTCAGATTAAGGTATCACAATAAATCCCAAACAAGGTAAATGAAAATATATCCATTCCAGGCACACCTTAATGAAACTATAGTAAACCTGAAACTAAAAAAATATCTTAAAGCAATCAATCAGAAAGAAAAAAGAGGTTACCTATAAAGGAATAGATATATTTTAACAGCAAACTACTCAATAGCAACAATAGAGGCTAATGAAATACTGTCTTCAATGTGCTGGGAGAAAAATCATCATTAATTTGGAACTTTTTGCCCAAACTATCATTTAAAGTAAAGACAAAAAAATGTATTTTCAAATAAAGAAGAAAATGAAAGAATTTATCCTTCCTAGATCCTCACTAAAGAATTTTTAAGTGATATTTATAAATAAAAATATAGTGGCAAAAATAAAAGATACATGTTCAAAACCATGCTAACAAAATAAATTAAAAGATGTATGTACAAAGCTTTTAGTCGCAACATTATGCGGAATGGGGAAAGACTAGAAATAGCCCAAATCCCATCAGTGGAAAATTTATTGAGTAAGCTATGGTACATCCATGCAATGGAGTACTATGCAGCCATAAAAAGGAATGGGGAATGTTTTAATATACTATATACTAATATACTATGGAGACCCTCTCAAGATATATTGTTAATTGAAAAAAGATGGGAGTAAGTATTTATAATGGCTACTATTTACACCATTTATTATGGCTACCATTTATATAAGTGAAGGGATACAAATATACATGTTTGCTGATATTAAAATGCAAAGAAGGATAAATCATAACTTTTTTTTTGAGACGGAGTCTTGCTTTGTCACCCAGGCTGGAGTACAATGGTGCAATCTCGGCTCACCGCAACCTCCATCTCCCAGGTTCAAGAATTCAATTCTCCTGCCTCAGGCTCCCAAGTAGCTGGGATTACAGGCATGCACCACCATGCCTGGCTAATTTTGCATTTTTAGTAGAGACAGTGTTTCTCCATGTTGGTCAGGCTGGTCTCAAACTCTCGACCTCAGGTAATCCACCCACCTCGGCCTCCCAAAGTGCTGGGATTACAGGCGTGAGCCACCACAGCCAGCCAATCATAACTTTCTTAATGGTTAGCTATATAAGAGGGGAGAGAATTGGGTGGTGGACAAGGATTGAAGCTGAACTCCCTTGAATATAACTTGTTTTGCAAATTTAGCGTTGAAACCATGCAAATATTTTACCTAACTATAAGATAAAATTAAGGAAATAAAGAAATTCGAAGTATTTGGCATAATGACTAAGAAAAGTTATTCCAAATAATATGAAAATACAGTAATTTGACTGTATATCCCTTCAGGGATAAAGCCTAAGAACAGAAAAAAAAAACTCTGGAAAAAACTTACATAGGTTTTAAGAAGCATATTATTGGTAATAATGCTAATATTATTAATATGAGACAGTTGTGTAGTATTATGGGAAAATTTAAATGAATGATTATACCAGCATTGCTGAGAACCAGGATTTTCAGTATTGTTGAAAGGAAATACAAATGTAGGATCACTAAAGTAAAAAATCTGTAGGGCTGAAAGTTCTGCATTTGAATAGGAAATACTAATATGAACTTATGATGTATTTTATCTTTTAAAGTAGCACATATTTTCTAACTTACGACATTGAAAAGCCCCCAAATAATAGTAACTCAGTAGCAATAAACACCACTAATACCTAAACTATGTTATCTAAAAGTCATTTTCCACCAAAAGGAACCAAGGATCCTTAAGGAGATAGTTAATTTCAGGTCTGGGCCAGTGATGTGGTTTGGCTCTGTCTCCCCACCCAAATCTCATGTTGAATTGCAGTTCCCAATGTTGGGGGAGGGACCTGGTGGGAGGTGATTAGATCATTGGGGCAGATTTCCTCCATGCTGTTCTCATGATAGTGAATGAGTTCTCAGGAAATCTGATGGTTTAAAAGTGTGTGGCACTTCCCCCTTTGCTCTCTTTCTCCTGCTGTTATGTGAGGAAAAGGCTTGCTTCCCCTTCACCTTCCACCATGATTGTAAGTTTTCTGAGGCCTTCCAGTCACATGTCCTGTTAAGCCTACGGAACTGTGAGTCAATTAAACCTCTCTTCTTCATAAATTACCCAGTCTCAGGTAGTTCTTTATGGTAGTGTGAAAACAGACTAATGCAGGCAGGAAATGTACAAATGTGACCTTAAAGCAGTTTGTCAAACCAGACAGCAAGGAAACTATCACAATTTTTCAGGACCATTCTCAAGGGTCTCCTGAGTCAAACTGAAGAGACTCCCACTGGCCCAAACTGGGACAATTTGAGCATGCACACAATAGGTGAAACATATCAAATATATGTACTTATATGATTCATATTCATAGTAAAACTTTTTAAAAAACTACACAACTCAATGAATACTTTCAGAAGATGCTAGGAAACCAACTGATTGTTTTGAAAATGGTAGTAGAATGTAACCTGTACCTCAGGGTAACAAAGCAGTTGAGGAAAGGAAGTTTATTTTGATAGACATTCCAGTTAAAAAAAGAAGAAGAAATAACATAATTTAACATAATTAAATTATCAGTTTTGTAACTCCTAATGAATTGATGGATCTGGTAAGTGATCATCAGTGCCACTAACCAGAAATTATGTGCCTCCCCAGGGAAGAACACACCACCACCCACAAGGTATTCTTGCGAAAAATAAATAAATAAATAAACATTTTTGAAAGGAACTTGAAACAAGCCTCTACAGCAAAATGCTAATCTACAGGAAAATCAGATATTAGAGTATTGGAAATTCTACAAGAGAAATGGCTCCTTTCTTCAGTAAAAGAATAAAAATTGCAGATAAAAAATGGAAGGAGAACCTTTAAGTCAAAAGAGACTTAACAAGATATAAATTTTACCTCAAAAAAATTACTATAAGAAAGATATTTTAAAAGCAAATCAGCCAACAACAACACATACTTCTTATTTGGATTCAATTCAAGCACTATAAAAATAATAGATATGTCATAATTGTATGTCAATCAGAGTAATGTCATCATTGTCTAGATATTTAATGATATCAAGTTTTTCTAAAATTTAGATGTGATCATGGCTTTATAGTTAAGTTCAAAAATTATTTTTTATCCTTTAGATTTAGAGATACATAATAAAATACTACAAGTGAAATAATATGATGATGTTTGCCTCAAAAAAAATCTGGTTTGAGTGGAGGTATAAATTAAAGTATATATTAATAATAAATGGTGGGCAAAAGGTTTATTCAACTATTCTCTTTACATTTGTAGTTGCTTAACATTTTCATAATAAAAATTTTTTTAAAAATACGAAGAAAATTTAACATAGTCTGATGCCTGAAGTCCAGCCAGTAGACTTGACTTCCTCTTCTCTTCCTATCAAATGAAGATGTGTCTACAACAGTAGCTTTGATAAGCCAATGGGTGAGAAGTAGTCATTTTGACTGGAAACTTTCCTTTTTAATAAACCATAAAATTGCATCTAGGGGAAAAATTATCTTAGAGCTATAGCTGGGGGACTGACATTTGTAAGTTCTCTAACCAACAGAAACTGAACACTTCTTCCTCTAGCCATTGTTCTGGAAGGATGAATGGTGCAGAACCATAAGCAGCCAACTCACTTATTCTATTATATCTTTTTCTATTAAATCTAGTACGTAAGTTTCTTTCTTTAAGGAAAAAAATCATAATTTAATTACTTTTCTCAAATTGTCACATATTACTGAAAATTTATCAAGGACTTGCAATTGGAAATCACTAGCAGAGCCAAAGAGGAGGTGGATAAGCATTGTGGATAGGAACTAGGGTTTATTCCATCAGACTAGTAGGGTTTCTAATTTCTCTTTCCCATGTACCCACTACATAATAACTACATTATGAGGTTGTTATTTGGGGAGTTAAATGAATTAGTACCTGCAAAGCACTTAGAAAAATGGTGCCTGGCACATATTATGCACACAATATATATTTTTTAAACCATAGAACATTCAGATGACTTGTTCGGATATAAATAATGAAATATTTTTGTATTCTAGGCTAGTGGTTCTCAATGAGAAGAGATTTTGCCTCCCAGGGACATTTGGCAACGTCTGAAGGTATTTTTGTTCGTTCGTTTCAACTGGAGCAGTGCTCCTGCCAGCTAGTGGAAACCCACGGATGCCAGTAAACATCCTACCACACACAGGTCAGCCTCTCAAAATTATCCAGCCCAAAATATCAATAGAGACAAGGTTGAGAAATCCTGTTCTATGCCCACTCACCTTATGAAAACACATTTAGCAGGAGTAAGCAAATACCTTTCCATATTAAGTTTCTGTTCATTGCTTTGATTACTTCTCCATCACTGAAAGTACAAATCAGGCATCTATAATGTCCCCATTTTACATACACACTAGAAAACATAGTGAATATCTTATCTGTATTAGCATATTTGTTATTTTCAAAAACAGAATAAAAATATGGTTCAAAAGAATATTTAAGAAGATGAGTTCCACAGTCCATCTGGGTTCAATTTAAACACATTGAACCTCAGTCCTCCTATTTACTAACTGTGTAATATTAAACTAGTTAGTTAGCCAAGACTCAGATCTATACTTCTTGAACAGGATGAAATAATAGTTCTTAACTTATAAAATTATTGTGCTAAATGATATAATCCATGTAAATCAATCAATACTGTATCTAGCAAAAAAAAGCAAATATATATTGTTATTAACATACAACTTTAAATGCAAGCTAAAGAAAATAAAAGCTATATCTCAATACTACTGAATAGTACACTTAGAAATAGTTAAGATGGATTCCTGGACAAGATGGCCCAACAGGAACATCTCTGGTCTGCGGCTCCCAGCAAGATCAAGGCAGAAGGTGAGTGATTTCTGCATTTCCAACTGAGGTACCTGACTCATCTCACTGGGACTGATTAGACAGTGAGTGCAGCCCACAGAGGGCGAGCAGAAGCAGGGTGGGCGTTGCCTCACCTGGGAAGCACAAGGGGTCAAGGAACTCCCTCCCCTAGCCAAGAGAAGTCGTGAGAGACTGTGCTGTGAGGGATGGTGCTATCTCACCCAGATACTATGCTTTTCCCACGATCTTTGCAACCCACAGACTAGGAGATTCCCTCAGGTGCCTACACCACCAGGGCCCTGGGTTTCAAGCACAAAAATGAGCAGCCATTTGGGCAGACACCGAGCTAGCTGCAGGAGTTTTTTTTCATCCCAGTGGTACCTGGAATGCCAGCGAGACAGAACCCTTCACTCTCCTGGAAAGGGGGCTGAAGCCAGGAAGCCAAGTGGTCTAGCTCAGTGGATACCACCCCCAAGAAGCCCGTCAAACTAAGGTCCGTTGGCTTGAAATTCTCGCTGCCAGCACAGCAGTTTGAAGTCGACCTGGGACGCTTGAGCTTGGTGGGGGGAGGGGTGTCGGCAGTTACTGAGGCTTGAGTAGGTGGTTTTCCCCTCACAGTGTAAACAAAGCCGATAGGAAGTTCGAACTGGGTGGAGCCTACTGCAACTCAGCAAAACCTCTGTAGCCACACTGCCTCTCTAGATTCCTCCTCTCTCGGTGGGGCATCTCTGAAAGAAAGGCAGCAGCCCCAGTCAGGGGCTTATAGATAAAACTCCAATCTCCCGGAGACAGAGCACCTAGGGGAAGTGGCGGCTGTGGATGCAGCTTCAACAGACTTAAACGTTCCTGCCTGCCAGCTCTGAAGAGAGCAGCGGATCTCCCAGCACAGTGCTTGAGCTCTGCTAAGGTACAGACTGCCTCCTTAAGTGGGTCCCTGACCCCCATGCCTCCTCTGGGAGATATCTCCCAGCAGAGATCGACAGACACTTCATACAGGAGAGCTCTGGCTGGCATCTGGCAGGTGCCCCTCTGAAACAAAGCTTCCAGACAAAGGAGCAGGCAGCAATCTTTGTTGTTCTGCAGCCTCCGCTGGTGATACCCAGGCAAACAGGCTGTGGAGTGGACCTCCAGCAAACTCCAGCAGAACTGAAGCAGGGGGCCTGACTGTTAGAAGGAAAACTAACAAACAGAAAAGAATAGCATCAACATCAACAAAAAGGACATCCATCCACACATAAACCGCATATGAAGGTCACCAACATCAAAGACCAAAGGTAGATAAATCCATGAACATGAGGGAAAAAAAGGTGCAAAAAAGCAGAAAATTCCAAAAACCAGAATGCCTCCTCTCCTCCAAAGGATCACAATTCCTCGCCAGCAAGGGAACAAAACTGGATGGAGAATGAGTTTCACAAACTAACAGAACTAGGCTTCAGAAGGTGGGTAATAACAAACTCCTCCGAGCTAAAGGAGCATGTTCTAACCCAATGCAAGAAAGCTAAGAACCTTGAAAAAAGGTTAGAGGAATTGCTAACTAGAATAACTAGTTTAGAGAAGAACATAATTGACCTGGTAAAGCTGAAAAACACAGCACGGGAAAGCATACAGAGGTATCAGTAGTCAAATCAATCAAGTGGAAGAAAGGATATCACAGATTGAAGATCAACTTAATGAAATAAAGCATGAAGACAAGATTAGAGAAAAAAAATGAAAATTAATGAACAAAGCCTCCAAGAAATATGGGATTATGTGAAAAAACCAAACCTACATATGATTGATTGTTGTACCTGAAAGTGATGGGGAGAATGGAACCAAGTTGGAAAACACTCTTCAGGATATTATCCAGGAGAAGTATGCCAACCTAGCAAGACAGGCCAACATTCAAATTCAGGAAATACAGAGAACACCACAAAGATGCTCCCCGAGAAGAGCAACCCCAAGACACATAATTGTCAGATTCACCAAGGTTGAAATGAGGAAAAAAATTTTAAGGGCAGCCAGACAGAAAGGTCGGGTTACCCACAAAGGGAAGCCCATCACACTAACAGTGGATCTCTCTGCAGAAACCATACAAGCCAGAAGAGAGTGGGGCCAATATTCAACATTCTTAAAAGAAAAGAAGATTCAACTTAGAATTTTCCACACAGTGGGAGACTTTAACACCCCACTGTCAATATTAGACAGATCAATGAGATAGAAGGTTAACAAGGATATCCAGGACCTGAACTCAGCTCTGCAACAAGCAGGCCTAACAGACATCTACAGAGCTCTCCACCCCAAATCAATAGAATATACATTCTTCTCAGCACCACATCGCACTTATTCTAAAATTGACCACATAATTGGAAGTAAAACACTACTCAGCAAATGCAAAAGAATGGAAATCATAACAAATATTCTCTCAGACCACAGTGCAATCAAATTACAACTCAGGATAAAGAAACTCACTCAAAATCGCACAACTATATGGAAACTGAACAATCTGCTCCCAAATGACTACTAGGTAAATAACGAAATTAAGGCAGAAATAAATAAGTTCTTTTAAACCAACGAGAACAAAGATACAACATACCAGAATCTCTGGGACCCAGCTAAAGCAGCGTTTCGAGGGAAATTTATAGCACTAAATGCCCACAGGAGAAAGCAGGAAAGATCTAAAATCAACACCCTAACATCACAATTAAAAGAACTAGAAAAGCAAGAGCAAACAAATTCAAAAGCTAGCAGAAGACAAGAAATAACTAAGATCAGAGCAGAACTGAAGGAGATAGAGACATGAAAAACCCTTCAAAAAATCAATGAATCCATGAGCTGGTTTTTCAAAAAGATTAGCAAAATAGATAGACCACTAGCAAGACTAATAAAGAAGAAAAGAGGGAAGAATCAAAAAGACTCAATAAAAAAATGATAAAGGGGAGATCACCACCAATCCCACAGAAATACAAACTACCATCAGAGAATACTATAAACACATCTACAAAAATAAACTAGAAAATCTAGAAGAAATGGATAAATTCCTGGACACCCACACCCTACCAAGAATAAACCAGGAAGAGGTCAAATCCCTGAATAGACCAATAACAAGTTCTGAAATTGAGGCAGTAATTAATAGCCTACCAACCAAAAAAAGCCCAGGACCAGACAGATTCACAGCCAAATTCTACCAGAGGTACAAAGAGGAGCTGCTACCATTCCTTCTGAAACTGTTCCAAATAACAGAAATATTTCTGTTCCAAATAACAGAAAAAGAGGGACTCCTCCCTAACTCATTTTATGAGGCCAACATCATCCTGATACCAAAACTGGCAGACACAACAAAAAAAAACAAAATTTCACATCCTGATGAACATCGATGTGAAAATCCTCAATAAAATACTGGCAAACCAAATCCAGCAGCACATCAAAAAGCTTATCCACCACAATCAAGTTGGCTTCATCCCTGGGATGCAAGGGTGGTTCAGCATACACAAATCAATAAATGTAATCCATCACATAAACAGAACCAATGACGAAAACCACATGATTATCTCAATAGATGCAGAAAAGGCCTTCGACAAAATTCAACAATGCTTCATGCTAAAAACTCTCAATAAACTAGGTATTGAAGCAATGTATCTAAAAATAATGAACGGTATTTTGACAAACCAACAGCCAATATCATACTGAATGGGCAAAAGCTGCAAGCATTGCTTTGAAAATCGGCACAAGACAAGGATGCCCATTCTCACTACTCCTTTTAAACATAATATTGGAAGTTCTGGCCAGGGCAATAAGGCAAGAGAAAGAAATAAAGGGTACGCAAATAGGAAGAGAGGAAGTCAAGTTGTCTCTGTTTGCAGATGACATGATTGTATATTTAGAAAACCCCATCATCTGAGTCCAAAATCTCCTTAAGCTGATACTCAAATTTAGCAAAGTCTCAGGATACAAAATCAATGTGCAAAAATCACAAGCATTCCTATACACCAATAATAGACAAACAGAGAGCCAAATCCTGAGTGAACTTTCATTTGCAATTGCTAAAAAGAGAATAAAATACCTAGGAAAACAACTTACAAGGGACGTGAAGGACCTCTTCAAGAACTACAAACCACTGCTCAAGGAAATAAGAGAGGACACAAACAAGTGGAAAAACATTCTGTGCTCATAGATAGGAAGAATCAATATCGTGAAAATGTCCATATTGCCCAAAGTAATTTATAGATCCAATGCTATCCCCATCAAGCTACCACTGACTTTCTTCACAGAATTAGAAAAATCTACTTTAAATTTCATGTGGAACCAAAAAAGAGCCTGTATAGCCAAGAAAAATCCTAAGTAAAAAGAACAAAGCTAGAGGCATGACTTCAAACTATACTACAAGGCTACAGTAACCAAAATAGCATAGTACTGGTACCAAAACAGATACATAGACCAATGGAGCAGAACAGAGGCCTCAGAAATAATGCCACACATCTCCAACCATCTGATCTTTGACAAACCTGATGAAAACAAGCAATGGGGAAAGGATTCCCTATTTAATAAATGGTGCTGGGAAAACTGGCTAGCCATATGCAGAAAACTGAAACCAGATCTCTTCCTTACACCTTATACAAAAATTAACTCAAGATGGGTTAAAGACTTAAACGTAAGACCTAAAACCATAAAAACCCTAGAAGAAAACCTAGGCAATACCTTTCAGGACATAGGCATGGGCAAGAACTTCATGACTGAAACATCAAAAGCAATTGCAACAAAAGCCAAAGTTGATAAATGGGATGTAATTAAACTAAAGAGCTTCTTCACCACAAAAGAAACTATCCTCAGAGTGAACAAGCATCCTACAAAATGGGAGAAAAATTTTGCAATCTATCCACCCGACAAAGGGCTAATATCCAGAATCTACAAGGAACTTAAACAAATTTACAAGAAAAAAAAACCCATCAAAAAGTGGGCAAAGAATACGAACAGACACTTCTCAAAAGAAGACATTTATGCGGCCAAAAAACATATGAAAAAAAGTTCATCATCACTGGTCATTAGAGAAATGCAAATCAAAACCACAATGAGCTATCTCACACCAGTTAGAATGGTGATCATTAAAAAGTCAGGAAACAACAGATGCTGGAGAGGATGTGGAGAAATAGGAAAGCTTTTACACTGTTGGGAGTGTAAATTAGTTCAATCATTGTGGAAGACAGTGTGGCAATTCCTCATCTATCTAGAACCAGAAATACCATTTGACCCTGCAATCCCATTAGTGGGTATATACACAAAGGATTATAAATCATTCCACTATAAAGACACATGCACATGTATCTTTATTGCAGCACTATTCACAATAGCAAAGACTTGGAACCAACCCAAATGCCCATCAATGATAGACTGGATTAAAAAAATGTGGTACATATATGCCATGGAATACTATGCAGCAGTAAGAAAGAATGAGTTCATGTCCTTTGCAGGGACATGGATGAAGCTGGAAACCATCATTCTCAGTAAACTAACACAGGAATAGAAAACCAAACACCGCATGTTCTCACTCATAAGTGGGAGTTGAACAATGAGAACACATGGACACAGGGAGGGGAGCATCACACAGGGAGGCCTGTTGAGGGGTGGGGGGCTACGGGAAGGATAGCATTAGGAGAAATACCTAAAGTAGATGATGGGTTGATGGGTGCAGCAAATCACCATGGCACATGGATACCTATGTAACAAACCTGCACGTTTTGCACATGTATCCCAGAACTTAAATAATAATAATAAAGATAGCTGGCCCAGAAAAATTCAACTATTTCAATGGTGAGCAACAAAAAAGGGAATTGATACAGCATTAAAAGACAGATATTGGAGGAAAAAATGCAGAAAAGAGAATCAAAACTTAGCAACATACAAAGAATCCTCATAATAAAAAATGTTCCCCAAAACAGAGGAAATTTGTAAATATTTCAATTATCTATTGCTGTCTAACAAATTACCTAAAGCTTGATGGGTTAAAACAACAACTACTTATATCTTATATTTTTATGGGTCAGGAATTCAGACAGGACTCAGCTGGGCGATTCTTTCACTGCACATCTTTTCAACTGGGGTCACTTGGTAGTTTTCAGCTGGTGGTTTGGTTGGTCTGGAGATCTAAGTAGGCTTCACTCACATGCCTGGCACCTTGTCAGTAATGTCTGGAAGCCTGGGCTCATCTGAGCTGCTTTTTCACTTTCTATAGTCTCAAAGCCTCCTCACATAATCTCTCCAGCATGGTGGTCTCAGGATAGTCAGCCTTCTTACATGGGAGTTCAACGTTCCAAGAGAAAGACAATAGAAGCTCACAGTTTCTTAAGGCCTGGGTACTGAAGCCAGCATAGCTAGTTTCTCTGCTATACTCTGTTTAGCAAAGCGGTCACAGATGTCACCCAGATTCAAGACAAGAGGACATAGATCCCACCTCATTGAGAGGAGAGTCACAGAATTTGCAGCTATCTTTAATCCACTGCTGTAATCAGGACTTTCACCATGAACTATAAATAGCCTTTATGAAGGAAGGAATGCTACAGAAAGAAATGTAAGAATCAGGGAGAAGATGGTCAGACAACAAGAGGATAGGAAAGGTAAGCTGGTACAACCCCACTCTCCCCCAAAAAAAAGTAGAAGTCAAAAATAAAACCATCGTGGATCCCAAGGGTTAGAGTCTTCAAAAAACACTGTAAAACAATGTTTCTCGTACCTAAAATGTATGTGACTCAGCTGGGGGTTTTGTTAAAACACAGATTCAAATTCAGTAGGTCTGGGATAGGGCCTGAGAGTCTACATTTCTAACAAGCTCCCAGCTGGCGTTTATCAGTGGATGACACTTTGAAGTAGAAAGGGCTTGTGGGATATAGAAGAAAGGAATAAGAAACCACATTACTTCAAAATAAAGGAAGAGTTTTTTAAATTACAGATAAAATGATAGAAGCAGACGAGCAAAACAAATTCAACTTACAAATAACAAAACCAAGAAAACACTAAAACAAATATGGGAATTAGAGTCACTAAATTGGGACCCTAATACCTAATTGGGACCCTAATTTTATGGGACACCTGTGTCCCAATAAAGTAGAAAAGATACCAAAAAAAAAACCTGAAAAATGGGAAGGAACAGTGAAGGGGAAGTGGGAGGTATTATAATAAATAATAGTAATAAATATCTTGATTGCTGAATCTGTAATGACTGGAAGTCAAAGGATATTGTTTAGAGCTGGTAGATCAGTAACAGAAACATAAGCATATGTGGTAATACAAAGGTAAACACTAAGATACTAAATACAACACAGAGGGGAAGGAAGAGGAAAAAGCAAATTTTATCTTTCCAATATCAAGAAATGGTGGAGTTTATCAATAGTTGCACTGAAATGCCTAGGTGTGCTGAGACAGTGATATCCTTAGGCCCTAGTGCCACTGGAGAGTTTGAGGTCGCAGAAGAAACCCCACCCTCACCCAGGCCAGCCACCTTCAGATGTCTCATCCATTAACCAAAATGTGTCATGCAAATACCATCTTTTAGATATGCCATGATGTGAACCAGGCTGAGAAGCACTTAATTTTGGAACTAAGGATATTATAAATAGTCATAATTATGAAGATAATAATTAGAACAAAACTACAACTTTTTATATACTAGAAGAACTCAAAGCATGAGACACACACACCCACTCACATGTGTATAAGGAGAGAGAGCAAAGCAAATAAAAGATCCAGTGAACAATTTAAACTGTCTATATAAATAATATAATAAAATGATAAAAGTAACACTAAAAACATCTATCTTACCAATTAATGTAAATAAACTTTAGTCATTTATTTTTAAAAACATCTTTAGATTGGATCACAAAACAAAAACTAACTCCAAGCTTTATATAGGAAGCACTCCTAAAACAAAGCAATTCCAGCAGGTTGAAAACAAAAGAATGGGTAAATGTGTACTAGGCAAATGTAAACAAAAAAAGAACATTAGACTTGATGTTAATATCAAGCAAGACAGAATTCAGACTACAAAGCACTAAACATGTCCAAAAAAAGGCATTTTATAATGCCAAAGAATGCAATTCACAATGCAAATTAAACATTTATTTAATATATAGGCAGTAGTAGTCATAAATATTCAGAAATATACTAGTAGTTGTAGATTTTGATTCAGCTATCTGAGTTCATGACATATTATGGAGATAGAAAAGAAAAAATCAAAGACTTAATTAACAAGATAGATATAGTTAATCTGTATTGAACGCTGCACCTTGAAAGTATACTACACTTATTTTCAAGTGTCCATGGAACATACTCATATATATGAATATGCATTAAGCCAAAAGGAAACTTTAAGAATCTCCAGAAAGTAGGAAAAGTATAGAAAAATCTTCTGACCACTATGTAATAAACTAGAAATTCAACGACAAAAGTGGAAAACAAAAAGACATTTCTATCTAAAAATTTTTAAACTCTGCGTTAATCAACTCTTGGGTTAAAAAAGAAGTACAAACCCAAACCAGAGGATTTTTGTAAAACAATGATGATAAAAACACTGTATTTGAGAACCTATGATAAACAGGTAAATTGGGCCCAGAGGAAAATTGATAGCCTTTAATACATTAATTAAAAAGATGAAAAATAAATGGATTTAGAGTCTAACTCAAACTGTTAGAAAAAAAAGGTAATAACAAAATAAACCAAAAAGAGAGAAGTAAGCAGTTAAATGAAGAAATTAATGAGTTTGAAAACAAAAAAAAAGGAATACTAATGAATACAAAAACTGACTTTAAAATATCTCTGTTTTGGTACGAGTACCATGCTGTTTTGGTTACTGTAGCCTTGTAGTATAGTTTGAAGTCAGGTAGTGTGATGCCTCCAGCTTTGTTCTTTTGGCTTAGGATTGACTTGGTGATGTGGGCTCTTTTTTGGTTCCATATGAACTTTAAAGTAGTTTTTTCCAATTCTGTGAAGAAAGTCATTGGTAGCTTGATGGGGATGGCATTGAATCTGTAAATTACCTTGGGCAGTATGGCCATTTTCACGATATTGATTCTTCCTACCCATGAGCATGGAATGTTCTTCCATTTCTTTGTATCCTCTTTTATTTCATTGAGCAGTGGTTTGTAGTTCTCCTTGAAGAAGTCCTTCACGTCCCTTGTAAGCTGGATTCCTAAGTATTTTGTTCTCTTTGAAGCAATTGTGAATGGGAGTTCACTCATGATTTGGCTCTCTGTTTGTCTGTTATTGGTGTATAAGAGTGCTTGTGATTTTTGCACATCGATTTTGTATCCTGAGACTTTGCTGAAGTTGCTTATCAGCTTAAGGAGATTTTAGGCTGAGACAATGGGGTTTTCTAGATATACAATCATGTCATCTGCAAACAGGGACAATTTGACTTCCTCTTTTCCTAATTGAATACCCTTTATTTCCTTCTCCTGCCTAATTGCCCTGGCCAGAACTTCCAACACTATGTTGAATAGGAGTGGTGAGAGAGGGCATCCCTGTCTTGTGCCAGTTTTCAAAGGGAATGCTTCCAGTTTTTGCCCATTCAGTATGATATTGGCTGTGGGTTTGTCATAGATAGCTCTTATTATTTTGAGATACGTCCCATCAATACCTAATTTATTGAGAGTTTTTAGCATGAAGGGTTTTAGATCAGTGGAACACAACAGAGCCCTCAGAAATAATGCTGCATATCTACAACTGTATGATCTTTGACAAACCTGAGAAAAACAAGCAATGGGGAAAGGATTCCCTATTTAATAAATGGTGCTGGGAAAACTGGCTAGCCATATACAGAAAGCTGAAACTGGATCCCTTCCTTACACCTTATACAAAAATTAATTCAAGATGGATTAAAGACTTAAACGTTAGACCTCAAACCATAAAAACCCTAGAAGAAAACCTAGGCATTACCATTCAGGACATAGGCATGGGCAAGGACTTCATGTCTAAAACACCAAAAGCAATGGCAACCAAAGCCAAAATTGACAAATGGGATCTAATTAAACTAAAGAGCTTCTGCACAGCAAAAGAAACTACCATCAGAGTGAACAGGCAACCTACAAAATGGGAGAAAATTTTCACAACCTACTCATCTGACAAAGGGCTAATATCCAGAATCTACAATGAACTCAAACAAATTTACAAGAAAAAAACAAACAACCCCATCAAAAAGTGGGCAAAGGATATGAACAGACACTTCGCATAAAAGAAGACATTTATGCAGCCAAAAGACACATGAAAAAATGCTCACCATCACTGGCCATCAGAGAAATGCAAATCAAAACCACAATGAGATACCATCTCACACCAGTTAGAATGGCAATCATTAAAAAGTCAGGAAAGAACAGGTGCTGGAGAGGATGTGGAGAAATAGGAACACTTTTACACTGTTGGTGGGACTGTAAACTAGTTCAACCATTGTGGAAGTCAGTGTGGCGATTCCTCAGGGATGTAGAACTAGAAATACCATTTGACCCAGCCATCCCGTTACTGGGTATATACCCAAAGGACTATAAATCATGCTGCTATAAAGACACATGCACACGTATGTTTATAGTGGCACTATTCACAATAGCAAAGACTTGGAACCAACCCAAATGTCCAACAATGATAGACTGGATTAAGAAAATGTGGCACATATACACCATGGAATACTATGCAGCCATAAAAAATGTTGAGTTCATGTCCTTTGTAGGGACATGGATGAAATTGAAAATCATCATTCTCAGTAAACTATCGCAAGGACAAAAAACCAAACACCGCACGTTCTCACTCATAGATGGGAATTGAACAATGAGAACACATGGACACAGGAAGGGGAACATCACACTCTGGGGACTGTTGTGGGGTGGGGGGAGGGGGGAGGGATAGCATTAGGAGATATACCTAGTGCTAAATGACAAGTTAATGGGTGCAGCACACCAGCATGGCACATGTATACATATGTAACTAACCTGCACATTGTGCACATGTACCCTAAAACTTAAAGTATAATAATAAAAAAAATAAATAAAATAAAATAAAAATATCTCTAAGTTAAGTAAATTGCTAGCTGACCTAATTAAGATAAAAAGTACAATTGTGGAAATGTTTAAAATAATAAAATGAAAACAAATAGGAAAATAAGGGAAATTAAAAGAATCTTAAAGAATAGTCAACTCTGAAAATCAATTAGAAAACCTGGCTGGATTAAATAGCTAACTTTTAGGAAAATATAATTTACTAAAATGTGCCCAATAAGAGATTGAAAATCTAAACTAACTGACCTCTGGAGAAGAAAAAGAAAAGTTGTCAAAGAGCTATGTTCCCACACCCCATCCCCACTCCAACACACACAGGAAAACAGCAAGCCCAGGAGCTTCAAGGGAATTCAGTCAAATTTTAAAGAAGTCCATACCAATACCAATCTAGGTTACTTTAAGTGATAGGAAAAGTTCCAAATTATTTTTATAATGTGAGTATAACATTGATGTCAAACCTGTGAATGATTTCCCACACATAAAATAAATAGTATTGCAATCTCACAAGGTTGTAAACATCTTCCATGTAATTTTATCAAATGGGATATTCAAAGAAGAATGCTTTAATACCAACTGAGTTTTATTCAAGAAATGCAAGGATAGTTCAACATTAGGAATCCATTAATATAAGTCATTATATTACTAGAGAGGTAATAGAATTATAATTCATTATATTAATAGTTCTATGGAGAAAAATCACATAACCCTCATATTTGACAAAATTTAGGAACTATTTTTATTAAAAATCTCAATAAAATTGAAATATATTAATATCATTGTTAATTTCTTAACACAATACAATATAGCCATTTAATCTTAACAGCAAAACAGCATGCTTACAAAAGAAAAACACTAAAGCGTTAGTTTGCAATCTTGTCTGCACAGGGAATCACTTGGAAAGCTTTAAACAATACCAATACTTGAGTCCTGCTTCCAGAGGTTTTGATTAGTCAGTCCAGGGTGAGGCCTAAACATTGGGATTTTTAAAAACCCCCAAGTTATTCCAATGTGCAGCCGAGGTTGAGAACCACTGCACTAAAGTTATTTCCTTTATAATCAGAAACAAAGTCAGGGATACCTTCTGTTACCATCATTATTTAATATAATAGTGGAGGTAAAATTGTACAATTAATGTTGTATTGGAGGTCAATGCAATTGTATAGGAGATAATTATAAAATTTGGAAAGGAGAAGTTAAACATAAACATATCACTATTTCAGATTATACATTTGGGGAGGTAAAAAAAAATTCAAGAATCTCATCTTGAATTAAAATACTACTGCAGGCAACAAGAAACTTCTTTGAGATAGTTGAGTACAAATAATACATAGCAATAAATAGCTTCCACAAAACCACAACAGATATAAGATATAATGAAAGACAATGACCTATTTATATTAGCAACAAAAATGTAAGTATCTAGCAAAAAACAAATAGAAATATGTGAGTTCTATAGGGAGAAAACTTGAAAACACTACGAAGGATACAAAGGAAGACTTGAACAAATTGAAAGATATATCATTACTGGACAGAAATGCTCGGCATCATAAAAACATTAATTCTGTAATTTGATTTACAAATTTAATGTCATGTCAATAAATAGGCCAATATTTTTAAACTAGGTCAATTTATTCAAAAATTCATATGGAAAAGAAATAAAGATTAGCCAGGATAAATCAGAAGAAAACAGTAAAAGTTATACTGACCTTAACAAATATTAAAACGTATAATAAAGCCTCAATAATTAAAACTATGGTGCATGCATAAACAGACTAATCAATGGAACTGAGGAGAGACCACAGAAATAGACCGAAGTATACAGAAAAATTTAGTACCTGGCAAGGGTGGCATCTCAATGGGAATAAGATGGACTATTTATTTATTCATTCATTCATTCATTCATTCATTCATTTTAGAGACAGGGTCATACTCCATCACTCAGGCTGCAGTATGGTGGCATGATCATAGCTCACTGCAGCCTCCTGGACTCAAGTGATCCTCCCACCTCAGCCTCCCAAGCAGCTGGGATTACAGGCATGAGCCACTGCACCTGGCAAGATGGGCTATTCAACAGAAGATATTTGGCAAACTGGGAGGTCACCTGGAGAAAAATTTGTTTATCTATATCTCACACTGTATATCAGGATAAATTCCAAACATATAAATGATTTAAATAATAAAAACAAAAGGGCACTAGAATAAAATACAGGGGAATTCCTTCATTATCTTGGAATGAGGATAACTTCCTAAGACTCAAAATCAAGAAGCCATTTTAAAAGTGAGAAAAATTGACTCCATAAAAATAAAAAGAGACTTCAGATAAAAAATATATAAAGCCAAAAGACAATGGAAAATCAGAAAAATATGTTACAAAAATATTTGTGATACATAAAGAAGCTAAACTACTAATACATAAAGTATTCCTGGAAATCAATAAGAAAAAGATTATCAACATAGAAATAGGCAAAGGATAAGAACAGACCAGTCTCCCAAACAGGAATTCAATTGACTCTTAACTATGTAAAAAACGCTTGATCCTACACACAATAATAATAATACAAATGAAAACTACATTCAGACATCCTGTTTCATTTATTAGATTGGCAAAATCCAAAAGATAATAACACATTTTATTGGAAAAGCCATGGGGAAAATAGGCAGTCTCACAGACAATTGGTGAAAATATACATTGGAATCCTATGGAAGGCATTTTGGCAATATTCATCAAACTTACAAATGCATACAACTTTTGACCTAGCAATTCCAAATCTAGAGATCTACCTTGTGGATATGCTTGTACACAAACATAAAGTGTACTAGGCTGTTCTATGCAACATGTTTTGTAACAGCAAAAGATTGTGTACTGCATAGTGCCCATCAATAGGGAATTGGTTAAATAAATATGGCATTCAATGGAATGCTGTGTAGTTCTCAAAAATAAAGAGGAGGCATTCTATAAAATGCTGAGGTAGTTGAAGAAGAGTTCTAGTATATCTATTTTAAATGAAAAAATCTAGGGTAGAACAGCATATATGACATGCAACTTCTTATTTTTAAAAAGAGAAGTGAGAATATATATTATTTTGTTTAATTATTTACAAAATAAATTCTAGAAGAAAATACAAAAAAAAACTAAGAATAGTTACATGTTTGGGGTGATGATAAAGACCTGAGTGTATGGGAGATAACGAAAGGGAGATATTTGTGTGTGTGTGTGTGTGTGTGTGTGTTGTGTTGCGTATACACACACATATAAACATATATATGTATAAGGTAAATGTATTATCAATTCAAATTATATTTTTAAGAGAATAGACTGAGGGTAGTGAGGCACAGAGTAGAAAGTTTTGCCTGAAGATGAAAAAATACATGGTTGCTTTATACTCTGGATATTTAAAAGAAAGCCTTCCTATGGACCACAATGAATAGCTCTCTCCCTTAAGATGTTAGGTTCTTGGTGTTTAAATGATAACTAAGTTGCAGTAATTAATAAATTACTGCTTCCCCATAAGGGTAAAAATATTATGATCTGTTATTTTTTTTCCTCCAGCTCATTATTTACCCTATGAGAAAACACACAATAAAATAGTACACAGCAAATTTTTGCAATTCTAACCATGTATAGAGCTATGTATTTGTTGTCAAAAACATACTGAAAGATAATTAAGAATTTATGTCTTGAATTCTGACATAGAGGAAAGAACACTTTATACGAGGATATTAAGATAGGTGGTGAAGATGCTAAAGGTAAATGTAGGCTAATTCTGAAAGCTTAAATATTCCTATTTCTGTAAAATTTTACTTTTGTATCTAATTATACTTTCTTTTCTTAGATGGAAGTTTCTCTTTTGGGGGTTATTTTGAACCAACTGTGAAAAGGAAGAAGGACTAGATAAGAAAGTCTTAATATTTCTATTCCTGTGAAATAATTTGAAAAGAAATGAATAAATACACATATGTTCTTATGTGTGGAGCTGGGATGCAGGAGTATAGTTCATTATTATAGAAAATATGTCAGTATGTGAAGGAAAGACAATGCCTGGAGCTAAACTGTCAGCAGTGATCTACAGCTGGCCTTACAGGACAGACAAGAAGAGGTGGAAAGCAAACCCACAGGACCAGGCTGCTGCCATGAGGGGGCATCGTTAGTCTGGGACAGCTTGGTTGCTGCCTTTAGTGAGGGGAAACATTAGAGTAGCTTCTGAGAGCAAGAAAGAAAAGCAGGGAGAATGTTAGGCATTATTGTACTCAAAGTCAAGGTCCTATCTTCAAAGGGTATCTCCATTGGCACTAATAAAATGAAATTACTTAAAAGCATATATTTATTTAATAACAAAACTTAATGTGTGAATAAATATGTATTTTACATAAAAGAGAAAATCTCACCAGTCAAAACAAATCACTGCTAAATTTTAATTGCATTGCCTCATACTGTGCTGACAGGAAAAGGCAGAAGGCAGTACATTGCTGTCAAATTATGCCAGAAACTGCCTGATTTCTGTCATAAAAGACAGATTATTTTTTTAATGTGCAATTCAATTATTCAAAGTTCAACATGCCTACTATAGTACTCAATAAATGTTGGTTGACAATCATGATTTTCTGTGTTTCAGGTTTGGAATTTGGGACTATTTTTAAATAAACCTTTTAAAGCATAGGAGCTTGTGTTTCATTGAGACCTTTTGCTTCCTTATTTCATATTTAATGTAGTCATTGTCCCTTGATTTTAAGCTGTGGTTATCTTCTGGGTTTCTTCAAGCTCCATTAACAGTTTTGGAATATTGCTCTTTTATTTATTTACCTGAATCAGTATGTCTTATATATATATCCTCAATTTAAAAGGTTGACAAAGTCTCCAAAGATAGATCACAGCTCATTTAACCAAGATTTTAAGTGAAATCAAAGGTGGTTTTAGCAGCACACAATAATCACAGATATACATTTATCCTACAATATGTTAATGGGCAACTGATTAAGCTGCAGATATCCTAGAAGTCCTATTATTTATATATGAATCTGCATGAGTTACAACTTCAGCTATTCCTCTCTTTCAGCATAATGTTTCTCTATGCGTGGTTCTTACAGAAGTGAAGCACACTTGGCCATTTCATACTATATGTATCTTCTAAATGTATCCCTTGTCACTCTACAATTAGGTTGCAGTAAAATTGGTGTTACATTTGCAGTATCTAAATGATGCCACATACTTTAACTAAACTAGAGGTATAAATTACTCTGAACCAGCTGAAAACAGAGTCTGGCAGAAGGGAAGGATAGGATTATCCTTGAAATTCCTCACTTGCTCTTTCTGACCTTTCCCATGTCAACATTTTAAAGGTACTTTCTCTGATTGCACAAAGATAAGTAGCTCCACCAAGATGGAGCTGATGATCTGAGGCAGTTTGCAGTAATATAGAGAAACTTTTGAAATATACTCAAAAGGATCATATTTAAGCATTAATCACATAACTATATATTAAATATATATAATTTTACATGGTAAATACCTACTGTGTGATGTCCACAGTTTGGGGGGATTTCTAAACATTATCTCAAATCCTTGTGATACTTAGATTTGGAAAATTGATAGACAGGGAAACTGAGACTTAGAGAGTTAGATAATATCCCCCAGAGTGTCACTGTTATAAGGAGTGGCAAAGATTGAAATCCAGACATTTTTCATTCTAAAGCCTGAAGTATTGGCACTCAAACCATGTTGTATGAACATGGAAGATTACACTATTGACTTCAGAATTTGGGAAGATGCTTTCATTTCTTTGAAACAGCTTTTATGTTTCACCTCCCATCACCTGTCTCAGAACCACCATCAGCCTAATCTCATTCCCCTTTATCTCACTTATAGGTGGTGGCACTGTGAGAAAGCAAGGAGCTTAAGACTCCAGTATATCTGCATTAATATAGTCTCTATTACTTTGAAGAAGGTAGTTACCTCCTCAGAGCTTCATTTGCAAAGTACAGATAAAGGCAAAGTGATCAGGGTTATTAAATGAAATCACATTTGTGGATTGTAGTCCATCTTCCATAATGGTTTCCCGCTTTCCTTCCTTTCTACAACAGTTGCCTTGATGGCATTTGGGGCACTAGGTTATCTTCTGCCCCTAGTCTCTATTCAACCTGCATCATCAAGAAATTAAGTTCTGTAATGAAAAGAACCCTTGACCAGCAGTTGTAAATTGTAGTAATACCTAATTTACTGAGTTTTGTGACATGCTACATCACTTCTCTGACAGTTTACCAGATACAGACACTCCTCTGTAGCAAATAAATTCATAAATTTGTTTCTTGGATATCTTCCAGTAGGAGACCAATTTACATGTGACTCTCAAAATAATCACCACACATTCTCAAGGGTTCCTCAGAGCCACTTTTAGCAATTAAGAAACCAGGGCACCATGGATGAGGTCAGGGGTGGAAACTGGGGAGTGGAGTCACAAGAGGAAGCTTCCTCTGCTATTCAGGACTGTCTAGGTTGCAAGGGGGCAGAACAATCCAAACCAACTGTAAAACATGAACAAAAGGGGGATTTATTATCTCATTAATTAAAGATGCATGTGTGGCTGGATAGGAGCTCAAAGGATATCTTTATGACCTTGTTTCTCCCTTTCAGGTCAGCTCTCTGTTGGCACAGATCTCAGAATGGTTCTTCCCCACTGGTGCAAAGTAGCCACAGCAGTTCTACTCATGCCTTTTCAATTCAATGGAGGCAGAACACTTGTCTCTGCCCTAGCATTCTCATAATTCATATATTATAACATGCTATGTACTACAAGGAGATTAAGCTTCTGATTAGTTCCACCCTTGAGCCAATTGCTGTGGTCAGGAAGATGGGATGCCCCCAATGGTTTAGGCCTAGATCATAGGCTTGACACCTCTACCAATCATTGAGTCCAGGGCAACATGATGTGCTGATTAACTTGGGCCTGGATCACTTATTCTGTCCTAGAGACAAGGATCAAGCCCTATTTACACCTAGGAGTGAGGGATCTCACCAAAAATTAAGAGATATTAGATACTGCCCACAATGTTGTGCATCACTTGAAGGTTAGAAATGACTCTGTGGTACCTGGTCAATCCCTTCATTAAGAACAGTCATTCCTTGACTCCAGAACTGTGGGAAAATGAATTTCTGTTATTACTTTTTTTTTTTAAAAAAAAGGACAAATTTCTTCCTATAACACCATTCTTGCCCTCTAACTTCCACATCCAGAGAAGGCAGCCTGTCAACTTAAATCTGTGTCCAGCTGGTGTCCATATGGAGTTCACATGGAGAAAAGTATACGAGATGTAGCTTCCTAAGTCAGCTCAGGTATTCCTGTTTCCAAAGCCTAGGAGAGTTTTCTGCACAGCCATTTGCAGGGA
The DNA here is from genome assembly GCF_000001405.40 of Homo sapiens. NCBI lineage: Eukaryota > Metazoa > Chordata > Mammalia > Primates > Hominidae > Homo > Homo sapiens. The sequence goes on along the minus strand of NC_000003.12, from coordinate 137,301,611 downwards.
AACTGTATCAGGCAGACCTGTGTGGCCCAGACACCAAAAGACATCAGACAAGAAAGAGAAAAGCCCTTTCTCACCAACTATTTCAGGTTGTCAGAGCCTCAGAGTGGTGAAAATGAGCCAGCACTAATGGCTTTGCTAATCAGAAAGAGTGACCAAGATAAAATCTTAATTTTCTATTCCCTAGACCTTGCAGTGTTATATCATATATTCATGAACTAATAATTTTATAAAATCATAGAACAATGGGAAGCTAGGACTAAAAATGACCCCTCCTTTACCTGGTGAAAAAGTGGAGACCCAGAGAGGAATGAATTATCACCTGGGATCACACAGCAAATTGAATGACATATTCAAAAAAAATTAAATCTAAATTCTATATTTCAAATCTCCTGGGATAAGAAAACTATATTTATTTGTATATTTGCATGATGGTTTCATAGTCATAATTATATACAATTATAATTTATTATAATTTTAGTGTAATAATATGCCATTCCAGAAATACTTTAGCTAATTTATCAACTTGGGGTTTCCTGGATCGTGCAAGAAGTATAAATTTGAAACCCAAACGCATCCTAAAACTTAGTGGCTTAAAACAACAATTACTTGTTTTTGCTACCTAGAGCATAAGTCAAAATTAACAAGTTTCCCTTTGATGTGGGTTGTCTCCCTTTGATGTGGGAAGATTTCTTTTTTTCTAGTTTTCTTTTTGACCAAGCAGGTGGCATTTGGAGGATCCTACCTCTTTGCAAGCTTCTCAGCTGCCACTCTCCACCCTGCATGGACCTAAAAAGTTGCTCCCACATAGTTCCCATCTCCTTCTCTGTTTTCTATTTTCTTTTTAATTTTTGGCCTATGCAATTTTCTTTTACCTTATTTTAATCTCAAGTGTGCATTTGAAAGGCTTTTTATTATATTTAATTGAAAAAGTTTAGGTATTTTGTGTTGGAAGGATTTATCAGAATTTCAAGTCTGCCCATAGGCAATATTTATTTTCACTCTCTTTATTTTAATAAAGTACAGTAATTAATACCAGAATCTACTGGGCATATTTTGTAATTTAGTGAGTCTTTCCTTTGTAAGGAAAAGTGGATATAGAAGAGTCATGATTGAATTATGTTCATCTGTATTTGGAAAAGCTTAGGAGGCTGAGTAGGAAGAAACCTTGAGGAATTTTGAGGAACCCTTGAGAATGTATGTTGGTTATTTTGAGAGTCACATGTTGGTCTCCTACTGGAAGAGTATCCAAGAAACAAAAGTCCACAGGTCTTACTGAGGTACACTTTCTTGAGCCCTACCTGCCCCCACAGAAGTGGGCCTATATCAGATATCTATTGCTATTAACAAAACACCTCAAAAATCTGGTGACTGAAACAATTACTTATTTGCACACATTTCTGTGGGTCACAGTTTTGGTTTGGCTTAGCAGTTATGCTGGCCTCACCTGGAGTCATTCAGGTAGCTGCTGTCATCAGGCAATTGACTTGTCTGATGGCTGGTCTAAGATGTGTAAACCAAAAATAAAATCTTAAATCCCCCCACAAACTGAATGGACTGCCTCTTGGCCAAAGGAACTCCAGGAAACCTGGAAGGAAACCTGAAAAACTGAATTCCTAGCCATGACAGGTAGGGAATTCACCCACTACCTAATGTTCATCTCCAATTAAATGATCTAGAGCAGAGATTCTCAGTTTTCAGCATTCACCAAAATCACCTGAAAGCCATGTTAAAACCCTGATCGCTGACCCCACTTCCATAGTTTATGATTCAGTAGATCTAAGGTGGGGCCTAAGAATTTGAATTTCTACAACATTCCCAGATGATGACGATTCTGGTTGAGGACCACACATTGAAACCACTGACATAGAGGCACTTCAGTTCAACCTGTAAAAAACTAACCGGCTGGGCAAGGTGGCTCATGCCTGTAATCCCAGCACTTTGGGAGGCCAAGATGGGTGGATCACGAGGTCAAGAGTTCGAGACCAGCCTGACCAACATAGTGAAACCCCGTCTCTACTAAAAATACAAAAATTAGTTGGGCGTGGTGGCGCATGCCTGTAATCCCAGCTACTTGGGAGGTTGGGGCAGGACAATCGCTTGAACCTGGGAGGCAGAGGTTGCAGTGAGCCAAGATCGCACCACTGCTTTCCAGCCTGGGCGACAGGGTGAGACTCTGTCTCAAAAAAAAAAAAAAAATACAATTAATCATTCCTTTTCCAAGACATTCTTCTTCCTGAATTTCATATAAAGGGAATGGCATGATCCAGGTGGTCAAAGTAGAAACCAATTGGAATTAAGGATAATAAGCAGTGGGAGTATAGGATCAAGTTGTTCTGGTTACTATTTCTTCCTTCTGTTTTCCCAGATGCTTCAGTCCTCATCAATTTCATTATCTATTAAACAGAGCCACCTTGTGATAACCTCTAATACATTTTGCCTTAAAATTATTTGATTTCCTCCTTTCCCCTGGATGAATAAGAGGATTAGGTAATTTTGTTATGAACCTGCCATATTAATAAGAGAGCAGAAACAAGTTTTCCTACTGGAATCAAGATGTCTAATAAAGCCTGTATCCTTTGGTACTTGTGAATGAAGTGTCATAAGATGCCAATATCACACAAGGAGAAGATAAGAGGGCTCTTCCAAGTTTAAAGGTGAAGGTTTCACCAGGGAACCAATTTCTGCTGTCATTTCTTATAATAGTGCCTCATCTTCTTCCATATTTCAAGGGTTGTTACGGTGTTGAGGAGGGGTTAAACCTCGGAGTCTTGCTTTCTTAAATAAGACTAGTTTAGACTTACTTTTACAAAGCTTGGCTGGAGATATTCATGCCTTACTGCCCATGATATCTAGCCAAGAAAAATTATATGAATCTCTCAGATTTCATGAACCAGATTGATCTGTAAGCTTCCCAGCACTCTAACAGCTCCAGCAATAGAAAAGAGAGCCCTGGATCTCTCTCAACTGGGCTATTTCACCAGTTTCTCCTTAATTACTCTCCTTGTTTCTACTCCCCACTCCGCATCTGTCTCCTACTGGTCATCATACTGTTCCATCTCAAACCCAGACCTGATCATGGCATTCCCCTACTTTAGAATGTATAAGGCTAACCATTGCCTACAGGAGAGCACAGGCAAGAGTTTGTTATCGTTGCTTAATGGAAGAGAAGTTGCGGCCACAGTAAAAGGGCCATTAATTCCATCCAAAGAATTATGGCTTTTATCACATAGATAATAAGAAGCCATAGAAGGTTTAAAACAAAGGAATAGCACATGGGATTTGTTATTGTTTACATGCTATTTTCACTCTGATATTAGTATAAAAGGTTAATTTGGAGTGGAAAGATGAGGCAGCAGAAGACTGGAGACAAGAAAATAGTTTGGAAGCTATTCGGGCAGCGAAAGTACAGGATGATGAGAAACTGAATAGTATCTAATCTTTAAGAAATATTGCTGTTTTGGTTTTGGTGGTGGTGGTAGTTAAATGAATGAACCAATTTTGAAACTATGTAAATCTTAGCTGGCATGATTGTTGGGATGATTAAGATATAATAGCCTGGTTCTTCTCTGCACTCTTGACTGAGATGAGATCATCCAACTAACTATATTAGCATTTCATAAGCTGTTGGGAGAGCTTGGGCCATCAGCTGAGCTGAGCTTCCTAAGTCCCCCAACATCCAGGATTAAATCAAATGCATCACAGTGATCAGCATGGCCTTTGGGCTTGTCACACTTAACAGCATTTTTTACCTCTCTGTCCTGAGAATTAGATCTTCCCCATGAAGGCAATCATATGCGTTTAACAGTGGTATGATAAATTCCTTCTTATTTGGTTTTTAAAATTAAGGGAACCGAGTAAGGCAGCAATTCTAGATTGTGTGAGGAAATGTGATAATGTTTGGCCTTGTGGGCTCTGGCTCATTTTCTCCTGCCCCTGACTCCCAGTACAAAGTTCTCTCTACTTTGTCATGTTACAAGTGAGGTGGTGGGCATCTAAAATCAGTACAGCTGGGCAGAAGAAGCTGAAGTAAAATGTCCTATGGGGAAATTTTTTGTTTTCTAATACTCAAACTCTTAAGACAATTTCGTAATATAAATTAAACATTGAAATATTTGCCCTAAAGCAATTACAGAACACAAATAAAACATAAAAGAATAAAATATTTTAGCACCACCAGCAGAGCTCACAGAGGCCTCATCTACAGTACATGCCTATTAAATATTAGAATATCTAAGCCATGGATAGAAATTTTATAATAAATAATTAGGACTATAACCTGAATAAAGCCCATGGCCCCATGTAGTTCATTCTTTGTACTATATGAACTATTTTAAATTTTGCTAGGTATCTCAAAAAATGTCAAAGGGAGATGTGCAATTTAATTAAAGTATAAAAATTTTAAACTTCTCTGTCTGCAGGACTGCCTCTCTAGGTGTCCTTCACATAGGGCACAGCTGGTCCTCAAATATTTCTTTCAGTTTTGCTCTCAACATCCAACCTTTCAACATGCTCACTGATACCAAGTGACCATTATCTATAATCTGTGTATCCTTCCCTCTCTCTCTTTCAAATTATGGTCTCTTTCAGGTCCTTATTATGCTTTCCCTCTAGCTTCGCTGATTTCTTTAATTTAAAAAGACCTCTTGCTTAATTTTTTTACCTGGATTCTGTGCAACAAGGAAGAAAATTCTTTCTTCTCAGAAGCAAAAGGCAAAAGGGGAGATGGCAAGAAGCAATACAGTTATCATTTTTGTCCCTGTTATACATTAATATTTTTGTCTCTCTTATAGGAGAAACCAACAGTAATATGAAATATATTATTAATGTTGACATCAGAATTAGGCAGTGGTTAGAAACATGAGCTCCAGAATCAGAAAAACCTGTGTTCAGATTCTGATTCTGCCACTTACTCCTCTCCTAGGTCTGGGAATCCACATTTGCAAAATGGCAACAAAGTATACGAGGATTGAATTGGATAATTTATGTAAAGCATTTAATATAGTTCCTGGCAACTTTTATTATAATTATTCATTCTTATCTTGGGGGAAAATAGTCCCTAAGGAACAGGAATTCAGCCCAGAACAATCCTTCCTATTGGCAGAAGACATTTAATAACCCAGAAAACAAGTTACTTCTTCATCCTCTCCCCCAGAGAAGTAAATGCCATTTTCTCCCTATGTCACAAAATATTCCTGCCTTTTCTTGTGGTCACATGGCTCAGCATGGTTCCTGGCAACTCAATAAACATCAATGAATTGATTAATGGACTAGTGAAGCAATGAATATTCACAGGAACACCAGATACAAACAAGCTAGCAAAGAGCCTACGAGTATTCCTAGGGACAGAATAAAGTGTGTGCTCCTCTTCAGTTACCCTTGGACCAACTATATCACAGTTTCTGAATGTGAGTAGTTCTCATGAATCATCCTTCCTCATCAATTGGCAAAGTAAGTGGTTCATTTGTTCGTTTGTTGAACACTTTTTGTGCCCCCATTGAATGACAAACATGGTGCTGGGTGCCCAGAGGAAAAGACAGGGTCCTAACTTTAGGGGTTTTCTTCAGCAGGACAGAGACTATCATAGACCAGTACTTCTCAAATGTGCAAACAAGTCACCTTGGAAGTCTTGTGAAAAATGCAGATTTTGATTCTACAGTTCTAATAAGCTCCCAGGTGACATCCCCACTGCTCTAACTGCCTCTAACTTTGCTACTCAAAGTTTTAAGCCTCGGTCCAAGAGATGTGCAAGTTGTCAACTTAAGGACTCTGGTGCCTGTTAATCCAGTCGAATTAGCTCTCTCATGTTATTTTGTAAAGATTCCCAGGTCATATATACCTGGGTCCATCTGATGATTTGGCTAGATCTCAAAGGCAGGAATGAGAGCTGCATATGTGGGAATGGCCTTTAGTGTTAGAAGGGAGGAATGCAAAGGTATCAAGTTTGTTTGACTTGACAAAAAACTTCCTGAAATCTCAGCAAATTCCCTATTTTAAATGTTTCCCTGTCACTTCCCACACTGCCCTGCTGAGGAAGGCTGGAGGTGGAGGAAGACCATATGAAGAGCTTGGGTACCATACTGCACACAGCAGGTCTCCATGCAAACCAGATTCCACCTCTCCTTACCTATGTGACTTGGCGCGAATGAGAAACCTCATGTTTTAGTCTCTAAATCTCTAAAATGGGAAGGCTTATCATTCCTAGCTCATAGGTGTTTTGTATTACGTGAGATGGTCTGCAGAAAGCCCCTAGCACAGGGCCTGCAGTGACCATTAAATGGTATGTGTTATTGTTATTGTTATTAGTAAAACTGAGCCATAATAAATATTATTTATCAGTGCTTTGTCAAAGCATGCTGGAGAAAGATAAATCTAAATTAGAGCTATTCTCTTACTCATGTAGTTTTAAATCAGATCCATAATGTTGTGTGAACACAGGTGTTTTGTAGTTTGGTCTCTCTGTTAACATGAGAAAAAAAGATGATCAAAAAAGAAGAGAGAGAAAAAACAATCACTATTTGAAAGTGAATGAAGGGCGCCCCCCTCCTTCTCAGTCCTTTTTTCTTACTCTGACATCTCAGTGTGTTTTTTTCTTTTAGCTGTGAGTTCTGGGATAGGTGATAACTGCCAGTAATAGGATTAGCATTGATTTCTTTAACAAGAACAGAGATGTGGCAGTTCCAGCCATTTCCTGAACTGCCAGCTTTGAAATATCAAAAAAATAGAGAGAAGAAGAAAAAAGAAAAGAAATAAATAAAAAGGAAAAATCTTCAGGGGGAGGAAATACAGCTTTTAGAGAAATGGAAGTGTGTGTGAATCTGACCATGTGTGTCTGAGCATGGGCATACGGACACCCGTGTGCACATAGACGGATATAGGAACACTCAGAACACATGTAGATCATGAGAATGTTTTTGTTGTTCCGTGATAAAGGATCAAAAGCTTTGTTTCTGTTCTGCTTCAAAAAAGGTTTTAGCATTCATTTGGCTTTCTTTTTCTTTCACTGTTAACACATTTACCAGTTGATCTTTCAGAGCTATCCTTGAATCCTGACTTTTTTAACCTTGAAATTCAAACAAAGAAAATAAGTGTCTCAGAGAAAGACTGCAGTGGGCCCTGCCAGACTCCCTTCCAGAATTTCATTTCTTTGAGACCGCAGGAGACCAAAATACAGGGTTACGATTTCCAAATCTCAGCTAAGTGTCTCCTTACAAACAGCTGGTGGGCGCCCTGCAGGAGGAGACCCAGATATTCACTTCCCAGCCAGGTGTTTGGGAGTCTGGCCCCTTTCCAAAATATGCCAAACACAGAGCCACGCAAGGCACTGCCCACCATTTTCCAGTGCTAGAACCAAAGAGGAAAAAGCACCGGAACAAAGGGTGGGCTTCAGCCACATTCTTTAGCTACTTTGAAAGCCACTAGGCCATGCATGGTGGCTCATGCCTATAATCCCAGCACTTTGGGAGGCTAAGGCAGGAGGATCCCTTGAGCTTAGGAGTTTAAGGCTGCAGTGAGCTGTGATTGCGTCACTGCACTCCAGCGTGGGTGACAGAGCAAGACCCTGATTCAATTAAAAATAAATAAATAAATAAGCATAATTAGTGTAAAGTAAGATAAGGTCAAGATACCAAGTCAACACATCAGTCAGTTCTTGAGGCTCACAATTTTAGAAATGGGCAATTTGCTGGAGGAAAAAATTAGAGGAAGGGGTAGTGAAAGATGGTTCTGTTGCTGTGGATGTCTTTTGGGTCGCATGTATATCCAAATCATTACAGTGAATTCAAAAAGAAAAGGAAACTAATCTGTTTAAGGAAGAAATCCATTAAATCAGTTGATTGAGGATTTTATATAGCAATTATTTTATCAGTTATGACATCACTTGTGATGATTATCCTTATTAGCTACTATTAATTGAGCAAGAATTATACACCAGGAACTGTATGAAGTCCTCTGTAATGCACTCATTAGCTCTTTTAATCCTCACAGGAAGAGAGAAAACATCAACCTCATCTTACAGATCAAGAAACTTAAGCCCAAATACGTTAAATGATTTGCCCAGCATCACACAGCAATGAAGTAACAAAGCCTGCATTTAACCCCAAATCTGAACAATTCCAATGTCTAGTGTCTCTTTAATTCTACTGAGTTGGTAGTTAAAACTCTCTGAAACTACTATTCCTGTAAGGGTACTACATTTCATTTTCTAATACATAGTGAGAATTATTTCCCTGTATTTATTTATTCATTCACTCACCATTCAATCAACATTGGGCACCTGCTGTATGTCATCAACACAGCTAGGCCACTGAACTCAAGATGAATTAGTCAAGGTCCCTGAAAAATGCTCAGAGCTACACAGAGCACACTGACCCAAGAATAGCTCAGAGCAGAAAAGAACTCCCTCACAAAGGAAAAAACAATACCTTCGCAAAGATAAGATGCTACCTAAACTTGAGGGTTGAAAAAAGGATTTATAGAATATACATGTCATAAGTTATTTCTTAGCTGGCTGTAACCAGCAACTTCAAAACTTCCAAAGACAAAAATCCTGCTGCACCATGTATAGACAACACCTTATCAACCAGTTCAAAAACCAGATATTAACTTCAGCAGTTATTTTATCAACACAAATTGTTAAGTAATTATTTTGTTACTTATTCTTGCCAAAATGATATCTATTTTTTTCAAGATAGCATTTATTCCTTTCTTTCTGATTGTGAAGGTAATGTTTGTTCTTTGAAAAAAGAATAGAAAAATTAGTATCAGTTAATAGATATTATCATATACATGAAAATTTAAATTATTCATAATCCTACTTCCTAAAGTCATCTATAAACATTTTAGAGAATCTTTTAAGTATATTCCTATATAGTTATCTATTTTCCCATAATATTAGATTTATAATATGTATGTATATGGCTTTTTGATGTTTTTGCTCATTTCTGACTTCACAATGACTCTTTAGCATTTTCCTGTGTGGTTAAACATTCTCTGACAGCATAACTTCTGACAGCTCCCTACCATCCCACCCACTATATGCCTATTCCATTTCTTCTCTGTAGAAGATATAGGTAGTTTATTTTTTGTGCTTGTTTGTAAATTACACCACAAAGAATTTCTTTGTACATAGATCCTTATTTGCATCTTTAATTATTTCCTAAAGATAAATTCCCAAAGGTATTATTACCTCATCAAAAGTTTAAAACCATTTTAAAGTTTTTGGCATATACTATTTCTAAATGTATCTTCAGAGATATGGAATCAATTTAGCCTCCCACAGAAGTGTGTAAGGGTGCCCATCTGCTTCTCACCAATACTGGATATTTCCATTTAAACCACTTTAAAAGTATTTCCCAATTAAGTAGGCAGAAAATTGTATCTTGTTTTTATTTGCTTATCACTGAATACTGATGATGTTAGGCATTTTTCAGACATTTATTATCCACTTGTATTTTTTCTTTTGTCATTTATTCATGTCTTCTGCCCATTTTTCAATTGCTAGACTTATCTTCTTCTTATTGATTGATAGGCGTTCCTTACAGATTAAGGCTATTAACCCTTTGTCTGTCAGAGGAGCTGACAAAGCCTTAAACAGTAGCTCACACATATCTTAGTTTCTATTATTTAAAGTTCAACTCAGACTTCCCCAAACCTAAATAAGCCAGCCACACTCTGTGCCTTGGCTCTGAAGCACACACAGACTGTTTTTCCTATAGCTCTCCAAGCCTGCACATACACTCTGGAGCATATAGTTATTTGCATCTTAGTTTGCTCATTGTTTCATTTGTTCTAAGCTTGTCCCCATCCTACACCAACTGTTCCAAAACTGCTTAAAAACTTCGTTGAAGATAATAAACTGTCCAAATCATCTCTATCTCCTTTCTATCTCTATTATTTAGCAGTCCTTTTTGTTTTTGTTCTGGTTTGTTTTTGTCTTCACACTGTTCACTCTCTAGCCTGCATACCAGAGATCATGATTTTCAAACTCATCTCTAGGAATTTGGCTCTGATTTTTGCGTAATCTACAATTTTAAAGTAGGATCTTCTAAGACTGGCATCAGAGTCTTACAAAAATGTAAGAATGATCAATGTGAATGATCACGCTCATGAATAATATTCATTTCTTTATTAGCCTAAATTAAACCACCTGTGACTTCTCAGAAAAAAAAAACCACAAATATTTTTCTCTCTTATAGAGAAGGAGACAGGAAGATATGAGTGGCAATGCCTCGTGGTGATTGTGACTTTTCATGAACTCTCTCTGATCCCCCTGTTAGGGTGATAAATAGAAAGAATGGGAGATGATCCTATTTAATAATGGCCCAATCACTTTGGATTATAGCTGCCAAATAAAATACAGGTCATCCAGTTAAATTTGAACTTCAAATAAAAGTAAATAATTTTTAATAGAAGTATGTTTTATACTTCTGAAATTCAAATTTAACTGGGTGTTCGGCATTTTTACTTGCTAAATCTGTCAACCCCACCTTGGAGAAAAGCCCACTGGGCACTGGGAATTTGTTCAGGAGATACCTATATCAACTTACCCTCTGAGGAAGATTAAAAAGGGAATTTAACTTAAGAGTGAGTTGAGACAGAGGCTGTTGGAACTTATGTATTGGACCTATTGGCAGACACTACATTTAAAACAATCTCTTTTTCCTAAAGGGAGAAACTGTTGTTACAAAAGGAAATTAAGAAAGAAGAAAGGAAGGAAGGAAGGAAGGAAGGAAGGAAGGAAGGAAGGAAGGAAGGAAGGAAGGAAGGAAAGGAAGGAAGGAAGGAAAGGAAGGAAGGGAAGGAAGGAAGGGAAGGAAGGAAAGAAAGAAAGAAAGAGAAAGAAAGAGAAAGAAGAAAGAAAAAGAAAGAAAGAAAGAAAAGAAAGAAAAAGAAAGGGAGAGAAGGCATCCTCAAGGTCCAAAGCAAGACAGGACTATGAAAATGACTTCCTGTAGGACCTAGAATATATTCCTAGAAACTTGTTCAACATTCTTATTGGATACAAGATTGGACCTCAATGGAAGAGAAACAGAAACTCATGATGCACAAATGAATCCAGAAGAGATAAAAAGGGAGATAGGTGAGGTGAGGAATTATTGAAAAGATATCAAAAATTAATTAGCAGCATTTTCTCCTTTGACACAATAAAAAGAACTATTTCTTTTAAAATATTAAATTATTCATATAGAAGGAAAACTTGAGAAGCTCTCTTAGAATGTGGAGGAAACACAAAAATTTTACATTTTAAATTTCAAAAATAAAAAATAACTGAAAGAGTATAATTGGATTGTCTGCAACACAAAAGATAAATGCTTGAGGGGATGGATACCCCATCATCCATGATGTGATTATTACACATTGCATGCCTGTGTTAAAGCATCTCATGTACCCCATAAATATATATACCTATGTACCCACAAAAATTAAAAATTTTAAAAATGTAGAGGAAACATGAAAAATAAAATAGAAAATTACTATTCCTTTGAAGCCAGAAATTGAATAAGCAACATTAGAATTATAAGTGTTATAGGAATAATAGGAGCAACTAATATAAAAATAGAGTTGAAGTATCTGGTTTCAGGTAAGATGAAGCAAGCACTCTCTACATTGTTCTCCCATTGAATGCAGCTTTAAAACCTGGACAATTGCATGGAGAAGCCATTTAAAAACTAAATAGTAGCAGGTTGACCAGAATTCAAAGTATCACTGAAGAAGCAGTGAAGTTATATTTTTGTTCCACTGATTTCCCCCAGTCTCATCTCAATTTAGTCCAAAACCTAGAAATGGACACTCAGGTACAGAGAAACCTCCATGAGCAGCTCTCTAGTTCTGGCTCCAGGAGTGGAAAAGAGAATTTTCAATGTTCAGATAGAGTGTGGAAATCCCTGCTTTATTTTTCCTTTCTCTATTCTTGAGCATCTCTGCCTCCAAGTAAGCCCATGTTGGCAGCAGCAAAGGCAGCAACAGAAGTCGAGCCAAAACCAAGAGGATGATAATCTTCTCCTACTAATGGTGGTGTGTTCCCAAGAGGATGGGGCAAACTCCCAATCTCTCTCTCTCTCTCTCTCTCTCTCTCTCCAAGGACCCCTCCCCCACCTTGTCACCTGGTTCTGGACATAGGAGCAGTATCAGAGGAAGGCAGCAGGCAGGGTAACTAAAGCCCCAGCTTTCTGGGTGTAGGACTGAAAAAAGGAGCCCCAGAGAACAAGAAAGTACCAGGAAGATGGCCAAGACAGAGGAGCTTGGGAAAGCAAACCCATATAGTTGCTCACCTCTAAGCATGCTTGGATCTAATTCTAAACAGCATAACAAAGAATTTGGGAACTGGACAGATAGACCATCACCTAGACTTCAGATTAGCCTCTGGGTGGCACACACATAAGTCAAATTCACTAAAGGCTTTGACATTTTAACAAATATTGAAAGCACAACCTACAGAAGGTAGATTGGAACTAACAGCCTGAACCTATCCAGGTTCATTGCCTGCAAGAACAAAATATTGGCAATCTCCACAGGATTTAAGAAGACTCACAGAGTCTTATATTCAAAACATCTAGGATACAATGCAAAATTACTCAGCATATGATAAACAAGGAAAATCTCAAAGACAATCAAAGACACCGACATTAAGATGACACAGATGTTGGAAATAGCTGACAAAACCTTTAGAGCAGCTGCTTTATATTTTTTAAAAAAGAATCCCCAAAAACTAATCATAGTTTTCCTTGGAACAAATGGAAAAATAAAAAGTCTCAGCAAGGAAACAAGATACAAGGAAAAGCCAAATGAAAATTTTAGAATTTAAAAATATTATAACTGAAATTAAAAACTCACTGGGTGGGTTCAGTAGCACAATGGAGATGACAGAGTAAAGGGTCATCAAACTTGAAGACAGTTCAATAGAAATTATCTAATCAGAACAACAAAGAGAAAAATAGATTTAAAAAAATAAAGAGAACCTCAGGAGATTTGGGACAATAATAAAAGGTGGCAGAGGAGAGGAGAGTGAAGTGTTAATAAAGGAATCAAAAAAACCAAATAAGTGAAGAGGCACACCACATTAATGGATTGGAAGATTCAAACAAAAAAGATGGTAATCCACCCCCAAAATGATCTATAGATTTAACACAATTATGATCAAAATCCCAGTAGTCATCTTTGTAGATATAAACAAGCTGACTCTAAAATATATTTAAAAAGGCAAATATTTCAGAATAAATTTAAAATTTTTTTTTAATGAATCTGAAGGGACTCATACTAGCCAATTTTAAGACTTGATACAAAGCTAGAGAAGTCAAGACCGTGCTGTAGTGGCAAAGAGATAAACATATAGCTCAACTGAACTGACTAAAAGGTCCAGGAATACACTCAAACAAATAAGCTAAATTGCTCTGGTCCCACCTAACAATTCTTAAAAACAAGACCTCAAAAGATCAAACTGTTTAACTTATCTGAATCCCAAACAAAATTTAAGAATATGTCTAGCACTGAACAAGAGAAAATACATAATGTCTGTCATCAAATCAAAAATTACCATTCATGAAAAGGAAAAATTATCATGTATGCAGGAAAATACAACTCAAATGAGGAGAAAAGTTAATCAATCAACACCAGCTTATACTGATCATAGACCCTGGAGTCAGTAGTAAAATACATTAAAATGGTTTTTATTCAACACATCAAAAACCTAAGTAGAAACATAGAGGATTTTTTAAAAGATCCAAGTCAGATATCTTAAGATAGTAACTGCAATGTCTAAGATTACAGAAAGAGGGCGAGAGGTCAGGGGTGGGGTGATTAACAGCAGAAGAAAAGATTAGTAGGCTTAAAAACATAACAGTAGAAACTATTCCAAATGAGTACAAAGATAAAATAATAACAGTTTTTAAAATGGCATCAGTGAGCTGAAGGACACATTCAGGAGTCTATTCATATGTGTAACTGGAGTCCATCAAGATAGGAGTGAAAGAAGAAAAAACATTTGAAGATATAGTGTCTGAAAATTTTCCAGATTTGATAAAAACTATAAACCCACACATACAAAAACTCAATAAATCCAAGCACAAGAAACATGAAGAAAACTACATCAAGTCACTTCATAATCAGATTGCTGAAAATTAATCATAAAGAGGAAGCTTTTAAAAAAAAAAGCCAGAGGAAAAAAAATCACATACAAAGGAATAAAAATAAGGATGACAGCAGATTTCTTAACGGAAGCAATATAAGCAACAAGATAGTGCATCAATCTTTAAAGTACTAAAGGAAAACAAATCTACTTAGAATGCTATATCAAGCAAGAATATCTTTCAAAACAAATGGATTTGAAAAAGGGAAAATAGGAAAAACAGATTGTTGAGAAACAAAGGCTGAAATAATTAATAGCCAACAGACCTGCACTACCAAAAATAAAATTGTGAAAGAAATCCTTTACACAGAAAGAAAATAAACCACATGGAAAGATGAATCTACACAAGAAATAAAGCACATATGTACACACAAATATTTGTGTATAAATGTTCATAATAGCTTTATTTGTAATAGTTGAGAACTAGAAACAACCCAAATTTCCATTGGCAGGTGAATGGATACATACACACTGATACATTTATACAATGAAATATTGCTTATAAATAAAAAGAAATGAACTAGTGATACATGCAACCACATGAATGAATCTCAAAATAATCATGCTAAGTGAAAGAATCAAGACAACGAAAGAGTAAATACTATATAATTACATTTATATAAAATTCTAGATAATAGATCTGACTGGAGATGGGGGCAGGGTGAGGTAGGAAGGGATGAAAAGGAAAAATTTAAAATAGCCAGAAAGAAACATTTGGAGGAGAGGGATATAGTCATTATTTTCACTGTGGTGATGGTTTCATGGGTATATACATATGTCAAACTTATCAAATTGTGAGCTTTAAATATGTGCAGTTTATTGTATGCCAATTAGACCTCAATAAAGCTAGTTTTAAAAGAGAGAGAGAGGTCTGATATTTCCCACTGAGTGGTGGATTCTTAGTTATTTCCATTTAACAAAAAACTGACATTGAGATCATCAAAATTTGCCCTGAAGATGTAGACATGTTCATCATGCAAGTTCCCTGACAAAGAAAATGACAAATCTATGCTGTCCTGTTTTTTAAAAAGGTAGTAGAGGGGAAAAACATTTTATTCAGTAATTTTTCATTATAGAATCCCAGTTGTATAACTATAGTACTCATTTTTAACCAAGTTGTTAACTAAAATAGATCACTAGCTAAACTTTTCATAATTATGAAGCATAACAAAAGTCTATCTGAACTCTGCAACAAATTTGTGATTAGAGTGTTATTATATCCCTTCTATCTATGACTAAATAGAGGCTCAGAGAGGCTGAGCTGGCAAGTTAGCCCAAGATCACGCAGCTGGTAAATGGCAGAGTCAGAACTCTTATACAGGCCTCCATACTCAGAACTACTGTTCCTACACAACAAATTGCTGACTTTGCCTATTGATTAGAATCTTTCCTCCAAGACCTGTGATAGCAAGGCCATTACCTTCGGCCAAGCATTTCAGTATACTCACTGAAGTTTTATGTCTAGGATTTGCTTAAAAATGTCCAGAGATGGATGGACTTATAAGGATACACTGTAAGTTAGTTTTTCTGTTACTTGCAGTTAAACACTTTCTAGCTGTTCTAATCTGTTATATAGAATTGCATGTATAATAAATTTATGTTCTTCTCTATGAAGCAATGCTAATATCTGTTGCTAACTGAAATTGTTCATTAATTTGAATTGGAGAATAAAATGCCATTTTAAAAAATTCTACCCATATTTCCTCAGCACAGTTGGATTATTTCACCAAAGAATCTGAAAGCTATTTAAAACTAGTTTTAAAGTAATCCTTACAAAGTGAAATGAATTATTGTTGAATTAATAAATTCATTAATTAAAGACTAATTAATACTTTTTTTCCGGCCCTACTTCTATCACTGCCAATTGTACTTTTATTTAAGCTCATGACCTCAGGCAGTCATGAGTCCCAGCCTCCCTCAGTAAGATGGCAAACGCACATATGTCAAGAGCATTAACAACTGGCCAGACATAGGACATAGTCCCACAGCTGAAACTGCTCTTCTTCCCCCAAGGCCAGCTAAATTCAGTCTTAAAGGTCAGGTCAAAGCTTCATTCTCTTCAAGAAGTCCCCCTAAACTGCGCAAGATGCAAGACTTCCCATCTATTCCAAATGTAATCCGTTCCAGTGTATTCAAACAGAATTTTAGCTACATGTCAAAACTAAATATCACCCAATACTCACAGGAGGGAAAAGCCATCGCCAAACTCTTTGTTATTTATTTTCACTTAAAGGTTAAACATCTGTATGTTTCAGGTAAGATAGTATGACTTGATTAAAAGAAATAGTGCTCTAATGGACACATAGCAGAGTATCTAGTACATTTGTAGGTATTTAACAAATATTTGATAAATTAATTTATTAAATGCATTAATTAGTTAATAGGTTAGAGTTCACAATAGATTTCATTTTATATCAGGAGCTTCTTTGGCAAAGCTCCTTTGCCAAGTGTTGACTGACACTTTGGTAAATAATAGTATCTACCTTGTAGGGTTGCAGTGAGACTAAAAGAAATTATAATGTGCTGACAGGCACAGGCACAGTAGTCCTTTTTTATTTACAGGGGATACGTCTCAAGATATGATCTGGATTTGGTCCAGTCCAATAAATACTTTGGGGAAAACTGCTTTCTCCCATAGAGTCTCTGTTTCCTCATCTGCAAAGTTGAAATAATGCCTACTTCATTGTAAAGGATTAAAGGACATAACCTAAGTAAGAACACCTTTCCAATGTAAAAATGCCTTGCACGCTGGATGCTGTTATTCATTTTGTATCAATAGCTTCATTCATTCAAAATATACGAAGTTCATTTTTGCCTGCTCTAGGAACTGTGCAAGCTCTAGAGGCAAGACATGGGAATGAATGACATACAGTAGCTACAGTTTAATACATTTTTATTTAGTTTTATTTTTAGAGACAGGGTCTCACTACGTTGCCCAGGCTACAGTGCAGTGGCTATTCATAGATGTGATTATAGTGCAATACAGCCTTGTACTCCTGGCCTCAAGCAATCCTCCCACTTCAGCCTCCCAAGTAGCTGCTTTTAGAGGTGCAGGCCACCAGGCCCAACAATACATGACAGGCGTATGTCTTCCACTCCTCTGTGCACTCCAAGTGAGTGCTCTCCTCTATCATAGCACTGAACAAGCTCTACTGTCATCATGAGTTTACTTCCTGTAAACTTCCCACTCTAGACTGTGACTTTCTTGCAGGTAGACCTATGGTTGTTTTTTTCTTTGTATCTTCAGTATTGCACAGAGTATTGCATAAAGTAGGTACTCAGTAAACTTAGCATTCTTAGTAGCTAAGAACAACCGACTGAGCATGGACGTGGGGGAGAAGAAATGTCACAATTCAATTAAATTCTTTCAACCAGAAACCTTATGAATAACGTTCTCTTTTGTACTAGCACTTGGGTGTGTACCACCTCTTTCTATATACACAAGTATACACATTTGCACATAGGCTAACAGGTCAGCCCTTGCTGGAGACATTACATTTTAGAATATTAGGTAGCCATTTAGTAAATGACAACTTCTGATGTCCTAAACTTCCAAGAAGAGTTAGTATACCTCAAAGAAATAATCAATGTAACCTTCCAACCAGTAAAATCAAGCCCCTTATATTCTGTTTAATTTCCTAGGAGTTTTTATATACATATATATGTTCAATACACATAGCCCCTCACACATATACCAGCACTATATTTTTCCCTCTCCTTTTTACCCCCTTTTTTATGTCCACACTCTGAATTCAGCACAAAGTTGGTGTGTTTAATTTAAAAAGAAGTAAAACGCTCCAGGAGACGCCTCAGACCACTGCAAATCACCTACTTTATAGAGGCAGTAAAATTGTGTATCGGATTAGAAGTGATGCTGATCTGAAATTTATGATAACTTTTAATGGCATTATAATTTTTTTCCCTGTGCGCTCCATAACTGCGTCGTTTCGATGCACAGTGCGGTGAGATGAAATTTGTAAGGGAAGAACATTACCCAGGCAAGCCCAGGAAAAAAAAAAAAAAAGCCAGTGGAATAAGGTAACAGCCCCACACAGGCAGATGCAAGCTATTCTTTCCATGCACTATGGAAAGGCAGAGGCACAAACTCCAAAACGACTCTTTGAAATTAAAGTCAACCCAGGGCCCAGAATTTGTTGATAAAACTAGGAAATGTGGCAGAAACAACCTCACAAGAAACCTAGTGTAGGTGTCTTCCCGGTACCACCCCACCACTTCTGGGACTCTTCACATCTTTCAGCTGAGAGATTCCCACTTGGGCATCCTGAAGTAGTTTTCTGGAACAAACTGCTCTCCCCTAGGCTAAGTTTATTGCATAATTTTCCTTGGGACAGTTTAACTCCCCTTTTGTTCCAAAAGATCATGAAAGGACATTCTTGATGTCACAGGCTGAAAAGACTTGTACAGCACTGAGAAGTGCAACTAAGAAAATGATGTTGAAAGAGAGAAAACAGGGACTCAGCAACAGAGGGAGAGAGAAAAATAGTAGAACACAGAACAATGATGTTCATATTAAGCTCTAATTTAAAATATGAGAGGAAATCTTTCCAGAAAAGCCACCAAAGGGGAAGCCTTCCTTTCAATGCCAAATCCCCTCTTCAACTCATTTCTTCAGGGGTCATTCAACCTCCATTTGAATACTTCCAAAGACAAGAGGCTCACTACCAGTCAAGGCAGTTCCCAAATTTATTTATAAATTTATTAAATACATTCGGCATAGTGCCAGACACTAAGTGTTACGCTATTGTTGAAATATTTTTTAAAGCTCTTTTAAACAATAATAAGTGTTATTATGTTTTCTGATTAGAGAAACAATATAGGTTTAGTATAGAAAATTAAATCTCCAAAATGTATTATACAAAGCATCATCTACGTAGTATTCTTGCCAAAACTGTTTAACATTAATCTAATAATGACAACAAAATCTGAAAATTATTCAGAGAGGACTGCTTTGAATGCTCCAAAAATGTCAACATTATGAAAGAATTAAAAGGTAGGACTATTTAAAGGAAACTAGATACATGATAATAAATGTAATACACGAAACTCAATTAGCTCTTCAATGAAAATTAAAAGGTTACAATGGACATTTGGGGGACCATTGGAGAATTTGAAAATAGACTAGTTCTTAGATAAAATTACTAGATGAATATTAAATTTTGGGATGTGATAATGTTACCGTGGCTTAGTAGAGATATGAACTTCTTCTAATGATACACATGCTGAAAGATTAAGGGGCAAAATGTCAGGTCTTTCCATTACTTCCAAATAGTGAAGCAAAGATAGATAAGGCTAACCCCACAATATGTTAACAACTGGTGAATCTGGGTGAAGAGTTAACAGGGGTTCATTACCTGTCAACATTTGTAGCTTAGAATTTTTTCAAAATAAGAAGTTGGGGGGAAACATCTAAAAAAACGAATGCTGGTTATCTCTGGATAGAGTGTGTTTAATTTTCTTCTTTATTCTTATCTATGTTTTCCAAATATTTATGTAATAAGAAAGTCCTTGTTTTATATTGGATAAAAATGTGTCTATCCATGCAATTTCCTCCAACTATGATCAGGGCAGCAGGATGATGCCCCAGAAAGGGTAGGGCATAGAGCATCAGAAGACCAGGTTCTTGCCCAGAGCTTTGCATTCTGCGCTTGCTTTTTCATATGTAAAATCAACCCATCCCGTAGGGTTTTGGTGAGGCTCAACATGGAAAACGAATAAGAGTTATTCTTTTTTAGACTGTTGCACTAATTTTCCCCAGTAATGGAGCTACTCATTTCTTAAACTTTTTACTCCACAAAGTTTATTTTTTAAGGAACATTTTTTCCTGTTGCCTTGAGCATATTTTCCCTAGGCCTTTTGACCAGAATTGAGTTCAGAGGAGCAGATCCTCTCACAGCCGTCTCTACTCCCTAAGGGTTTAAATTGCAGATTATGCCAAGAATTTAACAGACATCCAGTTTCCAGCAAAGGTGGGGAAGCCCTCAACCCTGCACTTACTGGCCTCAGGTCCCATATTTCAAGCCTCGCCCTGCAGACTCTCTTTCACTGGCTGAGCTGCAGTGTTGACTATAAAAGCTCTGCTCCTCTCTTCTGAGGAAGGAACTTACCTGAAAGCTCCTCTTCAGTTTGCGCAAGATTTCTTGTAGGAGTAGCCTTTCTTAAGAAACTGCAAGGCTCCACCTCTTCCTTTTCTCAATGCCGTCTGGTTCTGTCAATCCCGTGGCACTAAGCAACAGGTCTCAACTATGTCTAGTGGAATGCCTTTACTCTTTAGTGTTAAATTTGTGTGTGTTTCCTCTCTTGCCGAGGTCCTACAAAAACTGTGTTTTTTCCAATCCATTTCCCAGAGAATCCGAATAAGAGAAAATAAGAATATATCACAGCTAAGGAACATTTTGGTCATCTGCTCCTACTCCTTCATTTTAAGGAAGTGAAGTGAAACCAAGACCCAGAGGGGGAAAATCAGTTATACAAGGTTACTTAACAAAATTCATTGTAAAACCTGAGTTAAAACTCTATTATCTGACTTCCCATGATATACTCCTTCCATTGAACCATGTTGCTTTTTCCTTAGGGATCATACACATGGTCCTTCTGAGTATTCCAAGCTTGCCTAGGTGTTTTCTCTCTCTCTCTCCTAATACTTGGGCTGAAAGTCTCTATAGCAAACCTATGGGTCATTAATTAAACACAGCCTTAGAATGTGTCCTTGGTCATTATCCATCAATTCTCAAATGGGTTGGGAAAGCAAATTCTTCTCTTTGATATCATCTATAGTCTATTCTTCACTGACCATGGCCTCCTTTCTTTTAACAGACCAACATAGAAGAAGAAAATTCTCTCTCTGCTCTCAAGACTTTCAACTTCCTACCCAGAATTTGCAAATCCTTTTGAACACGCTGTTTCCCTTTCTTCTTCCCAAAATGTCCTTCCCTCTTCCCAGCTTCCACCTGGTATTCCTCTTTATTCTTAGCTATCACATTTTCTGAAGGACTTCAAACACCACCTCAAGTGGAACTGACCTCTAGCACTGAACTGTGACATTCCTATACCTCCACTATAACATCATTATCAGGTTTCCTTCTTCTGCAATGTTTGGTTTTATGTCTTTTTAACCCTGAACACCTTGAAGGCAAAGTTGCTGCCTTATTTGCTTTTGTCTCCCCAGCTCCTGGCACACAGTGGAGGGTAAATTATTATTTGGGAATGAAGGCATGCAAATCAGAAGACTTGGGAGCTCATGTGTGTTTATATCTTAGAAGGCTGCCCACCTCCAACTGAACCACATCCAGGTGCACATGCCACTGCCCTCACATCTCCCTCAACTTGCAAGACACACTATTTTCCTGGGGTAGTATATAGATTCCTGTCACCCCAATGCCTGCCTAGTGTTCCAGGTGCCTCTGGAGGGGTGTTATTAGAGGGGCTAAATTCACTCTCCTTGCAAAGAGTCTCACACCTGTGTAGCTCTAATGGTGCAGAACTCCTTTCTCCACTGTCATGTGTCATCATCATTGATATTGATTTCCCTTCATCCTTACAGACTCTGTTTCTTTCTAACTTTCTTATGCAATCTTATCTACCATCCTCTCTGGGAAGCCATCATTTATACCTTTAATACTCCACCACAGAGAGAGTTGTTCTTGCTCAGTGAGGCCAACTTGGGCTGCTCATAGCAGACGTAACTGGCGAGGAAAATGCACTCAAACTAGCTTCATCCACTTGCCACCTGTGTGACCTTTGTTCTTTAAACTCTGTAACTCAGTTCCCTTTTCTATAAAGTGTTTTTTGGGTTGCTATGGGCATTAAAAAAAGTAGTGCATGTAAAATGATTAGCACAATACCTGGCACATAGTGATTGTAAAATAAATGTTCATTCTTATTACTATTATCACCCTAAACAGAACACAAAGGTAGCAGGCAACCTGCTAATTCCCAAAAACATTATTTTGCTGCCCTCATTTTCCAAGGCTCTTCATAAACCTTAGATATATTCTTGAAAAACTGTGTTTTTTGACCACAACTCTTAGGGTTTTTTTTTTTTTTTTTTTTAACTCTTCTTGTCTCCTACTGTTCACTTAGCTACTATCATCTTCTAACCTGCTGGGGGAGATCCCTTGCTCAACAAAAGATGTTTTTCTGAGTCTGCGCAAGAGGGAAAGTAAGGTAGAACGGGAAGGAGAAAGGGGGTCCAAATTGTAAAAGACAATTCAAAAGAGAACAGCCCTGTTATGACCAAAAGTGCCACCACATTCAACCTCGACTGCCCCTCCATAGGTCCTGGACCAGAGCAAAACTGACCATCTCTTCCAAGCAACACCACAACCCCAATACTGAAAACCTCCTTGTCCAGGCCCTTAAGGGCTTCCCTGGAGACTAGTTAATGATGAGCCCATACCTTGGGTTTACTCTGAATCACTCCTCTCAACCTAATTATATGCCTAGGGGGAAATTCAATGTATTTGATCAAGTCTTGCCAGTATTTCTTTGTCTAACCCCATTAGTCTCATTGATAGGAAGGGTTCCTAGAGCAATTAAAGCAAGTGCTATCCCCTGAGGGCTCTGGAATAAATATCTCTTCCCTACTCTTTTCAGAGCCTGGTTATCCCCTGTGATAAGCACAAGCAGGGCTGTGCAGAGAGACCTTCACAGAAGCACAGCGCCCTTTGGTGCCAGCAAATTGGATCTGACCTCACTTCAATTAATAGTGTTCAGAAACTAGGGTATCTCAGCTAAGAAATGTGGAAAGAAGGCTGCTATAATATTGTTCTTCACAACTTCCTCTCCCAGGTGTTCACTTCACATACTATTATATTTTGTTCAGTCCTGTCAGTATCTCTATCCACCTAGAACTCCAATGACCCACAAAATGCTGTCAAAGTCATTGGCCCATTTTGGAAGCCTCTAGTAGCCTATTAGAAATGTCAGTGCACACTCAACAAGCAGCCAGGTCCAAATGCGCTGAGGCTTAACCTCATTAGAATGTTTCCACGACACAGGGTCAAACTTATCTTGCCACGGACTTTCTTCCTCTCACCAATCACTGAGAAACCATTTTCTTTCTAATTAATTTCATCTAGATGAAACCTGCACAAATGTCAGTGCAACAAATTAAGACTTATTGATTATTGACTTTTTAAAAATAGTTAATGGTTCTGTCCAAAGATGGAATATTTTAGGGACATCAGCAAGACATTTTAGCTTAGGCTTGTTTTGGTTTTTTGAACAATGAAAATAATGTTGTAAGCATCTTCCATAGCCTCATTACTCATTTTTCATCTGAAACTTTATGCTTTTTTATAGTCACAAAATATAAATCACTAGAAAACTGCATCTTACAGTTTAATGAAAGAACAAGTGCTACTCGGGCATTTACATTTCACATATGGTGCTCTGAAGGTTGTCCATTCTTGTTCCCCTTTTCCTCTCCCTTCAAACATCAGTAGAATGCTAAATGTGATCACCATAACTTGCTAGCAAAAAAGAAAAACAAAAAGATAAAACTCAAGTTTCTTATCAGAAAACTTGTTTGCTTGTTGTTTCAAGGTGGAAAAGGGTGAATGCCTTGATTTAGCCCAGGGGTTCCTGGCATGCTGTCAATCACTCACTACGCTTTACTGAATGTTATTGTGTCCTAGGGTCAGAGGGGAATGCCAGACTTGACTGCTACTCTAAAGAGGACATAATCTAGCTCAGCACATCTTCATAGGCATAAAAAAACAGTGAACTATGAAGCTTTCTATGCAGTATACGTGGTACGACCCACATCCAGTACCTCATTTGATTTATAAACTTTCTGTAAAGTAGCATGGGATCTGTTTACTGGTGGCAAAACAGGGGCAAAAAGGAAGGAATTTTATTAAAAATAATGTTGGCAACAGGAACTAAAATCAAACTTCCATTTCCAAAATACTTACACTAGCCATTTTTATAACATGCTATTCAGCTCAAGAGCTTTTATTTTACCAATTAAGTAGGCTGAAAGACTACAGGTAATGTTTTTTAAAAGAGAGGGAGTCACGTTCATATTTTGCACAGGTAAATTGCTTCAGGGAAGAGATTTATAACCTTTTATTTTCTTCCATCCTACTCAAATGTTTTAATTTATCAGAAATGAAATTATTGGCACGTGAAAGGGAATATCTCAGTATAATTGCTTCCTATATTCATTCTGAAAGTGTAAATATTCAGTCTTCATCTATCAAGACAGATCCATGAAGGGGATCATAGAGATCATCTACTTTATCCCATCATTTTATAAAAAATAATTGAAAGTCAGAGAAGTTGTTACTTGTGTGAAGTCACATAACTTGAAGCAATGTGTGTATATGTGAAAAGATTTTCATCTGGCTGTTCAATAAACTTATTCACTATCATTGCGTCCAGATCTACATATCAATTAAAGGTAAGCATGGATGTTTTTAAAAAGGTACCCAGTTAGGTGATGTCAATAGCCAGAGAATAAGCTAATCCAACATAGGAACAAAGCTGAGGAGAACTCACCATATTCAGCCTGGGCCTGAGAAGACCAAAGGGTGTGAGATCTGTAAGTAGACATGCCCCATGCCCTGAAACAGAGAGGTCCCAGCTGAGGTATACCAAAGTTACAGCAAGCCACAGGGCACATTATCATACAGGCCAGATGAAAGAATGAGACCTAGTGAACCCCTCAGAGAGGTCTTTCATCTTAAAGGAGATTTTAGAAATGAAGACATAGGAACAGAGCTAAAGAATGTGATAACTGTATCACTGCAACAGGGGAGTGGACCAGTTGATCTTGACATCTCAGGAAGCTCCAGAAGACTTTCATTGTGTGATTTATTTTTATGTTCGTATTTATGTTCTGTCAACAACCCCATAGGCTCTGGGATTGCTTTAATGAATAAATGATAAGTTTAAAAATGATAATGGTCTCATCAGGAGCAGAAACCAGTGCTGGTTTATGGCTAGGTCTTAATCTATGCCACAGAATTGGACACAAAGGACAGGTCCTCTCATTCCAATTTGTCATGGCCTATGAATGTGGAAGCCTCAGCCTTCACCTCAGGCAAAGCAGGCATCATTAGTTGTGTTGGTTCAGATGGCCAAATCTCTTATTCGCATTCTTATTTTTTTCCTTTTGGAGATTGTCTTTATCATATAAATAGCATGCCTTTTTAGCAAGCATATAGCAGTCGCAGAAATGAAAGCATTGGCTCAGGAAAGGAAATTGATGCCAAATATCTTGACGAAATGTTCATTGTAATTTCTCTAAAAATTTTAAGATCAAAATCAGGTTCAAATTTCTCCGCAATAGGTGACTGAGTACTAACCCAAAAAGCAAGGACTTACCATAACATTTTTATTTAATTTGCAAGTGGGGAGCTCTGTTGTGGTGCTAACTTCAGTTGTACTAACATGTTGGCTTGTCACAATGAACCCTACTATGTCAGAAAAGGTATTTGCTATCAATTCCCTTCCTTGAGCCAATAATTTTATTTCTTCACTTACTATGTGCTTACTAAATAGACATGCAATTTGTATAACACCAGTAATTTATAAAAGAAAACAAATAAGAATGTGAGTAAGAGACTTGGCAGTTCTGACCAAAAACAGCTAATCGGTGGCACTAACAAGATATAGTACATGGGAAAAATGATAGCGAAACGTGTGTCTCTGGTATTTAGTTCTCCCAATTGTGCCTAACAGACAGCATCCAGGCATGTAAACAGAAAAGGGAGACTGACTAATTAAACCCACCATTGTGATCTTTGAGAGGAGAAAACTAATACAAACTCATAGGAGGGATCTTAAAATGAAGATGAGGCACTGATTCTACTTCATAGGCTTCTTGAGGTGATTTATCTTGTAAATTGATATCTTGTACACTTTAATATCTTTATGGGCCAATGGCTGTATTTTGTCCTCAGTATGAATTAAAAATTTAGGTATTTGTGCTGAATAGAACCATAAGTCCTCTCATTGGGAACAAGTGAAAAAAGTGGAGTATGTGCTCTGCGAGGTCTTTTGCTCTTCCTATGTAGTCTGCCAAAGAACACTAGCAGAGTTATGCGCAAAGCTGAGGTTAAAAAACATAGGCTGATAGGAGTACAGAATAGGACACATTCAGAGAAAATAAGTCAGAATGTGTTGAAGGCTGGCTGGGCAAAACTTACCGTAAAGTTTCAGCACTTTGTAAGACTGCGTTTTACGCCAACACTAATTTGTATTTGGATTGTCCATCACTCTGGCTGCCTGAACCAACATCCCTCTCATTGGTAAGGAAGGGTATCTGAGAGCTGGAATGAGCTTTATGTCACCAACCACCTGGCTCCCAAAGCACCCAAAACCAACTACAAGAGCCCATGGCAGCTGCAAAGGAAGACAGAGTAAGAGGAGTTGCTCTGGTGGGATACGGTGGCTCACGCCTGTAATCCCAGCACTTTGGAAGTCCAAGGTGGGAGGATCACAAGTCAGGAGTTTGAGACCAGCCTGACCAACATGGTGAAACCCCATCTCTACTAAAAACACAAAAATTAGCCAGACATGGTGGCATGCGCCTGTAATTCCAGCTACTCAGTAGGCTGAGGCAGGAGAATTGCTTGAACTGGGGAGGCGGAGGTTGCAGTGAGCCAAGATCGCGCCACTGCACTCCAGCCTGGGTGACAGAGCAAGACTCAGTCTCAAAAAAAAAAAAAAAAAAAAAAAAAAAAGAGGAGCTGCTCCTACA
Source organism: Homo sapiens (assembly GCF_000001405.40). Lineage (NCBI taxonomy): Eukaryota > Metazoa > Chordata > Mammalia > Primates > Hominidae > Homo > Homo sapiens. The sequence continues at coordinate 137,274,762 of NC_000003.12, read as the reverse complement.
ACCACCAGTTCCTGGATTAGAGACCTCCTATTTTGTCTGCTCATTGGCCAACCATGAAAGATTTCTATTTGTTATTTATCAAGGTTTTGAGGTCTTGCTTTTTTGGTGGTGGTGGTGGTGGTTTCGTTATTATTGTCATTTGGTTTGGTTTGGTTTGCCTTTTCATGAATAAATATTAAGTGCATGAGTTAAGATTCTTTTGGTGTCACAAGAAACAGAAAACTCAACCCAAATTTACTTAAGCAACTAGGGGATTTGTTGGTGCAATAACTGAAATATCTGAGTTCAAATATGGTTTGATTCTGTGGCTCAAATAGTCAATAGGACATGTCTCTGTCTCTGTCTCTCTCTCCCTCTCTCTCTCCCTCTCTCTCTCTCTCTCTCTCTCTCTCTCTCTCTCCCCCTCTCCCCCTCTCTGGCTCTGGCTCTCGCTCTCGCTTCCTCCACCCCCTCCCCCCCGCTTCAGCTCTGTAATTGGGCTACCTTTTCAGAATGTCATTTGTGGTGGCAATATGTTAACTACAACTTTAGTCTTACCTCCTTTTGGGTTAAAGTCTAGTGGGAAAAGCTGCAGGCCCAGCAAAAGTCACTGAGTCTCACTGGCTTTGCTAGGGTCATGTGCCCAGTCCTGAACCCGTCTGCAGCCAGGAAAAGTCAATGCTCTGCTAGCTGAGGCTGAGCCATAAATACACCCAGGACCTAGAGTACGATTGGTTCCAACACTATGCAAAACACCTTGAGAGTGGGGAACAGGTGGTTCCCTAAAGAAAAATCTAAGTAACATTACTAGAAGAAGGATAAATGGATGTCCAGCTGCAAACAATGAATGCCCATTATATCAGGTCTTATCTATCACAGTCTAGACTCAATGGAAACAGAGTGTGTGTCTTGTATTGCTTTGGGTCACCCAGAGAATGCCTAGTTTATTAAAAAAAAAAAACTGGTATTCAATAAGCATGTGATGGTTAATTAATTGATTAATTTAGCCAAATTGGGAAATCTAACATTAGAAATCATTCTGGCATTTACTCAAATCCCTTCTACTAACTAGACAATGGCTACACTTCATTCCAGAAAACTTAAGTTGCCAATGCTGTCTTCATTCATAGAACTACCTTTTATTTGATGAATGAACTATGCTGTGACTCTGCCCTGTGAAACATTATTAACAATAACGATCCTTAACAACACCATCTTAGGGTTTTACATATATCTCACCTGAACCTCATGACAACCCTGTAAGGAAAAGGTAATTATTATCCCTATTTTACAGATATGGAAAATGAGGCTCAGAAAAGTCAAAAGACCTACCCAAGGTAACATAGCTAGTAAATGGCAGAGTTAAAATTTGAACCCAGTCAGTCTTCCCACTATCTATGTTTGGTCAAATCAGACCATGCTGCAAAGCCCAGTTTAAATGCCACCACCTTCAGGTCTTCCCAGCTGGAATCAGCTAACTCTTTCACACCACTTGGTGCTTCTCTTACAGCCATTATTTTGTTTTGACTTGGATAATTGTTTACATATCCACTCAATTCTGATATTCTCAATGTCCCTGAAAACAGTAAACAGCAGAAAGCAGAAATCAGAAAGGCAGCATTATGAAAGGGAAAAAAGTAGCAAGATGTGCTTCCTGGTCCACCTGCTACCCCAGCTCCGGGCCTCCCACTTTTATTCTGCTGAGGCTGAGGTAGGATCTGGTTTCAAACCAGATGAGCCTCTCCACTGCCAGATCAGTCTTCCACATGGTCCTTTGAGCATATTGTTCCCCAAATCAAGCCTTTCAGGTAAAACTCTATTTACAAAAGCACTGACTGTAGTTTGTCGATTTGATTTTTTATGATATTTCATTAAAGTATTATTTTCTTGATTTCTGAGGTTTTTGGCACCTCCTTACATTTTGCATCTGAGACAGATGCCTTTCTTCCCTCACCCTAGAGGTGACCCTGTTCAGGAGCTCTTGATTGCAGAGCAAAGCCTGAAACACTTCACATGATGCTCAAGGCCTCCACAAAATGACTTCCATTTACCATTCTAACTTGATCTTTAGGCTCCACTCCAACAAACTAATTGTCTCACTCACTGTCCCTTTTCTCTCCACTTCACCCAACACAGAAAGCTTTGATCCACTCCCTCCCTCAAAAGACACCTCCTGAACCTTTGACTGGCTCCCTGTCCTTGTGCTCAGATCCTACCCTGCCTCCACATTGGCCCAGGCCATGTAGGCCAGCCTAAACTCACTAACTTCAGAAGTAAGTTTTACACTTCTTAAGACCAAGGACTTTTTAAAAATTATTGTTCCTTCCATCCTCTCTTCCACTCCTCGCCACCCCGCCACACACACACACAAACCTCCTATTAGATAACCGAGTTAATGCCCAATAAATCAATTCTTTGTTTGATGTTTCAACAAACTCCAGTTTATTCCCACCTGCTAACCAGCTTATTTCATATGCATGGCAAGCAGAGGCAGTGACATGGGCAAGTGAGCCAGGGAAGTCCTCCTCCTGGGTTCTCATAGAGGCCCCATAGTGGATAGGAAGATGGGCTTTGGAGGTGGTAAAACCAGGGGGGCAACACCCTCAGGGCCCCACAGAGAGTGGTGGAGCAGCTATGGGACTGGAAGTTATTCTGGTTTTGCCTGTCATATAACCTTGACTCTTAGACACCTCTCACCCCAAAGAGAGCTCAGACGGCTCTGGGTTTCAGATCAGTATAGAGAAAGAAAACACTCCTCAAGGGAGACCTGACTTTGTCGACTAGAAAAAAAAAAGTTTTAATACAACAAATAAATATTTGGGTGTCTAAAAACAATCATCATTTAAGTATGTTGCTAAGGTCATTTATTTCAAAATGTGTGACCAGAACTGGAAATTGATATTTTTGTACAAAAATATTGGTTGCCAAGTTTAACCTTTTTATTTGTTCACTCAATGAATATTTTTTATTGCCTACTGTGGGCTAAGTACAAAGAATAGAGTGATGAACAAGACAGACATGGTTACTAGCCTCTTGGAGCTTTTATCATACATTGTTTATCATTTATGAGAATTTCATAAATTACTTTGGAGCTCTTTAAATCAACAAATAATAACTGAGCTCATAATTAGTGCCTAGTGTAGATGGTTAAGATACATTGGTGAGGCCAGGCACAGTGGCTCACGCCTGTAATCCCAGCACTTTGGGAGGCCGAGGCAGGCAGACCACGAGGTCAGGATATCGAGACCATCCTGGCTAACACGGTGAAACCCTGTCTCTACTACGAGATTGTGCCACTGCACTCCAGCCTGGGCGACAGAGCGAGACTCCGTCTCAAAAAAAAAAAAAAAAAAAAAAAAAATACCTTGGTGAGTAAAATAGACAAAGATCCCTACTTTCAGAGAGTTTATAGTCTAGCTAGGTGTGACAACAAACAAAATAAATAAGTACTGTATAATCTATATTAGAAGAAATAAGTATATGGAAGGAAGAAAAAGTAAGGCAAGACAGGAATGTGTGTCTGGAGCTTTTGAGGAAACCCAAGGAATCCAGTGTGGCAGGAACAGAGTAAGTGAGAGGGAGCAGAGATAAAGTGAGAGAAGTTGAAAGAAGTAATAATTCAGATTGTATAGCCGTGGGGCCATTGAAAGGACCTTAGCCTTTACTCCAGCTGAAAAGGGGAGCAACTGAGGGTTTTGACCAGAGGAATGATATGATATGCTTTTATCTATTCTCAGTCTATTCTCAGACCAGCAGGCAGAGGACAGAAGAAAGAGTGGAAGCAGGGAACCTGTTAGGTAAAATACTGCAGGATCCAAATGAGAGAAGGGAGCAGCTTGAACCAGCATGTTAGCAGTGTTAATGCTAGGATGGGATCAGATTCTGGATTTATTTTGTTGCATATTGAGGATAAGAGTAGCCTAATCTCTTACACTTGTGATAGAGACCAAATAAAATTAAACATGTAAAGAGTTTATAATAGTGTCTGACACATAGCAATTGCTTAATGAACAACATTATTATTATTATTATTATTATTATTATTATTCTTCGTAGGCCATTTGTCAATGGCCCTCCATAATCCTAGAAGTGAAAATAACATTCTCATATGCTAATAGAAAGTCTTGAAAATGGGATTTGAATCTGAACTCAAAGTGGGTCCTTTTCCCCACAATGTCTTTGCTTCAAGACCAAGGATAGCCACAACCACCCAACTCGTATTGTGCCTATGTCAGCATGGATCTGTCCTGATCTCCCAGCCCTGATATTCTCATTCACTCTACCCTTCCTTCCTCACAAAACCAAGGCTCTTGGAGTGAATGCAGCCTCCTCTCATATAAGGGAGCACTTGATACCTTGTGCTTGGGCAACAAATACCTTTTCATTTCCCTTTAGTCTGGGTTGGGGAATGGGACCAGAAGCGAGTATTCAACTTGGGGGAGAATCTGGAATCCTGATAGCCCCTTGGGCCAATGCGAAGGGACCCATCTGCCTTGCCACAGGAGTTCTGGTAAACTCCAGAGGGGGAAAAAAAAAAAACCATGGAAAAGAGCTCATCTCACTAAAACTGAAATGCAGCAACCTCCTCATTCTCAGAAGAGGCTGAACGAGAGAGCGCAGTCAAGTGGAATGGTTGGAGTATGCTTTAGAGAAATTTCGCCAAAAGGGAAAGTGGAGATGGTCTCTTTTTTTAATTCCCTACCAAAAAAAATTCTGCAGAACTTAAAACTATTTTAATCAGCTGAAAAACATACGTGGGCTTTACAGCTCCAAGACAGCTTGCACAGGCCCCGATAAATGCCTATCGCTCATTTGCATACGCTAACAGCTACACTTTAATCAGCCTCCTAATCCCTGATGGTATTAATGAATTTTTTTATGCTTTTTTTATTTAGTATCATGTTTGCTAATTCAGAAATGATCAGCGGCTTCTGTGTGCCTTTTTTTATGCAGGAAATAATGGGTGAGCTGGGTACTCCTGTTATCCCGCTCTCACAAATAATTAAGACTACAAAGGGTACAAATCAGTTTGAATGTGGTGCACAAAGGCACAGGCTCAGCAAAGGCCTTTCTCTGTTTCTGTTTCTCCATCCCCCACCCCCTATTTTCTCCCTTTTTCATTTGTTCCTTTCTTTTGACAAGAGGTGGTTTCCAAAGACACCTGGGCAGGCAAGGCACTGGCCCATCCAAAATATTAATTCCCTGCCTCCCTCCACCCCCATCACCACCACCAGGGCCTGCAGAATGATGTGAGTTTTCATCTCAGAGGATTTGGATTCCTCTCAAGACTGGTTTTCACAGCACTAACTGCAGTGGAGGAAAAGAGAGAGAGAACTTCCTGAATGGTGTCTCTCCCATATTTGCCACCCTCTTTGTTTGTTCATCTTCAAGTAAGAACCTGCTAGGTGTGGTGCTACCATGATCAGGGAGATGAAGAAAGGATCTCCTCCAGCCCTAGACCTTACTCCAGCAACCTCAGGAGAGTTTGGCACGCAGCAGGCCAGGCCAGCCAGGGACCAGGGAGCTGGGCGCAGGATCATAGTGGTTTATCTAGCAACAAAACCTCCAAATAAGGCCAAGATTAGACGTTTTAGGCCTCCTGGGAATAAAAAAGAGAGAGAATGAAGGGGTCAGTGATTACTCCTCTGAAGAAATGAGAGAGGCTAGCATAGACAATAGAAATTCACAAGTAATTCAAAGTTTATTAGCCAACATGGTTACCTAACAGAGAATAGATTTGCATTTTAAAGGCTCAGTCTGCCTGCTCATATCACTAGTGCTGGATAGGTGAGGCCCCAGAATTATCACCCAGAGAAAGGAGGAGGAGGTGCTAGCCCTGGACAACCTGCATCCTAGATAGTGAACTCTCAAACAATGACAAATGGGCTAGAAAATATAGACACAATCTGATCCATATATATTTATAAGTAAATTAGACGGTAAAACTGCTATATATTTTAACAAGAAAAATAAACTGCTGAATATAAACATAAAATGTCCAAAGCACCTCTAGATACTTATTTTTTAAAGTTTGAGGAGGGGTCATGCCATTCAAATATTTCAGTATATATGACTATGTATATATATGATTTTTTAAATGTCCTTATTCAGAAGAATGTTGGGAGAAATGATGAGACCACCAAATTTGCAAAGTCCTTTGCACTGCAACAAGAATAAAGCATTGTATGAATATGTGAAGATCATCAAATCAGTGGCCTCCCATTCTCATGCAGTGGTCATCTTATCACCTGGCATTCTCTCACTACTCTGTAGTCATTGGAAAATGGCTTGGACTTCCGGACACCAGAAAAGTACAAACACCTTAATTATGACTTCTGGTCTGTCTTCTTCTAGTTTAATGTCTTTTCTGTATTCCTAATAGAACATTCTCTGGCAGACAATAGACACCCGATAAATGTTAAACTGAATGACTTTGGGATGCCATGACTAACACATCGTTGGGAAGCTATTGCTGACATTGAACTTATCATCTGCTTTAATTGTATGAAGAAAGTTCAATCTAAGAATATAATCTGACGTTAAGTTTATCAGAAACTTAATAATACATTTTACCAAGATAGAATTATATTCTACTTTTTAACTCATGAGAATTTAGAGACTCTTTACCCCATTTTATTCCGTTTGCCCCATTCTCCCTTAGCTTGACCCACCCTTAGGCCATTTAACCCCCATCAAGCCAGCCAGCCATAGATCTGTCAACAAATCTATGCTGGGTGTCTGTTTTGCCCGTGTCTTTGGCATCTCAAACTGGAAGGGAGTGGAGAGGAGAGAACACCAGTGATGCCACTGGTTGGCCATTCTGGAGGAGAGTGTGCGCTATCAGGGGAGCATTGTTTAACATTTGGTCTTTCCTCTCTTCGTAGGCATTATTTACTTATGTTATTGTTTCCAATGGCATTGTTTAACCCTTGTTCCTCATTAGAATCACCTGAAAAACTTTTTTAAAAATACCTTTGGTATATCTTACCATCGAAAATTCTGATATAATTAGTCTAAGGTAGGCCACTTGATACTGATAGATTTAAAATGTGACCAGGTGATTCTAATGCACAGCAAACCAGTATGCTACAGCAAGCAACCCAACAAATTTCAGTGGATTTGTTTTAGTAACATATATGCACAACTTCATTACTTTTTTATTTCCAAAAGTGCCCTAAATCATGCATTTAGCCTTGTGAAGTATGGAGGAGCCTCAAGGAGCCATCTATGATCTTGATGTTATTGTATGTGTCTGAAAGTCATGTTTCTCCCAGGAGCCCACATCAACAACACAATAACTATTTATGCTCCTTCATATCTGAAAAATAAAGCTCTTGAAGAAAGAAATTTGCTTCTCAATATGAAATATTGAGGGCAACTAACACCAAGATGCCTAAAGCCTCAGTATAACAGATGTAGTGTCCTGTTTTTCAGCTTCACAATCAAGGGATTCTGCTCTTTCCTTCATGTGTTTACAGGTTATCTCTGGAATTGGTTCTATAATAGAAGATCTCATGGAAGGAGTTTAGGATCACAGAGAAAAATCATCAGAGGCATCTTTAACTTCACCAAAGTGATCTGTAAGCTGAGACATTGAGCACAAAAGGGATAGAGGCATATTGTGAAAATGAGATTTGTTCCTGATCTTGGCAACACAAACCAAAACCATGCCATCGATGGGGAAGTATCTTGATGCTAGCAAAATGGTTTATAGATTTAAAGCAATTTATAGAAGGATATCTCTGGTTTGTTAATATTTAACTATCTCTCAGGGAATAACATTGAAGATAAATGTAAATAAGAGAAAACTGGACTGATAGATCTTCCGAACATGTGGCTCACTGAGAAGCAGAAAGAAATCCTGGAGATGGCAGATTCCAAACACTGCAGTGTGCTATTCTTGATAATGACACGAGCTCATGTTGGGTTTAAGTTTAATTCAAAGCCAAGCCCTGAGTTCTCTGTGAAATATGACTTTGAAAGCAGCCATTTTCTTCCAAACACGGGAACTGTCCCATCTTCCTTCAAAAGATGGCTGGTTTTTAACATCTTCTTTCAGGGTAGGAGGAGCCATCAGTTTGCTTTCATTGTAAACCATGTTTACAAGCTATATATTTTTACTAGTCCTTTCGTAACATCAAACAAGCCAAAATGATATTCCCATAAGTACTCAATCATAGAGAAGATTCTTCTAAACTCATCCATTCATTCATTCACTCATTCAATAAGTTCATTCTATGCCAGGCTGTGTACCATAGAACTTTGGCTTTTACCTTTTTTTTTTAACTTTTTCCTCACCACCTTTGCATAATGAACTTGTCTATCCAGTTGGCTCCTCATTTGATTTTAATGGGTGTATGTGTGTCAGCTTTCCTATTGCCTCAGAGATTTATACCCAACATGATGATTTTTGTTCTTCCTTTTCCTCCTCCCTTTAATCAAGACCCTGATAGTTATTCTTTCTATTCCATATATTAATATTTGCTGGGTAGCTCCAAAGTCTTTCAGGATAATGCATTCAACTATCAAGTGTTTCTGTGTCCCTTTGTTCTCCCCCTTGACCTGGGCAGGCATTTTTCAACTTAGGTTGTTCCCATGTGAAACATTCCAGGAGCCGGTGCTGCTTTGCCTATGGTGTGTTTTGTTTTGTTTCAGTCTCCTGAAGATCTTTAAATGGCTTTGTTTAAAAAATCCAACAATTTCCAAATTGGGGGATATAGGTTTCCTTTCATGTACCACTCTCCTCAGTAAAGGGTTTATGGTTTATTTGCATTCACCATCAGGGAGTTCTCCTTCATATCTACTTTGTATCTTTCTCCCTACAGCCGTAGGAATCACAGGGTTACCAGAGGAACTTCTGATGCAGACAGCTCACACCAAGTTGTAACAAATTAGCCTGTGTTTCATGTACTCTTACAATGGGGTATCTCATAGGAACATGTGGTCTTTCTGAGGGATTACCTCAAGGAGGGACTGCGTAGTACTTAATGCATGTTTGTACAGGAATGAAATGGAATCAACTGGGATCATAACTTTACTTGTGATGAAAGAGGGCTTCACTTTCTTCAGGTAAATCCTCCCACAGTACCGTGACACCCCAGCCTCATGCTCTATTTCCTGCCAGGCTTTAAAGCATTGTCACTTCAGTGGATGTGGGAAAGGGGTGTCACTATCTCCTAGAACCTGGAGAATTGATATGTCAGTGAAGCAGAAAGCTTCCAGGCCTGCCCCTTTCCTTTTCAAGCACTTAGAAACTCAGGAATGGGCAATTCCAGGTGGGTGGGAGCCTTCATGGGCATACCCCAGAGCTGCCAATCAGGATTCCATGTTTGGGGCAGCCCCTGGTCCCCAACCAAAACTAGCAAAGCAAGCTTGTCCAAGTGATGTCAATGGGAGTTACATATTCCAGCAACAATGATAATCATGGAAACTATTAGGATTACCATCCAGGGCTGTCACAAGAGGAGGAGGAGGAGAAAGAAGGGAAAGATGGATCGAGCCACCTGATCCCCATAGAAAGATAATAAAGTTTGCAAGTAAAAATTTTGACTGAGGTGTGGATTACAGCTATTAAAACAGTTCTCCCCCCTCTTTCTTATTTGAAGAGAGAATTAAAAGCAGGTTTTGAGAGGTGGAAGAAAACACTGTCAGCTCCACACACAGGCTGGCTGATTTACACAATCCATTCGGGCCATTAGTTTTCATTAAAGATCAAATGGAATGGGTACTTACTTACTAAGAGGCCTTTGGGGAACTGAATTGCAGAGAAGAAAGAAGATTAAACTTTACATTCAGCCCAAAATTTAATTCACAAGTAATCAATCGCATAATGGGCCAGCAACTGTAGCTGGGTGATTGAAATGAAATTACCATATTTTTAATCTTAATTTTCCACACTGTTTATCTGACACTGTCAATATAAAATACAAACAGATAATGAAATAGCATTATATTGACACTACAATCATCTCTTGAGCAGCCCTCAGTGATTAAACTGCTGGAATGTTTGATTACATTTTGTTGGCTGACATTACAAATGACACGGATGCTTCAGTGAGACTAGCTGCAGGCTGGAAAATGAGCCCATCCATCAAGAGCGCCTGGCAGCTACCCCTTTCAGTCAATAGCTGCCAGCATCGGGCACTTCTGTCAAAACGTTTAGCAAACAGAAAGGGGGAGAATAAAAGGAGAAAAAGAGAGAGCGAGAGAGAGGGAGAGGCAGAGCAGGGGGAATGGCAGGGAGAGAGCCTGAGACAGAGGGAGAGAAAGCCCAGGCAAGGGAGGAGGGCCAAGCAACTGGAGCTCGGAGCTTACTGCGGGAATAAATACTTACATAGGGATTTGAGGGACTAAGAAATGAAATTTGACAGATTCTGTGTCATGTTCTGGCAAGGCGTTGTGATAAGAGGTGCTTGTAGTGGCCTGAATAACACACAGGACAACAATGCGCTTGCTAGCCATTATGGAAACAGATGTTCATGCAATTAGAATCAAGCCCGCATGAGGAGGATTTGCTGCTATGCAACCACGGGGAGCAGGAGGCTGGGTGGAGGCTGGGGGTGTGGGGAGACAGCCTGGGTGAGAACTCTGTGCTAAGAGCTCACTCAGGGAGTTTTTGGCATCATCTGGGCTGCACACTCGTTGAGCCCGGAGCCTGCTTGGAGCATGGCCAAGGGCAGGCCCTGATTTGAAACGGCTGCTGTGCCCAGCATCTGTGGAAAGTGGGCCATGTAGAACATATCTCTGTTATTCCGCCTCTCCCTCCCTCCCTCCCACCCCTGCTGTGGCAGGAGTTTCTGCCCAGGTAGGCAAGGCCCCAGACTGCTCTGGCCCACAACTTGTAGAGGCCAGACAAGCCTCTACAGACCCTTGTAGAGGAAGCCGGACAAGCTGAGACCAGCCCTGACCCTACTTTGTTGACCTTGTAGGGTTCCTTGGCACCCCAGATTGATGGAAGGATTGGTGCAAACCCAGCCTTTCCCAGGAGTACCTGCAGTGTCTACAAAAGTTACATGAGAAAGGAGAGAGGACAATCCCCAGACTAGGTCTCCACAAAGCCCAGAATTCATCTGGGAAGTGAAAGGAGCCCTCCCCTCCAACTTAGGTGTAGGGAAGTGCCTTATGAGGCAGCCATTTGAGGGAGACTTTACTATCCTAGTCTCTTAAAATCTCTAGAAAGAAAGCAGGCAAGCATTGGTTTCAGTAATTTAGATATTCACCTTCCTGAGAGCAGATGCTGGAGTCTGGGACTCTACAATTGCCTGCTGAATCTGGATGGGGTTTCAGCTGCCCTGATTGTGCCGCTAAGGATAAAGGCAGTGTGGTGCATTAAGCACGTGACAATGAACCATTTGCATTGACCAAATGATGGGAACTTGGCTCAGCTCTCTGCTTTCCTTGTCCAAAGAATGGCTGGCATTGCTGTCCTTTTAATTATCCCTTTATTCAACAAGTATCTACTGGGTCTGCTATGTGCCAGGCTCTGTGTTGGGGGCCTGGGTTCAGAGATGAGGAAGGCACCACCTTTGCTGTCAAGTAACTCACCTTCAGGAAACATCAAGGACTGGAGGATAAGCCTGGCGTCCTTAGGAATATGGAGGGTGGGAATGGCAGTAGAGTGAAGCCTTCCTGAGATGGTAATATCTGAACCAAGTTTTAAAGTCAAACAGGAGTTAACTAGATTAATAAAATGAAATAGAAGAATGTGATGCAAAGGAAACATAACGTGTAAAAGCCCCAAGGTGTGAAATGGCCTGGCACATTTGAAGGACTATAAGAAATTGTTGTTTTTCTGGGATTGGCAGGTGAGGAAGCTAAAGAGGTTGGTGGGAACCAGACTGGCCATGGAGGAGAACTCATGGGCTGAGATAAGGAGACTGAAATTTGTGCCCATGGCCATAGGAGCCTCTGGAGAATGTGACAGGGTGGCGGTGGGGATGGTGAAAGATGCATTTTCTACAAATTAATTTGATTATAATTCAGGACATTGATATCCAGATTTTCTTTAAAAACACACACTTAAGAGAATTTTTGCTGGAATGTTTATTAGATAGGCAAAAACTTGAGCCAAAGAGTCCTCAAAGATTTACTATTCCCTCTCTAGATTTAAGAACCTTTATTTGCCCTTATGAGAGGAGACATATCTTGGCAGGGTCTTACTGATTTGGGGAGTGACCTGTGTATTTACTCCTGATCATAACTGCAAAACCTTTTAAGCCTTCTAATATGATGATATGACAGATACATGGCTCTAGGGTTGTGTGAGCCAGAGACAGCAGATAGGATTTTTCATCCTAAATCCAATATTAAACATAGAATACATATGCCTATAGAATATTCCAAAAGACACAACGGTTGCCCAGCATCACCCAGACACAGATGAAGTTTCACTGTCTGGGAAAGCAAGAGGACTTGCTAATCACCCATTACCTCTGCAAACCTGCCATGAATATCAGAAAGAAAGTCACTACTTTGAATGAGACATCAGAGAACAAAATGTCTCTTGTTTTTATAAGAGATTATTAAACTGAGCCCATGCCAGCAACAAAAATGGAGGCAGCCCCATGTTATACCGGCTTTGACTCTGCAGATTAATAAAATAATAACCCAGTTAGAAAAAGCAGTTCTTGTTTATTGTGGAAAATGCTAAAAATATTTTAGAACATCAAGGTGAAAATTGAAATCATCTATAGCTTCACCTTTCAGAGATGAACCATTAGCAGTCTAATGTATTTCCTTCTAGTCTTTTTTTTCCATCACATTAATACAAAGGGTTGTGACAATTTGGACTTGGCAACAGTTGATTTTTATATTATATCTTAATAAAATATTTTCTGCTTTTGCATTTACAGAATAAGTAAAACTGTAACTTACTGTATATTATACAGTTTGCAAAGCTAACTCTATGTACTTTTGAGAGTTCTATCATATTTCTTAGAGACAAAATAGTTTTTCACTGGAAAGTTGGGAGGAAGTAACAGGCACACACTGTCACCTAATGTTACACTTGTATTAAATATTATATCCTAGTTTTTCAGTTCACATTATGCCATTAGCATTTCTCTATGTCATTAAATATTATTTAAAATATGATTTTAATTAACACAACATATTTCAATGTAAGGATAATCTGTTTAATTTTTCACTGAAATAGTTTCTCACTCTTCAACATCAAGGATATTTTCAGATTTTTAAAATAATATATATTTAGGATGGCAAATACTCTTGTACAGTAAGTCCTCACTAACATTGTTGGCAACTGCAGCTTTAAGAGAAATGACATATAATGAAACCAATTTTATCATAGGCTAATTGATATAAACAAGAGTTAAGTTCCTACAGCATATTTCTGGTCACAAACATATCACCAAATTTCTAAGTAAAGGCCTAAAACACTTCTAATGTTAAACATTGAAATAAATGTGAGCTATGCATACATTTAAGAAATATTAATAAAAACAAATATGATAATTATTTACCCAATTTTTGGTGGATCCATGAATGGTTGTAATGGTAGTGGATTAAATCAAGGAATAAATGTTTGCAAGCAAAAATTGTAAGGAGTACCTCCTACAACCACACAGTTCAAAACCAAATACTAACCAATATGGTAGGCCCTCTGAAAGATTTTGTCCCATACTTTTTATTGTCATGCAATTGTATGATTATCACATATTTTATAAATTTTTATTTCATGATCATTTGTATTCATTCATTCATCCCTTTTCAATCCACTTATTCTAAGTCAGGGTCTCAAGAGGCTGGAGTCTATTCTAGCAGCACAGAACCTGAGGCAGAAACCAATCATGGCCAGAATGCCTTTACATCAGAGGGCACACACACACACACTCACTCAGACTGGGACAACTTAAAAACAGCAATTAACCTAACATGCACATCTTTGAGATATGGGAGGAAACCAAAGTACCTGGAGAAAACCCACACAGACATAGGGAGAATGTGCAAACTCCATACAGACAGTGGCTGCGTCTGGGAATCCATTTTTTTCTCATCAATGTTTTAATGAAGTAACATGGAACAACACAACATTATTCAAAGGGCATGCGTATCTTTGGCCATATCTCTGGTTATTTCTTTAGGACAAACACCTAGGAATGATACCTGTAGATTTCTGTAAGATTTTCGCTTAGGCTCAGGGAGACCCAGTATTTTTTAGAGGGCCTCCCCCTTAAACCTGACATGTTGTGAATCCCTGAAGCATCATTTTCAATCAAACAGGCTTGACAACCACTTCACCTTCATCTTCCACAGACAACAGCTTTTTGAGTTTCCCCCTTTGTCTATTCCCTACCTGTGCCCAGCTCAGACCATTCCTGAGCAAAATGGGGTAATATATGCCTATCTCCCCTTTCTTCATGTGTTCTCCTCCCAGTCCCTCTTTAATGCCTTTTTTCCAGAGACCTCCAGTGCCCAAGAATATAAGATGTTAATTTCTTAAGTCCTACCTCCCAGAGTCTTAACGACTTAATCAGTATGACTTCCATGATTACTTGCACTTTAAAGGAGGGTCCTAAAGAAAAAAAAAAATGCTTAATGCAAAAAAAATAAAATAAAATAAAATAAATAAAAATAAAAATAAAAAAGACTCCGCAATGGTGGAAATCACAAAAACAAACAACCAAAAAATCAAATCAGAGAAAGAGAGAGAAATTTGCATGAAGTCAACGGGAAAGAAAAGGTATTGAAGCCATGGGCTTAGCTAAACTTACCTACCAGGATTGGGAGGAGGGAAAACAAAAGTGAGCCAAAGATGGAGTCCTAGGAATACTCAGTGATGTGAGGCCTCCGGAGAGAGCCTGAGGGGGAGTGAGCAGGAAGTCTGGATGGTGGGGAATGACCAGAGTAAGACGGTGGGATGGGAGGCAGAGGGAGCCGTTGCCTGCCAGATGAGCAGTCTGGCAACAGGCCTAAAGGCAACAAGTGAGACACTGCTGTATAGTCTCCGGCAAGAGGATATTGTGTGGAAGCCAGTGTTTGAAGATTGTTTCAGTAACTGTGGCTTGATAAATTGTGGAGGAGAGGATGAGGAGCAGGAAAATCAGCCACAAATGTGGCAACCCTCATAGCTAATATTTACTAGGCATTTATTGTGTGTCAGACACTGTGTTAAGTGTCTCACATGTATTAACTCATTTAAAAACTAGCCCAGATCCATGTTGTATCATTATGCCATTTTATAGGTGAGGAACTGAGAACCAGAAAAGTTAGGTTACTTACCTAAAGCCACACAGCTAGTAAGCAGTAGGACAAGGATTCAAACCTGAGTGCTTAGCCCTACACTGCTAATCTGCCATAAAGGTGAGGGCCTTGACTGTGGAGGCAATTACTGTCATGAAAAACAAGAGCATGCATTAGTCACCATGCACACAGTTTGTGTTCTGGTGCACAAGGAGAGCAGGGCATAGAGGGGAGGGGAAAAGAATGCCGACTGCTTCTCAGAAAATTTTCAGAGATGGCAAAGCCAGGAACTAGGAGGTAAGAAATGTATGGTGTTGCAAACTGCAATCATCACACGTTCCAGCAGCACAGCTGCTCTTCTGTGACTCAACAGAGTCGTTTATTATTCTAGGCAGAGACCTAGGCAAGGCCTCTTAGTCTTTTCAGGCTGCTAAGAATACCATAGACTGGATGGCTTAAACAACACAAATTTACTTCTCACAGTTCTGGAGGCTGGGAAGTCTAAGATCAAGGTGACGGCAGATTCAGTGTCCAGTGAGGACCTGCCTCCCGATTTGTGGATGGTGGTCTTCTCACTGGGTCCTCACGTGGCAAAAGGGAGCGAGGGAGCTCTCTGGCTCTTTTATAAGGGCACTAATCCCATTCATGAGCATTCTGTCCTCATGACCTAATCACCTACCAAAGGCCCCAACTCTAAAGACCATCGCATTGGAGGTTAGGATTTTAGCGTAAGAATTGGGGGGTGGGGTTGTGGGGGGGACATAAGCATGCCATCTATGGCAGACAGTCTCTGCTGGACTTAATTCAGGTAATATTTAAAGAGTAATAATTTCCTCTTACTGAATATCTATTATGTGCCAGGCATGAAGTTAGCAGCTTGGCATGCATTATCTAATTCATTTCTATTTCAGAACTATTTTTACTTCTATTTTATAGATGATAAAACTGAGGCTGCAAGAATTTAAGTGACTTGCCCAAGGACACATCAAGACTTGAACTCAGGAAAGTCTGGCCACAAAGGCTGGCGGCTCCCTGTCCACCTGGCTGAAGGGAACATCCCCTGTTCTAGTGTTTGGGCCTGTCCTCTCATTCCCCAGAGGAGCCCCCTTTCCCAGAAAGGAAGAAAGCCTGAGATTTTCCTTCCTTAGACTTGTCGTCATCACGCACCGCCCTGCTTCCATCTTCCCTTCAAAAAGAAAAAGAAACCAATCTGTCAGTTTCTGGGACTTGTAGTTGACAGACATGCCGTTTTATTCAATTCATGACCTTGTCTGGATATTTCCTTCTCTTTTATGAACTCCCAGGGAGCACATGGGAATAAGCACAAGATGTGGGATCAAGAAGCCTGGGTTCAAGTCGTGGCTCCTTAGCTCATAGACGCATGATTACAAGCAAACCTCAATTTCCTCCTTGGGCTATTGGGAGAACCAAGTGAAATGATGCATGTGAAATGCTTTGTGAGCTGAAGAGCCCTATGTATCTATTCCACAACACCAACCCATTCTCCCTAGTCAGTCAGAATTGAGTCCAGAATAACTGTCCCCCATGTTGCCTCCTCCACATTAGGGGAGATGAAGCTGTCGACAGGGAAGTGGGGAATCCATCAGAGGTCTGCTGTGAGCAGAACCACCTGCCTGCCCTGTCAGGGCTGGAGTCAGAGCCAGGCAAGATGGCTCGCGTTTATATAGGGCTTTGCAGTTTACAAAGCACATCGACATCTATTACCTGGTTTGCTTCACACCACTCTACGAGGCAGGCAGAGTGGACAGCATTATCCCTGCTGGTCAAAAAAGAAAGCTAAGTCTTCAGAGAGGTAAGTTGTCCAAAGTCTCATAGTTACCATTGGAGAGCCGGGCTCAAACCCTGGTCTTGCCTTGGTGGGTGACTGCTGCCTCTAGTTCTGGAAGGGCAGGTCTGTGGTCCACAGCACAGCTACCTCACTCTGCTCAACACATGGACTAGACTGGAGAGCATAATGAGAAACTGTATAAATCATGCATAAATGTGTCGTTTTTTATAAATTGTGTATATAGTTATGTATATAAATTAAACATAAATTAACTTCAATTAGGCAGTTTTGTCTTCATTTCAAATTGGGAACATCTCAAACATTCTGGAAGGTTCTTGAAAACCCTATCAGCCCTAAGCACAGTGTCAATAGAGCCTAAAGGTTAAAACCACCTGCTCCCCCATCCCCATGCCAGCTCAAGGAACTCTACAATGCTCAGTTCACCTCATTTAAGCCCAGATATGAGATCTTCTCCCCATAAGTGAGCCAGGAAACCAGGGGTACCCTTTAGGTTAACAGCTAGCCAGGTGCCTGTTAAAAGGACTGCTCATAACCTCTTCTTGCTCTTCAAGTCTTAGCCTAACCATCACAGCTCTGGAAGCCTTCTCTGATTGCCAAGCTGGCAAAGATGTCCCTTTTCTATGTTCCCAAAATGCCCCGTAATGAGTTCAATCTGTGTTAAATGTCAGTTGCTTGCATGATATCACCTACAGAAAGTGAACCTCTAAGACCAGAGACTGTCTGTCTCCCTCCGTATAAGAACAGTCAATAAATGCTTCTGAAGCATGTGAGTGGTGAATAAGTGAATAAATGAGTGAATGAGTGGGTAAATAAAATAATGAATAAATAAATGGAAGATTATTTACATTTCCTCTAGCTCTTAAATTCTTCTCTAAGTCAGAGATGGGGGTGAAATGTGGCAGTTAAGTTCAGAAAAATAATACTTTTAAAATAGTATTGATTAAAAAGTTATATTTTTTAAGGTCCCAGCTCTTATAGGCTTCCAAATAGATGGCTCAGGGCACAGGCCACACCCAGGAAAGTGAAGCGTGCTAATGGCTAATGTCCTCTCTCATATCCATGATGCTCTGAACTTGTTTAAGGATTGTTATCTTCTCTCCTTTCCTTACTAGGTCACTAATATTCAAGCTGCAATGACCAGTGTTTTCTGTGCAGCAGTTTCAGTTTATCCATTTACTTCAGTAAAAGCAATTTTTTAAATCCACCTTAGGGCTTTCTCCTTGACCTACAAAACAACGCTGAGCACTCTGTTCCTTGGGGAGACGTCCTCCCAAACCTTTATGTGGAGAAGCATGTGTGCCGGAGCCTGTCGTCCTCAGTGGGAAGTTTGACTCATCTCACCAGGGAATGGTTGGGGGCAATTCCAGCCTGAGATTCCACTTCTTCCTTTAATGAAGTAGCACCTATTTGGATGATAAGGAGCCACTGAAAATTGGGAACATCTTACAAATGCAAAATGCCCTTTTATATAGAAATGTATACCTTATTTTAGAATGTATCCTGTAATATTATTCTAATATAATAAGAATACCTACAAGGAGTTCATAATAACTTGGGGAAATGTTTATGAAATAACATTGACTTTAAAAGTAGAATGTGAAATTATGTATACGGTGTGTCCTCAATTCTGTTTTTTAAAAGTGTACTTAGAAAAAAGAAAGACAGTTTTCTCATTTAATCTTCACAACAACCCTGTGGTGTTATTATGTGGAATTATTAGATAATTTGCCCAAAGCCATACAGCTGTATGTGCTGCCCAAGGTCACAATACATGTAAAGAATTTGATTTTGCATGTATATTTCATCCAGAAGGCAACTTGGGAAGGGTGGAGAGATATTTTGGGCCTCTGTGCTTCCAGGCATATGGTAAAATTGCACTTCCCTAGCACCATAGAGTCTGACATGGTCAAATGACTTGCTTGGGCCAATAAATTTGAGCTGAGGTGATACGTCACTTCCAAGTGGAAACTTTAAGAACCAGTGCACACTCTCCATGTTCTTCCTTCCCTTCTGTCTACAGATTGGCAGTCCTCCAAAGAAAGGCTTCCCTGTCAGCCTAGATCATGGAGTAAGGACAACATGAAGCAGAATTTATATGTAGCATGAGCAAAAGTGGTGCTGAGCTGTTTTAAGCCACTAAGACTTGGAGGATGACTGGCATCACCACATACCACAGTGAAACGTGTCCTATTCCAAATCATTCAGGCCAATTGAATATTAAGGCTAGCTGACATGAACACTCCAACATGATTTCTTACAGTTTGAGTGGGAGGTGATGTGATACTACAGAAGAGGTTGAGTTTTAGAACCAGACCTGAATTTCAATGCAAGCCATTATCCTAGTTAAACTTACTTTCATATTTGTAAAGTTTTGTGTTGTTTTTAATTGATACATAATAACTGTACATATTTATGTGGTATGGTGTGATATTTTAATACATGTATACCTTGTGTAATGATCAAATCAGGGTAATTAGCATATCTAGCACCTCAAATACTTGTCATCTGTTTGTGGTGAGAACATCCAAAAGCCTCTCTCCTAACAAGTTTGTAATATACAATATATTATTGTTAACTATAGTCACCCTGCTGTACAATAGAACACCAGAAATTACTCCTCCTATCTAACTTGTTTACGACTGAATAGTATTCCATTAAGTATGTACCACATTTTTATGCATTCATCCATTTTTGGACACTTAGAATGATTCCATACCTTGGCTACTGTCACTAATGCTGTAATAAACATGAGAGTACAGAAAACTTTTTGACATACTGATTTCATTTCCTTTAGATATGTATCAAGTAGTGGGATGCTGGATCTTATGGTAGTTCTATTTTTTATTTTTTTAGGATCTTCCATCCTGTTGTCCATAATGGCTGGATTAATTTACATTCCTAGAAACAGTGTATAAGAGTTCCCCATCCTTGCCAGCATTTATTATTATTTTTTGTCTTTTTGATAACAGCCATTCCAACTGGAGAAAGATAACATCTCATTGTGGTTTTGATTTGCACTTCCACGATGACTAGTGATGTTGAGCATTTTTACATATACCTGTTGGTCTTCTTTTGAGAAGTGTCTATTCAGATTTTTTGTTCATTTTAAAATCAGATTATTTGGGGGGTTTTGTTTGCTTGTTTGTTTGTTTGTTTGTCGCTATTGAGTTGTTTGAGTTCCTTATATATTCCGGATATTAGCCCCTTCTCAGATGCATAGTTCACAAATATTTTCTCCCATTCTGTAGGCTATCTTTGCATTCTGTTGATGGCTTCCTTTGTGGTACAAAAGCTGTTTAGTTTGACATAATTCTATTTGTCTATTTTTAGTTTTGTTGCCTTTGTCTTTTAGACCTTATTCAAAAAAATCCTTGCCCAGACTGATGTTAGAAGTGTTTCCTCTATGTTTTCTTCTAGTAATTTCATAGTTTGGGGTCTTACATTTAAGTTTTTAATCAACTCGAGTTGATTTTTGTAAATGGTGAGAGATAGGGGTCTAGTTTCATTCTTTTGCGTGTGAATATCCAGTTTTCCCTGCACAATTTATTAAAAAGACTATCCTTTACCCAATATGTGCTCTTGGCACCTGGGTCAAAAAGAAGTTGATTGTAATATATATATTTATTTCTGGGTTATCTATTCCATTCCGTTGGTCCGTGTGTCTGTTTTTATGCCATTACCATGCTGTTTTGGTTTCTATTGCTCTGTAGTATATTTTAAAGCCAGGAAGTGTGATACCTCAGGCTTTGTGCTCTTTCCTTAAGATTGCTTTGGCTATTTGGGGTCTTTTGTGGTTTCATATGAATTTTAGAATTGTTTTATTTTATATTTCTGTAAAATGTGATTGGCATTTTGATAGGGATTGCACCGAACCTGTATATGGCTTTGGGTAGTAAGAACATTTTACCAGTATTAATTCTTTCAATCTAGGAACATGAATATCTTTCAATTTATTAGTGTCTTCTTCAGTTTTTTCATCAGATTTTTTTAATTTTGAGTTTTCATTGTAGAGATCTTTCAAGTCCCTGGCAAAATTTATTTTTAGGTATTTTGTTTTCATAGCTATTGTAAATAGAATTGCTTTCTTGGTTGTGTTTTCAAATAGTTCATCATTGATGCATTGAAATACTACTGACTCTTGTATGTTGATTTTGTGTCTTGCAACTTCACTGAATTTGTTTGTTAGTCCTAAAATGTTTTTGGTGGAGTCTGTAGGGTTTTCTGTATATAAAATCACGTCGTCTGCAAACACAAACAATTTTACTTTCTCCTTTCTAATCTGAAAGCCCTTTATTTCTTTCCCTTACCTAAAAGTTCTAGCTAGAATTCCTAGTACATGTCTTGTAGCAATGAATTTCCTCTGCTTTTGTTTGCCTGGAAAATTCTTGTCTCTCCTTCATTTCTGAAGCATATATATGTGAGGTACAGTATTCTTTGTTAGCAGGGCTTTTTTTCCTCGGCACTGTAAATATATTGTCCCACTTCCTCCTGGCTGCAAAGTTTCTGCTGAGAAGTCTGCTGCAAGGTGTATTGGATCTCCCTTGTATGCCATTTGCTTCTTCTCTCTCACTGCTTTCAGGATCCTCTCTGTCTTTGAATTTTGAGAGTTTGATTATAACATGTCGAGGTGTTCTTTTTTTTATACTTTAAATTTTAGGGTACATGTGCACAACGTGCAGGTTTGTTACATATGTATACATGTGCCATGTTGGTGTGCTGCACCCATTAATTCGTCATTTAACATTAGGTATATCTGCTAATGCTATCCCTCCCCCCTCCCCCAACCCCACAACAGGCCCCCGGTGTGTGATGTTCCCCTTCCTGTGTCTGTGTGTTCTCATTGTTCAATTCCCACCTATGAGTGAGAACATGCAGTGTTTGGTTTTTTGTCCTTGTGATAGTTTGCTGAGAATGATGGTTTCAAGTTTCATCCATGTCCCTACAAAGGACATGAACTCATCCTTTTTTATGGCTGCAGAGTATTCCGTGGTGTATATGTGCCACATTTTTTTTAAAACAGCAAGGAAATACACAGTATGTTTTATTTTTCTCAAAAAAAAGTTTGTGTTAAGCAGTTTGTAAATTTTTTTTATTATACTTTAAGTTTTACGGTACATGTGCACAATGTGCAGGTTAGTTACATATGTATACATGTGCACAATGTGCAGGTTAGTTACATATGTATACATGTGCCATGCTGGTGTGCTGCACACATTAACTCGTCATTTAGCATTAGGTATATCTCCTAAAGCTATCCCTCCCGCCTACCTCCACCCCACAACAGTCCCCAGAGTGTGATGTTCCCTTTCCTGTGTCCATGTGTTCTCATTGTTCAATTGCCACCTATGAGTGAGAATATGCGGTGTTTGGTTTTTTGTTCTTGTGATAGTTTACTGAGAATGAGGATTTCTAATTTCATTCATGTCCCTACAAAGGACATGAACTCATCATTTTTTATGGCTGCATAGTATTCCATGGTGTATATGTGCCACATTTTCTTAATCCAGTCTATCACTGTTGGACATATGGGTTGGTTCCGAGTCTTTGCTATTGTGAATACTGCCGCAATAAACATACGTGTGCATGTGTCTTTATAGCCGCATGATTTATAGTCCTTTGGGTATATATCCAGTAATGGGATGGCTGGGTCAAATGGTATTTCTAGTTCTACATCCCTGAGGAATCGCCACACTGACTTCCACAATGGTTGAACTAGTTTACAGTCCCACCAACAGTGTAAAAGCGTTCCTATTTCTCCACATCCTCTCCAGCACCTGTTGTTTCCTGACTTCTTAATGATTGCCATTCTAACTTGTGTGAGATGGTATCTCATTGTGGTTTTGATTTGCATTTCTCTGATGGCCAGTGATGATGAGCATTTTTTCATGTGTTTTTTGGCTGCATAAATGTCTTCTTTTGAGAAGTGTCTGTTCATATCCTTCACCCACTTTTTGATGGGGTTGTTTGTTTTTTTCTTGTAAATTTGTTTGTGTTCATTGTAGATTCTGGATATTAGCCCTTTGTCAGATGAGTAGATTGCAAAAATTTTCTCCCATTCTGTAGGTTGCCTGTTCACTCTGATGGTAGTTTCTTTTGCTGTGCAGAAGCTCTTCAGTTTAATTGGATCCCATTTGTCAATTTTGGCTTTTGTTGCCATTGCTTTTGGTGTTTTAGACATGAAGTCCTTGCCCATGCCTATGTCCTGAATGGTATGGCCTAGGTTTTCTTCTAGGGTTTTTATGGTTTTAAGTCTAACATTTAAGTCTTTAATCCATCTTGAACTAATTTTTGTATAAGGTGTAAGGAAGGGATCCAGTTTCAGCTTTCTATATATGGCTAGCCAGTTTTCCCAGCACCATTTATTAAATAGGGAATCCTTTCCCCATTGCTTGTTTTTGTCAGGTTTGTCAAAGCTCAGATAGTTGTAGATATGTGGCGTTATTTCTGAGGGCTCTGTTCTGTTCCATTGGTCTACGTCTCTGTTTTGGTAACAGTACCATGCTGTTTTGGTTACTGTAGCCTTGTAGTATAGTTTGAAGTCAGGTAGCGTGATGCCTCCAGCTTTGTTCTTTTGGCTTAGGATTGACTTGGCAATGTGGGCTCTTTTTTGGTTCCATATGAACTTTAAAGTAGTTTTTTCCAATTCTGTGAAGAAAGTCATTAGTAGCTTGATGGGGATGGCATTGAATCTATGAGTTACCTTGGGCAGTATGGCCATTTTCACGATATTGATTCTTAGGTTTTAAACTTGAATGTGATTGGTGATGTTTGACCTTCCTACACTTGAAAATTTATATCTTTCTCCAGGTTTGGAAAGTATTCTGCTATTATTTCTTTGAATTAGCTCTCTAACCCTTTGTCCTTCCCACTTCCCCTTTTAACTACAACGACCCAAGTATTCTCTCTTTTGATGTTGTCCTATAGATCCCATAAACTTTCTTCCATCCTTTTATTCTTTTTTCTCCTCTGACTTTGTATTTTTTACAATACTATAGTTTGTCTTTGAGTGCATTGATTCTTTCTTCTGCTTGAGCAATTCTGCTGTTGATGCTTTGTTGCATTTTTTATTTTAGTCATTAAATTTTTTAGTTGCAGGATTTCTGTTTGAATTTTTATTATCTCAATGTCTCTGTTAAATTTCTCTAATACATTTCTGAATTATTTCAAAGTGTTCTCTTGAAGTTTATTAAACTCCTTTAAAACAGCTATTCTGAGTTTTTTGCCTGAGAGGTCATACATCTCCATCACTTTAGGGTTGGTCTCTGGTGACTTATTTGGTCCATTTGGTGAGGTGATATTTCCCCAAATGTTCTTAGTGCTTGTGGGTGTATGGTAATGTCTCTGTATTGAAGGATTCAGTATTTATTCCAGTCTTTACAGTCTGGATTTCTTTGTGCCCATCTTTCTTCAAAAGACCTTCTACAAATTCTAAGTACACTGTTGTGTTCCCTGCGTCAATGGCTCCTGCAGCCATCTCAGCACTGGTGGTTATTCTAAGCCCAGGTTTTCCATGAGTCTCATGAGGTCTCTGATGTTGGCATGGCTCTCCAGCACAGATGTACGTGGGAAAGACTCAAGAAAAGTACCCATACTGTATGGGAAAGCTGGCCAAGGAAAGCTGGCCAAGGACTCAAGCCTGGGAGACTGTCATGGTTGCCCAGATAGGCACACCTCCCAGCAGGTTTCTGCACAGGTAGGATAGGTTCCTTACTGCAGCAAGTGGAGCTAGAGCTGAGACTGGACCCCTCAGGATCTGCTGTGGATGGTGGCTGGTAAGCCTGTCTTGCTGGCTCAAATGGGTACACACCTCCCACCAGGTCACTGCACATGGGATAGTATCCCAACTGTTGTAATAGGAAAGGCCAAACCTGAGACTGAGCCTCATGAGAATCTGCTGTGGGATGGACATTGATGAGCCCATCACAGAGGCTCAGAATCCCAGGCTATAAGATTTGGGTAAGTCTCCATCTAGGGACTTGTGTGAGCAGTTCTGAGCTGAGACTTCAGCTGAGGGGTGCTGAAGCCAAACCACAGGGAAATTTTCAGGTCCACAGCTGAGACTGATGTCAGCAAGCAGACCAGCCTCTCTGCCATGGCACTAATATGCACAATTCTTCCTAGACTTCTTGGTAGATGGTTTTGGTTGCAGACTCAAGGCCAAATGGGGCTGTAGCCAAGCCCCTCCAGGAACAGGGCCATTTCTGTGCATAAACCTGGGAGTACAATCAGTTGATCAGCCACCTGGATGCCTGTCTGCACTCTCAAAATTACCCTCCTAAGTTTGGGCTCCACTCAGGTTTCATAACCTCTTTCCTGAATCTGAGACTCCCACAAAGAGCTTTTTATCTGTGAACAGGTGCAAAACTTTTTTTGTTGTAGGGGATATGAGTGGGTGACCTCCTATTTCTACCATCTTGCTGATGTCACTCTCTATTTTCATATTTTAGAATAAGAATTATGCTATGTTCTATAAAGAGTTATTGTGTTAAATAAAGTAGTGCATATAGAGTGCCAGCCACTTAGAAAAAATGAAACTAATTATTATGAAAATTTTTCTACATTACCTATTTTTATAAAGATTCCCAAGTCCTATTGTGTTTGTCAACCAATGTATGGCTCTACCTTTTTTATTTTGAGTTTGTTCTTTATACCAATGAACAAAAGATTATGATAACTTAAGTTTTCCCTCTACCAAATAGTAACAAATATACACTATATAACATTAATGCATTGATATATTTCTACATGAAAAGCCAATGGTTATCATGATTGAAAAAGCTAAACACCACAAATTAACATTAAAAGTGACATCAGCAAGATGACTTACTAGAGTTGCCCAGTGCTCATCCCCCACCCAATGAAGAGGGATCAAAATAACAAATAAACAACCATATTTCAACTACAGTGACTGAGAAAGTATGCTGGAGAGCACAGGGGGGTAGTGAAATTCCTGTGGAACATGGAAGCCCAGGATAGCACCATAGAAAAAAGAGCAAGTTATCCTGCCTCTGCCACATTTTCTCCCTTACTGGGATCACCTTGGGGTCTGGCATTCTTCCTCTTATGGGGGCAAAGGCAAGCTGGAGACCACCAGCAGTTCCTATCACCTCCACAGACAAAAGCAGTCCTTGCTACAGGAGAGTTTCCTAGTTTTCTCCGGCCCCAAATTTAGTTTGGAGAATTGCCAAGGGTTCATTTAGGTGCGTGGCCTCAGAGTAGAACCCTTACCCTTTCACCCTTATTCCCATGACTTAAGCTTCTATAGCACAGTGACATCTTGAAACCAGACCCACTCCTAGAATGTGTACTGCTCTTGGGGCCAGTAACCACTGACTCTTTATATCCGTGAGGCTCTGCCATCATTCCACCCCTTTAATGCGAATGTCTGCAGTACCACTACCCCAGCTGCCTGGAGCTTAGGCCTGATGAACAACCAAGATCTCAGAGTCCAAACCCATGTGACTCATGTGGCACTCCTCCACCCCAACCAAGGAATAGGTGGACCAGCACAGTGAGGAAGGTACTGGAAGGAAGCCAGCCAGCCTGCCAAGCCTATACACATCCACACCTGGCCAAATAGCTAGTCCCAGCAGCAGCCCCACCTCCCTGGGGAGACCAGTTGTACACTGTTGATGGGAATGTAAATTAGTACAGCAACTATGGAAAACAATATGGAGGTTCCTCAAAAAAATAAAAGTAGATCTACCATATTATGCAGCAATCCCACTACTGGATATATATGATATTGAATCCTCGTACACATCCAAAAATAGATAAATGGACAGAAAAAAAGTAGTGTGTGTGTGTGTGTGTGTGTCTATACACATACTATCTCTCTCTCTCTTTCTCTCTCTCTCTCTCTATATATATATATATACACACACACACACAATGGAATATTATTCAGCCATAAAAATAATAAAATCTTGTCATTTGCAATCACATGGATGAAACTGGAGGAAATCATGTTAAGTGAAATAAGCCAGACACAGAAAGACAAATACCACATGATCTCACTCATATGTAGAATCTTCAGAAAGAAAACGTTGGTGTCATAGAAGCAGAGAGTAGAACAGCAGTTACCAGAGATGAGGAGGAGGGAGGTAAGAGGATGACAGAGACAGATTGGTCAATGGGTACAAAGTTACAATTACATAGGAGAAATAAATTCTAGTTTTCTATTGCACAATAGGGTAACTATGGTTAACAGTAAGGCACTGTATATTACAAAACAGCTGGAAGAGGGGTTTTTTAATGTTCTCACCACAAAGAAATAATACCTACATGAGGTGATGGATACTCTACCCTGATTTGATTATTATATAGCACATATATGTATGAAAACACCAAATTGTACCCCATAAATACATACAATTATAATGTATCAATTTAAAAGAAAAGAAAAAATGTAAAGTTACCAGATGAACAAAAAAAAGGAAAATTAACACTAACACGAAGTTAACCAAAAGATGGTAATATTATTGAAAATCCATTTTAAAAATATAGTCATCGAGGTTCAATTTTACATAACACCAGTCTAGGGAAAACATAAGGAAATATTGAAATCTAACTTCCTTTGAATACTTACTCTACCAAATACACAGTTCCTGTCCTCCACACACTTTCAATCTGAGAAAATTAAATACATATGAAAAATCTAATGACAATTGAAATCACATATGATTATACAGCAGAATCATTCCACTTCCAGTTCTACTGCTACATGAAATTGCAGAATATTATATAACTGTTAGGCTACTTCCTAATTTTTATCAAGAGTCCACTCTTTTTGCTCACTCCAATACTCCACACACACAAAGAACATACTTGTGGATGTGTCAGAGTGTGGTTATTTCTTCATAACTTAATGCATCTGAATAAATACCTGATCAAGTTGTAGACACTTCTGTAGGAAGAGGAAAACGTTCATTTTCCTCTTTCAATGTTAGAGTACCTCTTTTTACCTCCTTCTTAGGACTTTCCCAAGAGAGTGAAGTTGCTAATTTATCAGTCAGAGCCCAGGACATTCCTTATGCATTCTAACATTTGTACAGGTTTCCATTCCTTGAATGCAACATATGTTGTAATCTCTCTTCCATATGTACCACCAACTTGAGAGTCGGCTTCACTTATGTTATGGGAGATTCTGCCAACTCCCTTAACAAGCCCAACTTTCATTTGTCCAGGGTTGATAATGGAGGAAAGATCTCAGGGGTAATGTGGCTGCACCTCACAGCCCTTCCCATATGTCTGCTGAGATTGGCCTTCCCATTAGAGATGGCACTAACCACCACTGCAGTCACTACTCTTGCCTAGAAGTACTGCTTCTTCAATGCCATGGCCCAAAACATGACTCAGGGTCCTTCACTTGGGTCACCAAAGCACCCCTTGAGGAAGTCTTCTCACTCACTCTCAGTGGGGACAGTGTGGGCCCATTTAGAGAGAAGTCTGTGAGGATGATTTTCTACTCTTGTTACCACAGCTGCTTCTCAGCTCCCCTCAAGGCAACAAGCTCCTCAAGGAACCAATTTATCTTGCCCAATCTAGAAAACATGCCAATACCAAGGTCAACTCTAGGCCAGATACCTCCCTGTATGCCACTGTCTGGATCCAGTCTAGCTGTGATTAGGCTGCCAAGAGGCTAACCTGAGGCTCACCCAGGCCTGGTACATGGGACTGCTTGCAGCAAATGTGGTTGTAAGTAGAGAGGAGAGAGGTGGGCTGAAGATGTATCTTCCTAGCCTTGGCCTTTGAGACAGGATGGATACCCAGTTGTGCTTATCAGCAGCCAGCAGCACTCCTCATTTCACAAATTACTTCATCACAAGTGCCTCCAAAACTCTAACCATTTCTCCAACTTGGGAATTCTCTCTAGAAAGACTTATTTTCTGTCAATGTCAGCCCATTGTCACTTCATGTTACTGTATCTTTAATGTGCTCTTAGTTTCTGTACTAACCTGAGCTAAATTTTGTAAAAAATACAGCATTTACACTGTTCTTTGGCTATTGTCTTTCATTGCGTTGGGCTGCAGTCCCTTCATTTAACATGCTTCCCTCACCCCATGTGAGAAATTTCCTTTTAGAACTAATTTCTATAAAAAGTTTGGTTTCCCCTTCTAAGGAACTAGTATTTGTAATGCTTATGGTTATTAAAAATTTTTAAGCAAGTTATTTTTTCCTTTTTTCCTTCACCTTCTGGAAAGCTCAGAGCCAAACTTACAGCTCAATTATGGGAACTGAGTTTGGTCTTTTGGCTCACAAACCTATATCAAGTTTCTAAGAGCTCCAAATTTTTACATTTATATTTCATTATTTTATTATACAGGTTTCTACATGCATCCTCAACTGTTGCAAAATTCAATAAAGAATATAGATGATACATAGGTAGATACACAAATAAATCAATAAATAGATGATTGATAAATATTAATAGATCAAAAGAAACGTCCAACTCATTGGTCATTTATTCAGCCAAATTTTGTTACTGAGTGTCCACCCCTTCTGAGTAGTAACTCTTAATTTCTTCAGTTCTCATCCTCATTCTCTGGATTATGTTTTCACCTTCAGGAACTCAAAATCACAAAGAAATATTGTCTTGCAAAGAGAAGAGGTTAAGCATCCTGTTCAAGGTCACACATGTAGCAGTGGCCGGGGCATGGTTGACTCAGGTGTCCTAGTTTCCAACTCAATGATGTTTTCACAACATTGCTCTGCTTTTTATGGAGTTTACAGTATGGAAACCCCACAAATAAAGGAAGAGTCCAAACTAACCACATATTTTTTGAATCCTGTTCTAATCCTATCTCCATCTTCTTCTGGGTAGAGGATTTTCTCTTCCCTTATCTTTTCCCTGAACATTTTTACCTTTTGCAGCACATTTCTTTCTCTTCCAGCTTCAATTCTTCACTTTTAGTATTTTCTCGTTAAAAAAAAAAAAAGCAACAATAGTTATAACGGTCTAGCTGACCTGCTGCTGTGTGTACTCAGTAAATGTTAGTTCCCTTCCCCTACACTTTGGAACATATTAAATGCTCCTCCCTCACCATATATGCTACCCCCCATCATTCCTATATTACTCCTTTCTGTACACACTGACCTGGGAAGTTGTTAATGACAAATGAATCAACGGAGATAGAATAGATACACATAATGTCATTTTAGTAAGATAAATAGAAATAAAGAAGGTACCAGTCTGTTCAATTGGAATAAAAAAACACTGCCTGTTTCTAATAAGTCTTTTCATATCTTCAACGTATTTGATTTTTGTCTTTGCATAGAAGAGAAAATAATGTCTGTTATTTATTATTTGATTTTCATTGTAGAAACTTGACTTCAGTGAAGTCACAGGAAGGAAGTTGATGATTTTTAGTAGGCATATATATATCACTATATATGTAGTGCAAACTTCCCCAGCACCTCTGTCTTCTCTACAAGCCCCATTTGCATATGGGAGTCCATATGGGGATCTATGTGGTTCCAAGGAAGCTCACTTCACTCTCTGGCCCCAGGGTTCATGACTTAGGCTACACAAATCAGCACATTCCACCCACCTGGCCACAGGACCACAGTGATTCATTACCTGGTGCATTATACAACCTCAAGAAGCCCAATCAAAATAAATCTCAAGACTTTTGTCGGAATTGCTGGGTCAAGGGCTCTCTCTCCTGCTCTGGAAATAGGAACTCTAATACTCCTCCAGACATTTTACTACGATGAGGAAAATCAGCTTGAGAATGAAGCCAAAACCTAGAGAATTACAAAGAAATTAAGCCAGGATCCTGATGATTCATGAACTGTTGGATTAGGCTTTACCTAAGCCTAGACTTTTTAGTTACATGAATTAATAAATTTTCTTTGTTATTTAAGCTCATGTGTTACTTTCCAATAGAAGCTTCCTAACTGATACACTGTTGTCACCTTAAAATTCATGTAACTTATGCTTATTTTTGATAGATTGAAGTTGTGATTCATCTTTGCTACTTCCTGTCTGTCTAATATGCTAAAGATACCAAGCAGATGAAGACTACAGTGGCGTGTATGTCTATGTGTGTGTATTTTCCCAGATGATCAACTCCAACAATAGTCATTATCCCCATCATCACAGCGGATGGGGCCATCATATGTAAATCAAACTCAGATGACCAAAGTTTACAGCAGCACTTGAAATTTAGTGTCTCAGAAGCATTTCATTTCAGCCCCATAAAAGTTATGGTATGCTGATTAAATACCAACTGGAAGCTAAAAGAGTGCTTACTTGAGGTTTATAGGCATGGAAAGGATGCATTCTGTTGCTACCTAATTTTGTTTTCTAAATATTCTTGCCCAAAGACAGCTGAATTCATGTATTTCATGTGTTTTAGGGGAGGGGGTGCGGGTACTCTTTTTTTATAATAGTATTTTCTGCCAATAATAAAATATGAGGAAGAGAAAATCACAGTAAAAGAAACCATATTCCTTTTCCAAAGAAAACATTTGTCGTCTTCAGTTTCTTCTCTTCTGTATTTGAAGGGAAAGAAGTAATTCATTCCCTTTGGTAAACATTTTCATGTGGGAGTATCCCAGTTTTCCCCTTTGTAATTTCAGTACAGAGCTTTGAATGTTTTGTACTTAGCTCCGTCTCCCTCCTCAACTCTCTGAGAAGAAAAAGGACAAGAGCCGCCTGAATAGATTTTCAATTTAAAAAAAAAGCAAAGAACTAAGAAGCTGTCTCAGCAGAGGAACAAGATGTGTCCATAGTCCTTTCTGTGCGGCTGCTCCCTACAAAGAAAGCAGGAATAAGGGAGGGACCAAGAAGGCAGGATCAGAAGCCGAGAATGACAGAGAGCAAGCTTTGAGGATAGGAGACTGAGTGGCTGCTGGGAATCTCAGGTGGTAAGGAAGCGCTGTACATGGAGAATTTTAGAGGAATTGCCATGGACCAATCTGTAAGGGTTTGAGTTGCTCCAGAACTGATCCCTGAGTGTCTCAATTCTATAGGCAATAAATACATCCTTTGGTGACTTCTTATTTCCAACATTTTATTATGAACTTTTTCAAACATATAGACAAGTTGCAAGAATTGTGGAGTGTACACCCATACACCCACCATGCAGATTCTACAACTAACAGTTTGCTATATTTGCTATCCATTTATCTATCCTTCTATCCTTTCATCAAGCCATCTTATTTTTTAGTACATTTTAAGGTAAGTTGCAGACCTCAGTATACTTTACTCTTAAGCATATCATCCTGCTTGTCATTAATTAGAGTTCAGGGTTCGATTATAGTATTTTTTCCCTAGGCAAAATTCACATAGAGTGGATTGCATGAATTTTAAGTGTACTATTCAATGAGTTTTAGCAAATATACATGCCTGTAAAAGGAAAATCCCTGTTGAGACATAGAACATTATCATGGTGATTTCTTTCTAACATGAACTATCAAGAGTATTATTTCTCTGCTCCATTCTTTTATTCAACAAATATGTTCCGAGCTCCTCTATGGTTCAGGTATTGTGCTAAGTGTTGGAGATAGAGAGGTAAACGAGATATAGCCCTTCATGGGAGCTGACTGTTTAGAGAAAGAGATCCCTGTACTTTAATTAGTTGTTTAATTAATTAAACTAGATAGTCACAGTTGCTGTGAAAATCTGTTCACACAGAGGAGAGGTTAGCCAATACACCTGAGTGGGGTCAAAAAGGGCTTCATGCCAGGTATTCTGAAAGATGAGAAGGAAGTCCCCAGGTGACTGGAGACTAGAGTATGAAGCAGCCTGAAATGTATGACCTTGCACAGAGTCTGGCATGGCTGAGTTCCAGGATGAGGGGGGTGAGAAGAGGTTGGAGACACAGTAAGGGCCAGGTACAAGAAGGCCTCAAGTGTCCTGCTAAGGAGTTAAGTTATAATCCAGAAAGTGATAGGAAGCTGAAGAGGGACCTGCCAGACATGTGAGCCAAGGTGCTCTGATAAAATCTACTCCATTTGGACCTTGAGAGAGATAAAGAGAGGGACCATCATGGAGGCTCTGGAGAAGGAAAGACAAACATTTTGGGATCAGATGTTAAATTATAAAAATTTTAATCCATAATCCAGGCAGTTAGATGCTGAAGGTCATGGATGATTAGCTAGCTGCCAGCCAGAACGTGTCTTCCATGCATTGTCAGAAACAGGAAAGGAGCCCTGGAGAAGTCCGGCCTCCAGCTGCTCCTCAACTCACATTACCAGAGAGCATTGTGGACTTAAGAGAACTGAAGAAGTCTGAGCTGGGAAACCTTAGATTCTAACATGATACAGTCATGTATCACTTGCCAACAGTGATGCATTCTGAGCAATGCATCATTAAGCAATTTTTGTCACTGTGTGAACATCATAAAGTGCACTTATGCAAACCTAGATGGTTTAGCCTACTACACACTTAAGCTCTATGGTAAAGCCTATTGCCCCTAGGCTACAAACCTGTACAGCACGTTACTGTACTAAATACTGCAGGCAATTGTAACACAATGGTAAGTATTTGTGTATCTAAACATAGCTAAACATAGAAAAAGTACAGTAAAATTATAGTATTATACTCTTACAAGGCCAGCATCATATATGTGGTTTGCCGTTGACCAAAACATCGTTATGTGGTGGAGAACTGTATTTTTTAATGTAGTCAGTTGCATTTCAATCACCTAATAATGTTATGGAACAACTCCTTTAAAAAGTGTTGTGAAGGGTCTTGCCAGACTCTTTCAAGAGATAAATCTTATGGCTGAAACAGTTCAGTCACCTTTGTTTATACTGAGAGAAAATTAAATGATCACACAAACACAAGGTCTGTGTAGGCACGTGTGAGTACAAGCATGCAAACTCACAGGCATGTGCACACACTCTTGCTACAATCAAGGTTGAATTTTCTTATGTTCCAATGTCTCCCAGATAAGAAATGTGAAATGTGAAATGAATACAATGTTAAGTATTTGTGTATCTAAACATAGCTAAACATAGAAAAAGTACAGTAAAATTACAGTATTATAGTCTTATGAGGCCAACATCATATATGTGGTTCGCCATTGACCAAAACATCATTATGTGGTGGAGAACTGTATTTTTTAATGTAGTCAGTTGCATTTCAATCACCTAATAATGTTATGGAACAACTCCTTTAAAAAGTGTTGTGAAGGGTCTTGCCAGACTCTATCAAGAGATAAATCTTATGGCTGAAATAGTTCAGTCACCTTTGTTTATACTGAGAGAAAATTAAATGATCACACAAACACAAGGTCTGTGTAGGCACGTGTGAGTACAAGCATGCAAACTCACAGGCATGTGCACACACACTTGCTACAATCAAGGCTGAATCTTCTTGTGTTCCAATGTCTCCCAGGTAAGAAATGTGAAATGATCCAGGGTAAAGCGTCAAATTCTCTTTCGACAGGATGGAAAATTAGTGTGCTGTTGTAGTAAAATCCAGAGTGGACTATGAAATCAATAGCTGTAAAATCCAGTAGAATACTGCTAAGTTAAAAAAAAAATAGCCAGGGCCTCTCCATTGGTGGGGATGCCTTCCAAACTCCTAATAGATTTGATTTGTGATAAAGGTTGAAGGTGTGAGTCACACAGTAAACAATATCAATAAAAAAACAAGGGAAGAAGAGTGAATAAAGGAGAGAGGCTTAATGAAGAACAAAGAGAAGAAATCATCTCAGGAGAAGATATCGGGTCTTCATTTTTTCCTGGCCTTTTAACAGAGCTACAGTTTTGTAAATCAGATGGAATGATCTTGCTTTAACAGCCAAGCAGAGAATGATCAAAAAGGGTGAAAGTACTGATTTTTAGGACTTAATATCCTACACAGTGAAAAGCTGTCCTATCAGAAATGTTCCTCTCTTTTCCTTCCCTCTCTTCCCCCACCCACCTTCCTCTCTTTCTCCATGCCACCCCCATTTTATCTTTTTATTTGTCTCTCTTTTAACTTTGAGATCCTCGCTGAACTCTGATTGGAGTTACAACAACTCCCTAGTTACTTGAAGAACTCTGAGAAGTTGCTTCATGTTTACACCTCATTAAAACAGAGATCAGTCTTCATCAAGAGCAAAATTCAAGCCCAGAGTGATGGCTCACGCCTGTTATCCCAATGCTTTGGGAGGCCAAGACAGGAGGATTGCTTGAACCCAAGAGTTCAAGACCAGCCTGGGAAACCTAGGGAGACCTTCTCTACAAAAACTTTTAAAAATTGTCTGGGTGTGGTGGCATGCGCCTGTAGTCCTAGCTACTTGGGAGGCTGAGGTGGGAGGATCCCTTGAGCCCAGGCATTTGAAGTTACAGGGAGCTGTAATTATGCCACTGAAGTACAGCTTGGGTGACAAAGCAAGACCCTGTCTCTAAACAAAACAAAACAAACAAACCAAAAGGAAGCAAAAATTTTAATATTCACGCACCTCTTTTATTAGCCATGGAGTTTTCAGGTAAAAAATAAATGTTTAATTAGCTTAGGTATATTTGATTGGTCCAGGTACAGGACTCAGCCTCTCCTCTGCTCCCCTTGCTTCTCAACTGTGTGCTGACTTCTCTTTTTGGCTGTTGTCTCCAGATAGAAGCTACAGCATCTCTAGCCTCACCTTCACATTCTGGGGACTGACAAGGAGCTTGTTGTCCCCAATCATTTAAAAATCAGTTAAGGTCCCATAACTGAGCCCCTTTAGGCTAACTTGGTTTATATTCTCATCCCTAAATAAAACATGCTGATAGGCCAGGACTGGATCATATGACCACCCAGCAGTTGAAGAATGGAGTAAATCACATGGTTTGAGGGTTGGGTAACAGGTGTCCCCAAGGAAAATGGAAAGGTTATTGTTAGGATAGGAGGGAGTGGATTAGAGGCAGGCAAAGACACGAGATGTGCGCTAAGTTTCTGAAAACTCAAGGTTTGTGTCTCAGTCGGCCTGGGATGCTATAATAAAATACCATAGACTGCATGACTTACACATCAGAAATGTATTTCTTATAGTTTGGAAGCTGAAAAGTCCAAGGTCAGAGTGCCAGCATAGTTGACTTCTGGTGAAGGCCCTCTTCCTAGTTTGCAGATGGCCATCTTCTCTTGTGTCCTCACATGGTAGAGAGCAGAAAGAGAGGGAAAGCTAGTTCCCTGGACTCTCTTGTTATAAGGGCACTAATCCCATTATGAGGTCTCCATCCTGTCTTCTAAAGCCCTCATCTCCAAACACCATCACATTGGAGATTGGGGTTTCTATGTATGAATTTTTGAGAGACACAAACATTCAAACCATAGCAACTTGAAACACTAGTAAAAGCAGAACCCAAAAAACAGGCAGACACCACACCTCTATCTATACTGGTTAAAGTGGAGAAGGAGAGCATAGATCCTCCCATCTCCACTGAGAACCACTGCTCTTGCGATGCTTCTTCCTGACATTTTATCTCCCTGCCCCATCATTTATACAAAGTGACCAAAGCCTCCTTGATGGTATCAGGAGAAGAACAGTGCTGAGAAAGACAGAATGACAAAGTACACCCATGACATCTGGCCTCAAGCTTTGTTCTCAGTCTTGTTTCACAACTATTCTCCAACAAATTCACATTCTAGCACACTAAACTTTCCTTAACATGGCATACATGTTACCTCTTCCTGGAATTTTCTATTTCCTTTTCTTAATTTGTTGAAAGCCTTCCTATCCCTCAAGACGCGGCTCAAATGCCACCTCTTCCCTGAATCCCCAGTTCGAACGAATCCCTCCTTTGTGACTTCCCATGAATTCTGCTCAGACCTCTATTTACAAGCATTCTATTCACTCAAATGCCAATCCTGGGAAGATCTTTGGTAATCAGTACAGTAATACCCTTCTTCTGAACAGAAATTCTGCAGGATATTAATAGGTATTTTGACTAAAAGGAATTCTGTGATCAAAAAAAACCTGGGCAACACAGGGTTAAAAAATGTTAAGCTTTCTTTAGTACAAGATTTCTCCTAGTCTTTAGTATGCATGTGTGTGTTGTAAATCTATAAGAAGAGGCTTTGATAAGGAGCATTTTCCACATTTTTTGTTTATTTTAAATTGGCAGATAACAATTGTATATATGTATGGGGTTCAAAGGGATATTTCAATACATGTATACATTGTGGCATGATCAAATCAGAATAATTACATATTCATCACCTCAAATATTTGTCATTTCTTTGTGATGAAAACATTGAAAATCCTCCTTTAGCCATTTTGAAATACATAATACATTATTATTAACTGTGCAACAGAACACCAGAACTTATTCCTCTTGTCTAACTGAAGTTCCATACTTGTTGACCAATGTCTCCCCTTTTCCCATCCACCCCCACTTCCCTCATCTGCCTCTGGTAACCACCATTCTACTCTCTGTTTCTTTGAATTCAGCTTTTTTTAGATTCCATATATAACTGAGACCACATATATGGTCTTTGCCTCTCTGTGCCTGGCTTATTTCATTTAATATAATGTTCTATGGGCAAAGAACTTGAATGGACATTTCTCAAAACAAGACATACAAATGACCAACAGACATACGACAACAATGTTCAACATCTCTAACTATCAAAGAAATGCAAATTAAAACCACAATGAACTATCACCTCACACCTGTTAGATTGGCTATATTCAAAACAAGGAATCATAACAAATGTTGGCAAAGATGTGGAGCAAAAGGAACCCTTATGCACTGTTGGTGGTAAGGTAAATTAGTATGACCATTTTGGGACATGTTATGGAGGTTTCTCCAAAAACTAAAAGTGGAATTACCACAAGATCCAGCAATCCCACTACTGGATATATATTTAAAGAAAAGAAAATCAGCTGAAGGGATGTCTGCACTCCCATGTTCATTGCAGCATTATTCATAATAGACAAGATATGTAAACAACCTGACTCTCCATCAATGGAAGAATGAATTTTTAAAATGTAGTATATACACAAAATGAAATTCTATTCAGCCTTAAGAAAAAAACATGAAATTTCCCACATTTGTTTAAGCAAAGGATTCTATTTGAGAAAACATCTAGAAAAGCCATTATTTCTGAAGAATATACTATGAGAAAAGCTGACCTAGCCTAGTTCCTTTTATAAATGAATAAAGCAATTCTCATAGAGTTTTAATGACCTGGTCAACCCATAGCTCATCAATACTGGGGCCAGGATCACAAGACACATCTCTCGTTTCCAAGTGTCAAGCCATTGCCTTTACACTGCATCCTCGCAGGTGCACTGTAGGCTTCCAGAGCTGTTCATTCTCCATAGGAAAGATCAGGGTCGGCCCTGTGGCTGGAAGCTGGGGTGGAGGCTCCAGGCCACCCTCATTCTAAGGCAGTAATACATAGTAAGCTCCCAAACATTACTACTGAGAGTCAGGACCATGGGCAACATTAAATATTGCCTTAGGTTGGGGTCCCCAGAGGTAGGAACAAAAGGATTTGAGTTCTGATAGTTTATTTGGGAAGTGATCCCAGTGTAGAGATGTGGAAAAGTGAGACTAGGAGGGGAAAGCAGCCAATATAGGGTTTATTTATGTGAAGGTGAGTAAGTGGAGTTGAATTCCACAGGGTCATCTGTGTAAACAATGTACAGCACACCTCAAAGATGTCTTGTCCTATGATCAAGGAACCGAACTATTTATCACCAATTCTCATTCATCATTGGCTGAAGACTGTTTCCACAGATGTTAACTCCCCAGCACCTCTGTCCTGCCCTGCAGCAGACTAGGCATGTTCCTGTGGTCATGGGCTGGATATTGACAGCATCAATTAAGTACCCTGGGAAAATGCTCTGTACATAACAGGTACCTGGGATCAGGTGCATTGTCTCACTCAGCACTGGCCTTATTAAGTCCATTGCCAAAGCTATGAGGATGCCTCTAAGACTTCTAAGTGCAGGGCTGAGGCCACACTTATCATGAGCTTCCAACCAATGACTGAGTGTGGTAGAGCTACTAAGGCAGGCCCATACACTGGAGATCTCATAGCTAACTTTAGCTCCAGGACTCATTGCTGGCCTAGCCAAACTTACACTGCATAGCAGTCTACAATACTTCCACCTTTCCTTCCCTCTCTCTTGTACTCAGGATGAACTTACATTGTGGTCTCATGGCACTCCTTGACTTTCCCAACTCCTTCCCCATGTTCTCTCATGCAGGGGTTCCTTTAATCCCACATTTTAATCCCATGTTGGCCACTCCTTCTCTGAAACACACATCCACAAAAACTCCCTGGTGATAGCCATTGGAGCTCCACTGCAGCATCAGGGAAGGCAACTTCCATACTGTATAAACAAATTATTCATGAAATCCCTTTTTCACAAGGAACAGAAAATAATATTTCAATGGCCAGGAGAGGGTTACAAGAGTTCAACTGCAATTCTCTCTTTCTGCAGGAAACTTTTAGTATTGCTTCTCTTTTACTCCAAGACTAAATTTCTCAGTTGTCTTATTAACACCCTAGCATATGTTGGTGAGGATGTGGAGCAACTGGCATTCCCGCACAATAATGGTAGGAATGTAAAATGGTTTAACCATTTTGAAAAATGTTTGGTAATTTCTCAAAAAATTAAACATACATCTATCATCGGATCCAGCCACTGTACTCCCAGGTATTTATCCAAGAGAAATGTAAGTGTATATCCACATAAAGACCTGTACACAAATGTTCTTCCTATCCCAGCTCACCTGCCACACACACATACCACTTCCAGACCTACTCTCGCCAACAACACAGAGCAAATGTCAGGTGGTCCATCAGGCAGCGGGTGTGAAATGTTTAGAAATAGCATTTAATATTAGCCTTAATGAAGAGCAACAAAAATAATCTGGAAGGAATTGTTATTGCAAAACTGAACTCAGTGAAATTTTGATAATTTGATTAATTAGTCATAAAGCCAGGCAGACTCTATGACAAATCTGGATTCTAGAATGTGCTTAAAGAAGTTTAATTGTAGTGCTTCCTGAGTTTCTGTACCCACTAAAATCTTAGCTATAAGGACATACCCATTATAAGCTACACCCAGCCCCAATTGCTTAGTACAGTTAAAGGTACTTTGAATTTTTTATTTGAAATTGTTACTCATTACAGAAAAAAGTCCTTAACTTTCGAGTAACAGTTTGCAATTTTCAGGGACAGAAATTCTGTGGTTTTTATCCAACAAGTGCCACATATCTGTGTCACTATCATTATAAGCCCAGTTTGAATGAGGGAGAAGATTTTTTTGGTGGTCAGTCAGGCAGCCCAGTCCTTGCAGAAGGTTCTCAACGTGCTGAACAAGGCCTTCTGGAAAAGGCTCCCTCGGGCACTTATGTGTATAAGAGTCAGAAACAGTCAATTGTCCTAAAATAAAATGCCAGATTCTGTTCTTTCTGAAGGCCATGAGAGTTCATCCTGAAACTACCTTCTAATCAGGTGTTCTTTCCTTGGCTTTTTTCTCTTTTTACTCAGTCCTATGGAAACCTAAGCCAGACTCACTCTCCTGCTTGTTCAATCCTAGAGAGTTGGAGCCTGAGGATGCTCCATGCTGTGAGTATTCTGCCTACAGTTAAGGTGTTGGCTGGGTCTACAGTCATATCAAGGCTTAACTGGGGGAGGATGGTGCTTCAAAATTCACTCCTGTGGCTATTCACAGGCCTTGACACATAGGCCTCTCCATAGGACTACTTGAAACATGACAACTTGCTTCCACCAAAGTGGGAGCTCTGAGAGAAAGCAAGAGAACCAGAAAGCCAGAAATCTTTTTGTAACCTAATCTCAGAAGTGATATCCCATCACTTCTGCTGGATTATATTGGTTGGAGCAAGTCACTAAGTCTAGCTAACACACAAGGAGAGAGGATTATACAAAGGCAAAAAATATCAGGATGCAGAAGTCATTGGAGGCCATTTTAGAGGCTATCTACCGCTGTCTGCTCTCTGGCAGATGGGACTGGCATAGCCTCACTTTTATGGACATTTCTGTTCAAGAAGGAGGAATACGGAAAGCACAAAAAAGTGACTAGTCTGTAGCAGTTATAAAATCTAGCCAACCAAATGCTGGAAGTTCCTTAAATAATTGTCCATGGTTCTTGGCTCTGTCCTTTAGGCTCTTGATTGTGCTCTCTGAGTTACCCTTCCTTTTTCATGAATGGTAGCATGCCTTTGCAGCTGAGTAGTTTTCTCAGCTTGGCTCCTTCCAGTAGAAGTTTGAGGGTCCCACAACCTCTTTTCCTTTTGTACCGATCTATCCTTTTCATTATAAGCTGGCAGTGTTATGCTGATTAGTTCACTCAAAAACTTTGTTAACCATCGTGAATTTCACTGGGCTTCATCAAAATCAAGAACCCTGCTCTTTGAATGATACAGTTAAGAGAAAGAATATAAGCCACAAGCAGAGAGGAAATATTTGAAATCATACATCTGATAAAGGACTTGCAGCCAGAATATATAAAGAAATCTCAATTCTCAATAATAAAAAACCAATTTAAAAATGGACAAAAAATGTGAAGATACTTCACCAAAGAAGATATACAGACGACAAATAAACACATGGAAAAAGCTAACCATTATTACTTATTAGGTAAGTACAAATTAAAACACTGGGATGCTACTACCCACATATTAAAATGTCTAAAATTAAAATGGCTGAGTATAGCAAGTGTTGGTGAGAACGTGAAGCATAAAATGATGGTGGGAAATGGTTCAACCACTTTGGAAAAAGTAAAGGTCTGGCAGTTTCTCAAACCGTTAAACATACACCTATCATAAGATTTAGCCATTGCAAAATTCCTAGATATTTACCCAAGAGAAATGAAAGCATATATCCACGGAAAGACTTTTACACAAATGTTTACAGAAACTTTATTTTAATAACAAAAAGTGTGAACAACCCAAATACCCATCAACAGGCGAATGGATAAACAATTGGTGGTATATCCACACAGTGGAATACTACTAAACAATAAGAAAAGCGCTATTGATACACATACAATAGGCAAGAATCTTAAAATAATTAGGCTGAACGAAGAAAGCAAGGCAAAAAAAGAATACACATTATATGATTCCACTTACATATAATATAGAAAATGCAAACAAATTTATAGTGACATAAAGCTGATGAATAGTTGCTTGGTGACAGTGGGAAAGGAAGGGGAATGATGGCAGGAAAGGATTACAGTAGGGTTCCAAGACACTTTTGGAGGTGATGGATATATTTATTTTCTTGACTGAGTGACTGATAGTTTCATGAGCCTGGAATTTCCTTGCCAAGCTTTGTTGGCCTCAAGGGAGGCACAGATGACTTGGAACTTGAGACTTGATAGAGCTCTCAGAAACCATGTATCTAGTTCTCTGCTTGATACTGGATTCATCTCCACAGCAGCCACCTCTTTGTCCTCCAGCCTGTTCCCTGCTCTCTGCCAAGGCCAACCCATGTCCAGAATAGAAACTTAGCAGTTGTTTAAATGTATTGTTCTCTCCCATAGAAGCTTTAGGCTTTTTCTCAATCACAGTGATTTTTGTAACATTTCACTAATTCAATTGGGTATTTGGCAAGAAAATCATCTACTTTAACCTTAAGCCAGTTCAACTGTGGGCAGTGTTAGTCTCTGTAAGCTTTTGGACTCTAAATTCATAGATCCCTTTGGGAAACTAATGGAAGGCATGTTCCACTAGCATATAATAAATGGGAGTAGGATTATGGAACTTAACTGTCTTGGCAGGACATAGTCAGATGGACTGGTGGAGGAGGAATTATCTAAATTCCCTCCTTGAGCAGGACCAAGCCTTCTGGGAGCAGTACATAGGAAAGCTGCATGAAGGGCTTGAGGACATGAGGGGTTTGCCCCTGTGCAATGTTCCTTGTTCATTTTCCAGGCTTAGGGAGAGATGAGATGATATAAGAGTAAACAGTTTGGATTTTGGAGTCAAATCATCTGGATTTGCATCCCAGCGCTGACTTGGCAGTATTATATCACATTAGTAATTGTCGTTGTCACAAATTTTCTTTTAGGCTTGGGTGAGGCACCAACTTCGCACTGTTAATATGTTGCAATAATTAGTTAGGGGAGCTGCCAGATGACAGTGCTGGTTCCATGACTGAGAGATTAAATTTCCAGCTTTTCGGAGGACCCGTCACGCCTGGAAGACCACTAGAGAAACTTTTGTTTGCCCCAGGTAGTCTCCACACCTGCTACCAGGCAGCTGGACCCAAAACTCTAATTGGTATATAACAATCACAGCTACTGTCACGGAAAATGAGAGGGAGAAGCAAGTCTTGTGACTAATCCAAATCACACTCCAAAAGATCTCCTGTAGGTTGCCAGCCCCCACATGCAGGGTCCAGGTCTGAATTTGCTCTATAATCCAACACCAAGCAGAGCACTCAGCATACAAAGGTGCAATAAGCATTTGACATGGGTAAGTCCCATCTTCTCCCATACTTTGGGCGCTGCCTCAGGCCACAGATAACAAGTGCCATTTACTGTGTGGCACTGTGCCAAATGTTTTCAAAACAAGTTACAGAAATTTTTTAAGCCAGTTGCAGTCTTTCAGTTCCCCAGACGATCCTCCATCAAATGGATCTGGAAAGTAGGTGGCAGCAAACAAAGTCTTACCTGACAGCAGAGACCACACGTACATCCCACCCTATGCTGCCTCAAGCATGCTTGAAAATGCAAGATGCAAGCAAGTCCCCTCATCTGCCTCCTTCATTCTCAAGGAAGTTGGAAGGTATACACCTCCTTTTTCTGGCCCCTCAAGTGCTCAGGATAAGGGAGCCACTGTCCCCCACATCCAGCCCCACCCTGACATCCTGCAGAAACTACTGGAAAACCCACTCTAGGCTCTGAGGTCAGGCCTAACTCCATTTTGCATCATGGGCAAGAAAGCCATGGCGTGCAAGAGCCAGCTCAAATGGGCTGATGAGAGTTGATTGTGTACATCTCTTCTCAACTCTTAATGAGTGGCTCAAAACTAGCCATATGGGAATATTTACACCAAGGGAATTGGTGAACATTACAAATCAGGGCTTTTCCTTTTCCCCTGGAGAGGTGATTCTTACACATTTACCAGCATGCCACTGTTTTGAAGATATAAACTCTTACCATTCTGAGACAATGCTCTCATCAGTGTGCAAACATTTTACACTACTTTGAAAACTAGGAACATGTCAGATGGATTCATATGCTGCCTTTGGGAACCCAAACCTTTCAATTGCCTTGCTTTAAGTATTACAGCTGTCATCTTTGAATTTTTCATTTACCAGTAGAACCTTTAATCTACCTATAAAATATGATTCATATAATGAATCCAGGTATTTCACCCAGTACTAAAATCCAAAAGCAATTAGCCTTTTTGTTTATTTCACATGGGAGTCAGACTAAAAGCTTAATGAACATGCAAAAAAGAGCCAGGCATTGGTCCAA
Source organism: Homo sapiens (assembly GCF_000001405.40). Classification (NCBI taxonomy): domain Eukaryota; kingdom Metazoa; phylum Chordata; class Mammalia; order Primates; family Hominidae; genus Homo; species Homo sapiens. The sequence goes on along the minus strand of NC_000003.12, from coordinate 137,230,392 downwards.
ATGTCTGAATGATGTACTAATTAAATTGTATAACAACACTGCTATCTTTATACATACACTTTATTACAGGTTGGGGAATCAGCTTGGGCCTTCCAAGTCAGCCTCTGAGAGAGCACGTCTTTAAAACTAGAGGAACGGTACAGGGTATACCTTTGTAAAGAAGATACAGCTACAATTCAGAGAGAACAGATAAGACTTTGGATGAGATTGAAAAAGCTTCGTTAATTTTTCTCCTCTGTCTGCTATGATATGATCTTAATCAGGGATAAGAGTTAAAAAGTCTGCTTATTCATGTATTCACAAAATAAATATGATGAAACTTGGGGTAGATGCTGGGGATAATATAAAATTAACAAGACCTGGCCCAGGCCCTCTAAAGTCCCCAGATAGCTCCAGCCTGGCAGGGAAGTGAATGTTTATGAGGAAGATGTCCCTAAATGTGACCTAGGATTCACAGGTTCCTCATGGGTCCAGGGAGGTATTGTTAACACCACCAGGGAATGGGGATGGGGTTGCTGAAGTGAACTTGAGTGGATCTCTCATTTTATTCATCCTAATCCATAGGCTTCCATGAAGAGTTAATGAAATATACATTGTTGATGTAGTCTGTTTGCAAAACTCCTGCTGTTTGCCACAAGGAAAAACAAGAAAGAATAGTAATAGCAATAACATGCACTGAGGTTTTCCTGATGCCAGGCATGGTTTTAAGAACTTCACTTGTCCTGACACATGTAATCCTTATGGCAACACTAAGATGACTAGATGAGCAAAGTGACTTTCACAAGTGATAGAGTTAGGATTTGAATCCAAGGTTCTGGTATGCCCCATCATACATTATCTTTCTGGGACTGCACAGCTAAGTGCAAGTATGCCATCCCAGGTCTCACCCTACTTATCATTGCCTCATCTCTGTATATTTATTTTCTTTAAGGAAACCGTCCAGTGTAGCTAAAGAGGAAGGGCACATAGATAAATAACATGAGCCTTGGAGTCATTCATGAGTCCTCCTCCCAGCCACATCACTGACTAAGCTGTGACCTCCAAATTGTCTCTACAGTCTCAGCTGCCACCACTGCCCATCTCAGGTCATGAAATCCAAGCCCCCCTGAGCCACTCACAGTTTCCCTAATCATCTGGCCCTGCTTGATATCCAAACCTATGCAGGTTGTTTCTTCTCCCAAACAGAATCCCTTCCCCACAACCATCACCACCCTGCCCCACCCAATCATAGCTTCTCACTCTTGGATATCTCTTCCCTCCAGGAAGCCCTCCCTGACCCCTCAACACCGGGTAGGCTCCTTGCTTGGATGCCTGGAGGACCCTGCCCTCGTGCCCAGGTTAGCATTTATCATTTTTCACATGTTAGGTGTAACTGCCTGTGAGTCTCATCCCATGGTCCTGCACTTACTAATTAGGAGAACCTCAGAACCACCTAGACAGTCTTCAATATTGTCTCTCAAACCCACCCTAGAGACTGTAATTCAAAAGATGCTAACAGTGACCCAGAACACTGGATCTTTAAAAAGCTCCCAGGGGATTCTGATGTGCACCCAATTCAGTGCTTACCTGACTATAAAGTACCCTGGATTATACACTTTTAAAGGCTGGGGTTGTGCATTTGCCCACAGGTGTATACCCACAGCTGAATACATAATTTAGCCCAGAGTAAGAGTCTGTTAGTATGTGTTAGTTGACTTACTGAATGTGTGAAGTTAATCAATCTCACATATCCTCAGTACTTTAATTTGTAAAATGGTAATATAACATCCTTCTAGGATAATTCTCGTGACTACCTATAATAAAGAAAAGATGAAGGAGGAAATTACAATAAAGGAATTCCTCATTCTAGTATTAAAGAACCTCTCTACTATCTGTTATCATGAAAACCCTCTTTAATGAGGCTCATGTTATCATGTGTGCTTCAGAAAGAAGAAACAATCCTTTGTTTAAGTAATCCACATGGTCATTCCACACTCTATATGCTGCATTGCAGGAAAAATAATGAAGTCATTTCAGGTATATTCCTCAAATGACCCAGCTTCTCTTTAACACGGTATGCACCTGGAAGATTTTATTTCAAGTTCATGGGAGCATATAATCCTGTCTTTGTCCTTCCCACTTGGCCACCCACTTTGCCAGGATCAGCAGCCACTTACTAAAGGAGAGGCCCTGTCTGCTCAGAGGTTTTACCCACTTTCCACAGACCTTCTTTAAATTCACCCAATGTGACACGTTTGGGAGCCAACACTTTTGAGATGCACAGCACTTCAATTGTCCCCCTAGAGGAGAAAGAGCCAGCACATTCCCAAGTTCTTTCTCCTTGTCAGGAAACAGACCTAGCCTGAGAAGCAGAAGTTTTTACTCTCTCAGAAGAGCCCTGGGCAGTCTGTTCTAGCCACTCCTGGAGCCCCCTCACTGCCCTGTGAAAGGCTGGACCTTCTGGTCAGCCTGACCTGATGTGGTCTGATGTGCATGAGGTTCCTACACATTCTCTTACAAGACCCTAGGAAGTAAGCATGAAAGACACAATCAAGGCAGATTATTCCCATCCTTTTTAGGACACTGTCCTAGGTGCTTGGCAGAACTGGCAAAAAGCAAGGTCTACAAAAGAAAATCATGAATGCTCTGGGCTGCCACATGTGCCTCAGGAACCCAGGGTAGAGCTGGATGCTTAGGGAAGATGAGGGGATCACGGATAAGTCCTCAAACATCCCCAGCCTGGGACACGAAAATAAGGTCTTCACGTTACAATGACTCTGAGAGCCCATCCTGCAGAGTGTTGGACATTCAAATTTTAACTAGGCTGCCCCAAGCCCCAAGTATTTTCAGGGATCCCCAAGAAGGACTCACATGTTCCCTAGATCTGTCTCTGTGCTTGTCTGTTGCCTCTGGCAGATGACATTACTCTAAACCACTGGTTTTCTTCAACTCTGCTAGTTCATTGCAATGTCTATTTGGTGGCTTCTACAGCCATCTCAACTCCCCTTGCCCCAGTTCCATTCAAGAAATGACACAAGCTTCTCCACTACTATTGGAAGAGCTCACTAGGACAAATCTGCCTCAGGGGTCCTGACCACATCTCACACATCAGGCACTACAACAGTCACCCAGAGGGGTCTCGGCCTCTCCTTACCTCTGAATTGAGCACCCCACTCTCCCTATCCCCAAGACAGACCATGATCTCCCTTTCCCAATCCAAGCTCTTGACAAAATCCCAGTGGAGGACCAGCTGTTCCCTTAAGGAGAAGGCACACACATAGCCCAGACAAGCCAGTTATCCTCCAAAGCAATGCCTGCTCTAGATGAAGCCACTGAAAGTAAATTTGAAAATTTGTGCTGAAGGGATTAGCAGGACCCAGGAGGCTATTGGGAGCCATGACCCAATGTCTTCAGACTCTACAACCTGCCCTCAGCTTTCTAGCTCTCTGCCTTATCTCTTACCACCCTCACCCACCCATCCTGTCCTGTAGCCTCTGCGCTCTCAGGATCAGCAGCCTGTGCTAGGCTGGGCACTGATTCACCCCTGCTAACTCTCTCCAAAAACAGAGCCCCTCCTTCTGCCCCAACTGCCTCCAGCTGTAGCAGCACAGAACTGGGACGGACACAAATGGAGGAAACATTGCTTAAAACACTGTTAAGAGGACAAAATGGGGCTAGGTGCAGTGGCTCATGCCTGCAATCTCAGCACTTCGGGAGGCCAAGGTAGAAGGATTACTTGGAGCCAGGAGTTCAAGACCAGCCTGGGAAACATAGCAAGACTCTATCTCTACAAAGAAACTAAAAATTAGCTGAGCATGGTGGCACACAGCTGGAGTCCCAGCTACGCAGGAGGCTAAGGCCAGGGGATCACTTGAGTCCAGGAGTTAGAGACTGCAAAGAGCTATGATCATGCCACTGCACTATAGCCTGGGCAACAAAGCAAGACCGTATCTCTCCAAAATAAAAAATAAAAACCTGCAAGTTAAAACTACAGAATTTTTCCAAAGTTATTAAAACCATCTCAAATTATTGTAAACTTTATAGTAAAAAGTCCTTGTAAATCAGTATATTTATCACTTGGTAAATTTAGTGAACTGGTCATTTGATGAAATTTGCAAATCTATAAATGTTAAAATGTTGTCAATAGGGAAAATGACTTATATAATAGAATAATATTTAAGTGTAACCTAAGAAAAATTTATAGAAAACTCAAAAAATGTAGTTATGTTCAAAAAAACTATGCATTTATTCAACAATATCACTGTATATCTCTTATGAGCCAAGCCCTATTCTAGGCACTTAGGCAACATCAGTGAACAAAATAAAGATTTTTGCCTCCATAGAATAATAAGCATATCAGTGCTATTGCATGTCAAAAGACAAAGAGTGCAACAGGAAAACAGAAATGTATAGCAGGATGAGGGAATCAGAAATGCAGGAGGAGAAATGGCAATTAGATGGAAAATTCAGGAGGACTATATTGACTGAAGGTATTCAACAAAAACATTGAAATTTTTCATTGACAATATTCAGGGAAAAAAATCACATTCATTAAAAAAATTGAAGAAAAATAATTCCCAAAATAAGTTTAAAAGACAAATCAATATATTTGGTAGATTCAACAAACTGGCCCTTTTTGCATTTGTGTAATAGAATGACCCATTCTGGAGATTTTTCCCAAATGAACTCAAAGAAGGAGCCAACGACTCTACCTCTAGAACAAAATTGCCTGCAACTTCTAAAGGCATTTCTCTTACTAAGGGAAAAAAAGGTGAATTGTGCTACACCAGCACCCAACTGCACCCATGAAATGCCAGTGAGCATTCCAAGTCACTGATGAGGTGCTCAGGAAGAGTTGGGGTAGTCCTTAGTGTGGACACTGAAAAACAAGCAGGTTCACATAAGCAAAGAGAAAGGGAAGCCAGATAAGGAGCTCTTTGAGAAATAGAACTCCAGCTTATGCTTTCTTATACAAGGCCCAGCACAAAGGAATTGCTCAATATAAGTTTATTGAATAAATGAATGGTAACAGAGGTGTTCCACACAGGGGAAGGAAAGGAGGGAATGGGTGTGCTCTGCCTACGGCACAGAGAGAACACTGGCCTGGCTGCAGTAGAAGCAGGTATGTTGAACAGTAGGGAACAAGACTTGGACAGGTAAGCCTGATTCTACCAGCTAGAAACCAGAGATGGAACAACAGAGAGAGAGAGAAGCGGATCTTCTTCATCCAGGGGCTGCAGATCCCTAGAGCAGGGTTTATTAGGAATCTTATCAGAATGTAGATTCTGATGCAACAGGTTTAGGTTAGGGCCTGAGATTTCACATTTCTGAAAAGCTCCCAGGTGATGCTGTTGCTGCTGGATCACAGTTGGAGGAGCAAGTCTCTAGAGAGTCCATGACAGGCTTTAAAGCTGTGTGACCCCACTAAAATCATGCACAAAATGTTGTATTCTATACACATATCCATTTTTCTGTAGAGAGGGACCATAGTTTTCATTAGATTCCCATAAGGGGTCAGTTATGGGTTAAATTGCATCCCCTCAAAAAGTTGTGTTGAAGTCCTAACCCCCAGTGTCTATGAATGTGACATTACTTGAAAACAGATCCTTATTTTGATCTTTGCAGATACAAAGACCCAAATTAAGGTTAAAATGAGGTCATTGAGGTGAGCATTAGTCCAATATGACTCTTGTCATAATAAAGGGGGAAATTTTCGACACAGACATATAGAGAGAATGGCATGTGGTAAGGGTGGATGAGTTTGATACAGCTGCAAGCCAAGGAACACCAATTCTGGTGACTGCCAGCAAATTGCCAGAAGATATGAAGAGGCAAGAATTCTCCCTTACAGGTTTCAGAGAGAGCATGGCCCTACAGCACCGTGACCTCAGGCTTCTGGCCTCCAGAACTGCGAGACAATAAATTTCTGTTCTTTAAAGCCACAAAATCTGTAGTACATTATTACAGGTGCCCTATGAAACTAAAACAGAATCTAAAACATACACACACACACACACACACACACACACACACACAGACACACACTTTTAAGAATTATCATAAAAATATAAGGAGTCTTATAAGAATATAAGCGTGTGGTGGCTCACACCTGTAATCCCAGCACTTTGGGAGGCCGAGGCAGGTGGATCACCTGAGGTCAGGAGTTCGAGACCAGCCTGGCCAACATGGTGAAACCCCACCTCTACTAAAAATACAAAAAAAGTAGCCAGGTGTGGTGGCACACACCTGTAATCCCAGCTACTCAGGAGGCTGAGGCAGGAGAATCGCTTGAACCCAGGAGGCAGAGGCTGCAGTGAGCCGAGATCGCACCATTGCACTCCAGCCTAGGTGACAGAGCGAGACTCTGTCCCCCAAAAAAATCATAATAATATAAGAAGTCATTGATGGTTTGGAGACCAAGGTTCACAGTTGTCACTGTCAACGTGAAACCGCTATGCCTCCACTTGAATTTCTTCCTCTCTTGAACCCGAAAAATGGCTTCTTTCCTAGTCAAAGCTCTTTCTCTGGGAACTTCAGGTTGTCTATCCCATTCAGCCTCTAGCAAGAGACACATTCTTTCTGGACTTCTGGACCCAAGGAAGGAACTTCTTTCGGAGCTGGTTTCTTCTTGCCATAGAAGGTGGAGAAACTGAAATATGGCTTTTCTTCCTCCCCCAGGTTCCCCTGTGCCATTCTTTCTTTCTTCATCTTGGTCCACACAATCTGATTCCTCTTATTTATTCTTCTTCTGCTGCTATGAGGAGAAAGGCAGCCTTCTCTCTTTTGATGAGCAGACTTACAACCTTGACCTATTTATTTTTCTTGCTATACTGCTTCCCGTGCCTTACCTGGATGCCAGATTCTCTGTATTGGGAGCCAAGACTCAGGTAACTTGCTGCATTTTTAGGGATTGCCCTGCTGCCAGGACATTCCCCATCCTCCGCTGGTGTCTGAGCTTTTAGGAACTCTGTTCCCTACATCTGTCATCAAGGTGGCCACAGCTCCCATCACAATTCTCATTTTGTGCACAGGGAGAAAAGAAAGCAGAAGGAGAACTAGCATTTACTGAGCATCCAGTGCTTAGTTTCATATACATTTTCCCTCTGAACTCTCATATACACAATTACATATTCAAAGTGAGAATCAGTATCATTACATCACTGATCCCATCTTCCAAATTAGTACACAAAGTTACAGGGCTCTCAAGGAGCAGAACCAAGAGCCTAATCCTGTATTGTCTGCCTCCTAAACCCACGCTCTCCCTACCACTCTAGGCTGCCTGCCTGAGGCTGAGCAAAACAGTTAAATTAGGAAAATAAAAGCAGTCAAGCTCAATTCTGTCATTCCAGAATGTTGTCTTTAAGACAAATATTTTGGTGTCATGCAAACACAAGCACCATCTGTCTGTGTACGTGCTATCTGTCTGATCCACTTACTCTATCTGATGCAAAAACAAGCACCATCAGCTATTCAACAGACAAAACAACCAAAGAGGCACTTTCCACTGGTTGTTATGGACACAGTCATGGCTTTAGCTTCTCCACAACAATCCTCAACTCTGAATTTGCAACACCCCAGGGTATTTTCAGTCACTGTAAGGGATTTTGAAAGATTCTCAAAAATTCTCAAAACCAAATTAGTGTCAATGTACTTTAAGAAATAAAGAGGCTCTGCACTTGACTTTTCAGAAGGCAGGGAGAAGGCTATGTTGTGAAGCCCAGCAACGGTGAGAGGCTGTTAAAATGAGTACAAGGAGGAAGGCAAGTCTGTGTCCTGTTTCTTCACTTGGGCAGCCCTTTCCCCCAAGAAACAGGTGAAAATGTCATTCTTGCTTATAAATAAGGATGAAGATCTTGATGTTCATATAGAATGTTTAGAGGAAAAAAACCAAAAGCCTATGAAGATTTGTGGGTGAAAGGTAAAAGGACATGGAGCTAATTTTGTTTGGAGAAAGGAAAACTAGAAAGCAAGGCATTATTATTATTATTATTATTATTATTATTATTATTATTATTTATTATTATTATTTGAGATGGAGTCTCACTCTTTCACCCAGGCTGGAGTGCAGTGGCACGATCTTGGCTCACTGCAACCTCCACCTCCCGAGTTCAAGCAATTCTCCTGTCTCAGCCTCCCAAGTAGTTGGGATTACAGGTGCACACCATGACGCCTGGCTAATTTTTGTATTTTTAGTAGAGACAGGGTTTCACCATATTGGTCAGGCTGGTCTCAAACCCCTGACCTCAGATGATCCACCTGCCTTGGCCTCCCAAAGTGCTGGGATTACAGGCGTGAGCCACCGCACCCGGCCGAATTTTTTATTATATATTTGAATATATATATAATATATTTGAATAATGTAATATTCAAATATATTCAAAAGTGACACATGGCAGCACTGAAGCCCCCACTTTTGTTTCTCTTGCCTGTGGCAGACATCACTCACTGATCACAGCACTCTTTAGCACTGAGCCAGAGCTGAGCCTCAGAAGCCTTCTCAACACAACTCACTAGGGAAGCACATGAAATCTGTTGGCCATATCCCTGATATAGAGCAGGCCACCAGTCAGGATATTGATATACACTGCCACATTATGAAGAACAAACATGATGGCAGAACAAGTACCCAACCTATCTCTCTGCCCCTTCCCTCAGCTTGTTTTTAACCTTCTAATTTTCCCTTTTCAGAGTTTCTACACAAACCTATCTTTTTTAAGGTGTTCTAAATCTGTGTTCATTTTTATCACTGGGCATCCACCCATCCACTCTCCCTCTCATGGGTATATGACAGTTAAAGACACATTTATAAGAATTGATTTTAGCCTGGAAGTCTGAAGACCTCACTTTAAATCTACCACATCTCAGCTGTTTGACTTTAGGTGAATTAAATTACCTCCTAGAGTCCATTCTCTCATCTACAAAAAGAGGATAGTTGCAGCAACTTCTTCATATGGTGATTATCAATATCAAGTGAAATAACATAAAAGACCTTGTACATTACATGGAATGCAATGGATACCCAACAAATGTTAGATTAATCTGAGGAAACAGAAAGTCTAGATATTTTAAGACAAATTCTCTACCAGAGAATTGAAGAAGTGCCCCAATCTACCATATTACAGCTATTTAACACTCTCTCTTGGAACCCAGAGTCCTCTGGGACCTCCCTGTTCTTTGAGATTTATGTAAAATTAACCTGAGCCCCACCCTGCAAAGCCACAGCCTTTGGAAGTCCTAAGCACTTCCTATGGCCTCAGTGGATTCTAGGGGCTCATGATCTCAGGATCTCCCCTCCCTCCTGAGCTCTTATGCCCTCACGTGTAGAATCTGCTCAGTATCTCTTCAGACCAGATACAAAGCTTAGATCCTTCCTCATCTGCCACAAAAACGTGTGTGTGTGTGTGTGTGTGTGTGTGTGTGTGTGTGTGTGTGTGTGTGTGACTGTGTGTATGTATATGTTCCACAAAAAGTTTCTGGGAGCAGCAGAGCCCTTCAGTCTTCCGGGTTATCACTTACCTGGCTGCAGCCCCCAATAATGTGGTTATCCATCTCCAGCCTCTGCTGACATTCTGCCTATCCTAGAGCACTTAAGCAACCTCCTGCCAACTGTTTCTCATGTGCCACCCTTATCTGGTTCACAGTGGACACTCATACCCTTTTGTTCTTGTAGGTTCCAGGATACATGTGCAGAACATGCAGGTTTGTTACATAGGTAAACATGTGTCATGGTAGTTTGCTGCACCAATCAACCCATCAGCTAGGTATTAAGCCCCACATGCATCAGCTATTAGTCCTGATGCTCTGCCTCCCCCTCCCCCTCCCCACAGGCCCCAGTGTGACACTCACACCTTTTTAACCCTGACTATCCATGGGAGTGAAGGCTGATCCCAACGTGCATTTCAGCCAGCCTGAACTTTTTCAATTTCTTTTACATTTCTCAGATGTAGACTGAGAAATTTGAAGCTCAGGCCACTATCTTCCCCAAGCCCCACTCCTACCCCCCTCCAATTTGCAAGAAGCTTCCTTGAAATCCAGTCTCTCTTGAAATGAAGGGGTTCTATTTCCAAAAAAAAAAAAGAAGAAATGGCTTCATCAATATCATTGGTTTCACAAGCTCTTCCTGAACTTTACCACACCCTTATCAAGAAATACAGCCGTTTCCTCTCTTTGAAATTAGGCAAGCCTTTGTGATTGCCTTGACCAAAAAAAAAAAAACCTGATAAAAGTGACATTGCATGATTTCTAAGACTAGGTCATAAAAGGCTATATGGCTGCCTACTAGCTGTTGCTCTCCAGGATTCTCAACCTTGGCATCCAGCCACCATGTTGTAAGGAAGCCCAGGCTACATGAAGAGGCCATGTGTAGGTGTTCCAGCTGACAGGCCCAGCTAAGATCCATGTCAACTACCAGCATCAACAGCCAGACTTGTGAGTAAGCAAGATATGATTCCAGCCCTTTCTTCAAGTTGCCCCAACAGATGCCAAGTGGAGAAGAAAAGAGCAATCCCTGCCAAGCCCAGCTCCAACTACAAATTCATGAGCAAAATAAATGTCCTTGTTTTAAGCCACTCAGTTTTCAAGTGGTTTATTTTGCAACATTAAAAAACCAGACAAAGTTTACCCATCAGCTGCTAGAGATTATATAAATGTTGACACCCTACACTTCTATACTAATTGGTTAGTCACTAACCAGTCCTGAAAGTTAGAAGTCAGTTCTCGGGCACCAAAACACATTCCAGCCCCTGAAATCCAAGGGCCAGAACCGCAGTTCATGAATTCATTATCTGACCCATGCTAGTTGGGATTAACCCAACCCTTAAAAACCAGATAAGAGTGGCCCCCATGCCCTCTCAGAGTCCTTTCTGGCTCCATGCTCCTGTTTTTGTTGAATTAGTTCTATCAGTGGGTAATTTCTATGACTAGCATGTGCTGGTAGAGAATAGAAGTCAACCTCTTTCTCTGATATTTGCAAGACTATTCACACAAGTCTTAGTCTAAGAATCAGGCATTACTGGATGTTTGAGCAAACTAAAGTGATTTATAGTACAGAACTAGATATTAGATTTCAGATATCCCTATTCCTTTCAGCCATCCATTATGGCCACCCCATCCCATAATAAGACCTGAATATCTCCAGATTTTTCTCTTTCCCCTCTCACCTTCAACATTTTCCCCTCCTCATGCTCTCCTTCCCAGTTGCCCCTAAGAATTCCATGTCCAAACATAGCACTTTTCCTTCTGTTGTATAGGTCAGTAGCTCTCAACTTTGACCATGTATCAGGGTCACTTGATGAGCTTGTTGAACACAGATCACTGGGTCCCACCTCAGTATTTTTTTTATTTAGGGTCTAGGATGGGACCTGAGAAGTTGTATTTCTAACAAGTTATTGGATGATGCTGATGCTACTGTTCTGAAGACCACACTTTAAGAACAACTGGTGTAGATTCCACTTCTCTCTAGCCTTTAATTTCAAACTTGTCCCAGGTCTACCTTTGCTCATCAGCTGATCAGAAAAATGCATCCATTCAGTTAGTGGCCTAAAGGATGCTTGATAGCATTCAGAAATCATTTCTGCTCTCAAAGACAGTTATAGTTTTAATTATGATGAGGTCCCCCCTCTGGTTAGTTAGTCTGACTGGTCCAAAGCTGGTTCTACCAATCACTAGTTGTGTATCTATGGACCACAGTATTTAACTTCTTTGAGACTAGTTTCCTCATCTGTAAAACTGCAGATGATAATGCTTACTCCTTAAGATTGTATGAGCATTAACAGAGTTAATGTATATAAAGTATTAACCTGTTTCTGGGCATACAAAAAAGATACTCCATGTTAGTTATTACTTATTTGTTCCAGAAATCGTGACCAAACCCCTGCAGTATTTCAGGACCTTGCTAGGGATTGGGATGAGGGATGAAGAAGTTGAGGCCCCTTATTATTAGGAAACCACATAATAGGAGAGAGGAGGGGCAGTAAACAAACACAAGTTGTCAGGTTTATGCCAGAGATGAGTTCTTGAAGCCCTCTCATAATTCAAGACTAATTGCTCTTAGAAATAAATGTAAAATGGAAGCTGCAATCTAGGGGCACATAAATCCACAAACATTGTAGAAAAATGTGCTCTAATGCTGCTTTTTATTTTCTTAGCATTAGCTCTAATATTTTGCAGAAGGCTTGTTATTACATTAATAGCATATCATGGCAGTTGCTAGGTCTCCCTTGTAGTATTTTATCACCTCTAACTTCCATTCCAAAGTTATTGATTTTTCTGGAGTGTTTTTCGTCACTTGTGCAAACGTTATCATCTAATAAATGCTTAGATGGCTTTGTTAAATTATAAGAAATGAATGTTAAAATAACAGGACAACAACTACCAAATTTCACTCACAGAAGTTCAAGCGCCTTTGAAAACAACAGAAGGGTCACAAAAAATGCTGACCCCAACAGAGACCAATAGAGATCCAGTTTGACCGCTAAAGTGGCGCCGCCATGTGGCAGCAGCAAAAATATTTGCAATGTGCTGGGTCCTCCAGTCTGTGATGGCTATTTTGGTTTTAGTTGCTCCAGTTTTCATTTTGGAGGAGCTACACTACTTCACATTTTGTGCTTAAAATGAAAATTTGTGTTTTTATGTTACACTATTTCAAATCCATCAATCAGGTTCCCATGAAATGTCTGTGCTCTGTAATCACAGTGATCTGAAAGAGACACGGTTGGAGACATTAAGAGAGTTGAGGAGAGACCAACCCTGGCAGGATCTGCTCCCAGCATGGGCAATTCCATCCTCTCTTCCTGCAGCCTCTCCCTTACAGGTGGGTTCACGTTTGCTGCCTCTGTTACTCTCATAAGGCAGGAACCCTTCCTGCCCAAACAAAAGCAATGATCCCAGGAGGTACATCTTGTCATGGACTGCAGTCTGCAGCCAAGATCTAGCTCCTGATGGCTGAGACAGTCCATCCCACAGGAATTCATGGAAATTAGAGAAAAACATGCATCCTTTCAAACACTTAAAGGAACAGCAAAAAAATATTTAAAGTGGCTACACCTTTTCTGGTTAAAATATAGCCAGCATGACTTGCTTTTAAAAGAATGAAATATTTGTGTATGTTTTGGATGAAGGTTTAGGATTATGATCCAGAACATTGTCAATTATTTAGTAACCAAAATTAGAACAAATCAGACAGGACTCCAGAAGTTACATTTTAGAGGAGTTAGCAGCTGCCTTTCCATCAATGCTTTATATTTTTCTTTATTATTATACTTTAAGTTCTAGGGTACACGTGCACAACGTGCAGGTTTGATACATAGGTATACATGTGCCATGGTGGTTTGCTGCACCCATCAACTCATCATTTACATTAGGTATTTTTCCTAATGCTGTCCCTCCCCCAGCGCCACACCCCCCCGACAGGCCCCAGTCTGTGATGTTCCCCACACTGTCCAAGTGATCTCATTGTCCAATTCCCAACGATGAGTGAAAAAATGTGGTGTTTGGTTTTCTGTCCTTGTGATAGTTTGCTGAGAATGATGGTTTCCAGCTTCATCCACGTCCCTGCAAAGGACATGAACTCATCCTTTCTTATGGCTTCATAGTATTCCATGGTGTATATGTGCCACATTTTGTTAATCCAGTCTATCATTGATGGACATTTGGGTTGGTTCCAAGTCTTTGCTATTGTGAATAGTGCCACAATAAACATACGTGTGCATGTGTCTTTATAGTAGCATGATTTACAATCCTTTCGGTATATAGCCAGTAATGGGATTGCTAGGTCAAAAAGTAATTCTAGTTCTAGATCCTTGAGGAATTGCCACACTGTCTTCCACAATGGTTGAATGAATTTACACTCCCACCAACAGTGTAAAAGCATTCCTTTTTCTCCACATCCTCTCCAGCATCTGTTGTTTCCTGACTTTTTAACGATTGCCATTCTAACTGGTGTGAGATGGTATCTCATTGTGGTTTTGATTTGCATTTCTCTGATGGCCAGTGATGATGAGCATTTTTTCATGTGTCTGTTGGCTGCATAGATGTCTTCTTTTGAGAAGTGTCTGTTCATATCCTTTGCCCCCTTTTGGTGGGGTTGTTTTTTCTTGTAAATTTGTTTGAGTTCATTGTAGATTCTGGATATTAGCCCTTTGTCAGATGGGTAGATTGCAAAAATTTTCTCCCATTCTGTAGGTTGCCTGTTCACTCTGATTGTAGTTTCTTTTGCTGTGCAGAAGCTCTTCAGTTTAATTAGATCCCATTTGTCAATTTTGGCTTTTGCTGCCATTGCTTCTGGTGTTCTAGTCATAAAGTCCTTGCCCATGCCTATGTCCTGAATGGTATTGCCTAGGTTTTCTTCTAGGGTTTTTATGGTTTTAGGTCTAACATTTAAGTCTTTACTCCATCTTGAATTAATTTTTGTATAAGGTGTAAGGAAGAGATCCAGTTTCAGCTTTCTACATATGGCTAGCCAGTTTTCCCAGCACCATTTATTAAATAGGGAATCCTTTCCCCGTTGCTTGTTTTTCTCAGGTTTGTCAAAGATCAGATGGTTCTAGATGTGCGATGTTATTTCTGAGGCCTCTGTTCTGTTTCGTTGGTCTATATCTCTGTTTTGGTACCAGTACCATGCTGTTTTGGTTACTGTAGCCTTGTGGTATAGTTTGAAGTCAGGTAGCATGATGCCTCCAGCTTTGTTCTTTTTGCTTTGGACTGTCTTGGCAATGCAGGCTCCTTTTTGGTTCCATGTGAACTTTAAAATAGTTTTTTCCAATTCTATGAAGAAAGTTACTGGTAGCTTGATGGGGATGGCATTGAATCTATAAATTACCTTGGGCAGTATGGCTATTTTCACAATATTGATTCTTCCTATCCATGAGCATAGAATATTCTTCCATTTGTTTGTGTCCTCTTTTATTTCATTGAGCAGTGGTTTGTAGTTCTCCTTTAAGAGGTCCTTCACATCCCTTGTAAGTTGTATTCCTAGGTATTTTATTCCCTTTGTAGCAATTGTGAATAGGAATTCACTCATTATTTGGCTCTCTGTTAATGGTGTATAAGAACGCTCGTGATTTTTGCACGTTGATTTTGCATCCTGAGACTTTGCTGAAGTTGCTTATCAGCTTAAGGAGATTTTGGACCGAGACAATGGGGTGTTCTAAATATACAATCATGTCATCTGCAAACAGGGACACTTTGACTTCCTCTTTTCCTAATTGAATACCTTTTATTTCTTTCTCTTGCCTGATTGCCCTGGCCAGAAGTTCCAACATTACATTGAACAGGAGTGGTGAGAGAGGGCATCCTTGTCTTATGCTGATTTTCAAAGGAAATGCTTCCAGTTTTTGTCCATTCAGTATGAAATTGGCTGTGGGTTTGTCATAAATAGCTCTTATTATTCTGAGATATGTTTCATCAATACCTAGTTTATTGAGAGTTTTTAGCATGAAGGGCTGTTGAATTTTGTCGAAGGCCTTTTCTGCGTCTATTGAGATAATCATGTCGTTTCTGTCATTAGTTCTGTTTATGTGATGGATTAGGTTTATTGGTTTGCGTATGTTGAACCAGCCTTGCATCCCAGGGATGATCATGGTGGATAAGCTTTTTGATGTGCTGCTGGATTCGGTTTGCCAGTATTTTATTGAGGATTTTCACATCGATGTTCATCAGGGATATTGGTCTAAAATTCTCTTTTTTTGTTGTGTCTCTGCCAGGCTTTGGTATCAGGATGATGTTGGCCTCATAAAATGAGTTAGGGAGGATTCCCTCTTTTTCTATTGATTGGAATAGTTTCAGAAGGAATGATACCACCTCCTCTTTGTACCTCTGGTAGAATTCAACTGTGAATCCGTCTGGTCCTGGACTTTTTTTGTTGATAGGCTATTAATTATTGCCTCAATTTCAGAGCCTGTTATTAGTCGATTCAGAGATTCAACTTCTTCCTGGTTTAGTCTTGTGAGGATGTATGTGTTGAGGAATTTATCCATTTCTTTTAGACTTTCTAGTTTATTTGCGTAGAGGTGTTTATAGTATTCTCTGATGGTAGTTTGTATTTCCGTAGGATTGGTGGTGATATCCCCTTTATCATTTTTTATTGCATCTATTTGATTCTTCTCTCTTTTCTTCTTTATTAGTCTTTCTAGTGGTCTATCAATTTTGTTGATCTTTTCAAAAAACCAGGTCCTGGAGTCATTGATTTTTTTTAAGGGTTTTTTGTGCCTCTATCTCTTTCACTTAGTTCTGCTCTGATCTTGGTTATTTCTTGCCTTCTGCTAGCTTTTGAATTTGTTTGCTCTTGCTTCTCTAGTTCTTTTAATTGTGATGTTAGGGTGTCGATTTTAGATCTTTCCTGCTTTCTCTTGTGGGCATTTAGTGCTATAAATTTTCCTCTACACACTGCTTTAAATGTGTCCCAGAGATTCTGGCATGTTGTGCTTTTGTTCTCATTGGTTTCAAAGAACATCTTTATTTCTGCTTTCATTTCGTTATGTACCCAGTAGTCATTCAGGAGCAGGTTGTTCAGTTTCCATGTAGTTGTGTGGTTTTGAGTGAGTTTCTTAATCCTGAGTTCTAATTTGATTGCACTGTGGTCTGAGAGACAATTTGTTGTGATTTCTTTTCTTTTGCATTTGCTGAGGCGTGCTTTACTTCCAATTATGTGGTCAATTGTTTACAATAAGTGCAATGTGGTGCTGAGAAGAATGTGTATTCTGTTGATTTGGGGTGGAGAGTTCTGTAGATGTCTATTAGGTCTGCTTGTTGCAGAGCTGAGTTCAGGTCCTGCATATCCTTGTTAACCTTCTATCTCGTTGATCTGTCTAATATTGACAGTGGGGTGTTAAAGTCTCCCATTATTATTGTGTGGGAGTCTAAGCCTCTTTGTAGGTCTCTAAGGACTTGCTTTATGAATCTGGGTGCTCCTGTATTGGGTGCATATATATTTAGGATAGTTAGCTCTTCTTGTTGAATTGATCCCTTTACCATTATGTAATGGCCTTCTTTGTCTCTTTTGATCTTTGTTGGTTTAAAGTCTGTTTTATCAGAGACTAGGATTGCAACCTCTGCTTTTTTTTTTTTTGCTTTCCATTTGCTTGGTAGATCTTCCATCCCTTTATTTTTAGCCTATGTGTGTCTTTGCATGTGAGATGGGTTCCCTGAATACAGCACACTGATGGGTCTTGACTCTATCCAATTTGCCAGTCTGTGTCTTTTAATTGGGGCATTTAGCCCATTTACATGTAAGGTTAATATTGTTATGTGTGAATTTGATCCTGTCATTATGATGTCCACTGGTTATTTTGCCTGTTAATTGATGCAGTTTCTTCATAGCATCGATAGTCTACAATTTGGCATGTTTTTGCAATGGCTGGTACCAGTTGTTTATTTCCATGCTTAGTGCTTCCTTCAGGAGCTCTTGTAAGGCAGGCCTGGTGGTGACAAAATCTCTCAGCGTTTGCTTGTCTGTAAAGGATTTTATTTCTCCTTCACTTATGAAGCTTAGTTTGGCTGGATATGAAATTCTGAGTTGAAAATTCTTTTCTTTAAGAATATTAAATATTGGTCCCCACTCTCTTCTGGCTTGTAGGGTTTCTGCCAAGAGATCCGCTGTTAGTCTGATGGGCTTCCCTTTGTGGGTAACTCGACCTTTCTCTCTGGCTGCCCTTAACACTTTTTCCTTCATTTCAACCTTGGTGAATCTGACAATTATGTGTCTTGGGGTTGCTCTTCTCAAGGAGTATCTTTGTGGTGTTCTCTGTATTTCCTGAATTTGAATATTGGCCTGCCTTGCTAGGTTGGGGAAGTTCTCCTGGATAATATCCTGAAGAGTATTTTGTAACTTGGTTCCATTCTCCCTGTCACTTTCAGATACACCAATCAAACATAGATTTGGTCTTTTCACATAGTCCCATGTTTCTTGGATGCTTTGTTCATTTCTTTTCACTCTTTTTTCTCAAACTTTGTCTTCTCGCTTCATTTCATTAATTTGATCTTCAATCACTGATACCCTTTCTTCCACTTGATCGAATCAGCTATTGAAGCTTGTGCATGCATTGCAAAGTTCTCGTGCCATAGTTTTCAGCTATGTCAGGTCATTTCAGGTCTTCTCTACACGGTTTATTCTAGTTAGCCATTCATCTAATCTTTTTTCAAGGTTTTTAGCTTCTTGCAATGGGTTTGAACATCCTCCTTTAGCTCAGAGAAGTTTGTTATTACTGACCTTCTGAAGCCAACTTCTGTCAACTCGTCAAAGTCATTCTCCGTCCAGATTTGTTCCATTGCTGGCGAGAAGTTGCAATCCTTTGGAGGAGAAGAGGCGCTCTGATTTTTGGAATTTTCAGCTTTTCTGCTCTGGTTTCTCCCCATCTTTGTGGTTTTTATCTACCTTTGGTCTTTGATGTTGGTGACCTACAGATGGGGTTTTTGTGTAGATGACCTTTTTGTTGATGTTGATGCTACTCCTTTCTGATAGTTAGTTTTTCTTCTAACACTCAGGTCCCTGGGCTGCAGGTCTGTTGGAGTTTGCTGGAGGTCCACTCCAGACCCTGTTTGCCTGGGTACCACCAGTGGAAGCTGCAGAACAGCAAATACTGCAGAAAAGGAAATATTGCTGCCTGATCCTTCCTCTGGAAGCTTCGTCCCAGAGGGGCAGCCACCTATATGAGGTGTCTGTCGGCCCCTACAGCGAGGTGTCTCCCAGTTAGGCTACAGGAGGGTCAGGGACCCACTTGAGGAGGCAGTCTGTCTGTTCTCAGAGTTTAAATGCCATGCTGGGAGAATCACTGCTCTCTTCCGAGCTGTCAGACAGGAAAGTTTAAGTCTGCAGAAGTTGTCTGCTGCCTTTGGTTCAGCTATGCCCTGCCCACCGAGGTAGAGTCTAGAGGCAGTAGGACTTGTTGAGCTGTGGTGGGCTCTGCCCAGTTTGAGTTTCCCGGCTGCTCTGTTTACCTATTCAAGCCTCAGCAATGGCAGATGCCCCTCCCTCAGCCAGGTTGCTGCCTTGCAGATTGATTTCAGACTGCTGCACCAACAGTGAGCAAGGCTCCATGGGCGTGGCACCCACTGAGCCAGGCACAGGAGAGAATCACCTTGTCTGCCAGTTGCTAAGACTTTGCGAAAAGTGCAGCATTTGGGCGGGAGCGACCCATTTTTCTGGGTAGTCTGTCATGGCTTCCCTTGGTTAGGAAAGGGACATCCCCTGACCCCTTACACTTCCCGGGTAAGGCGATGCCCTGCCCTGCTTCAGCTTGCCCTCCATGGGCTGCACCCACTGTCCAACTGGTCCCAATGAGATGAACCAGGTACCTCAGTTGGAAATGGAGAAATCACCCCTCTTCTGCGTCGATCACGCTAGGAGCTGCAGGTCAGAGCTGTTCCTATTCGGCCATCTTGGAACATACCCTCCCCCACCATATTTTTCTTTAGCAGCATTTCAAATAGAATGGGAATACTTTCTAATACTATTTAATCCAAACATATTTAAGTTGTAGGAAAAAAGAAAATACTTACAAAGATTCCTGATGTGGAGATGTATAGTATGGGTCTTACACTGTATGATTCCTGAGATTTTGGACTTCTTGGAATATCTGACATCCAATTAAGGAAATTCAACAAGAGTGTGTGGCTGGAAAATAGTTGCTCAATTAATCTGTAACTGGTTCTCATTGTAACTTCCCCTCCTCATTTCAGAGAAGGCCTAGTTTTTGTGTTCCCTTCTCTCAGGGGTGTTTGTATTATAGGGCAGAAAGCTGAAGTTGACTGAAAAGGTCCTCCTCCTAGATTCTGTCTTGAAAGTTGAAGCTCTTTCAAGAGAGCTTCAAGGAAGGGACAAGGGGGAAAGAAGCTCCTGCCCCTGGGGGTGGAAAGAAAGAGCAGCCAGAGCACTCACTCAAGGTGGGGCTAGGGACAGGATGCTCCCCTCAGCACATTTTCCAAAAGTCACATCTCTTCACGTTGTAAGGGTTTCTTAGAATAATATGTTAGCATGATAGTCATTGATAAAATGATGAAAAGATGCTATATCAGGCAGGTGGAAAAAGTGATGAAAACATTAATGGTTAGACCCAAAGAGAAAGCAGACTCAAAGAGGAGCCTTTCATGTTTGTGTGATTGCTCCCATGGACCTGGGTCAGAACACCCCATTGGTCCTGGGGGTTGCTGACAGCCTCAGCCCAGGTGCCTGCCCTTGGTGTTAGAACCTGGCCCTGCCTCCAGGCAGAGCAGAAATAGGTTGGTTAGGACTGAGGTGTCTTTATGTAGAAGACTCTTTACCAAGTACGGCATAAGAGCAACTTTGAAATCCACATTCAAGAAACCACAAGGGTTTGGGCTATGAGCATCTCAGTAGCAACTAGGGCACTGAAGATCAAATCTCCCCTGATATTCTGGACTTGGCAAGACCCCATCCCCTTTGAACCCTAGCAGAGTGGCAAAAATGCCTACATATTTAACAACTGTCTCCTCATTAGGCACCATACATGACTACCCTGGTTATCCTTCATAAGAGGAATTGGGGCCCTTATTAGAAAGTCTATCAAAAGTGGCAAGACTAATTAACCCTAGACCCAAGGCCAATGGCAAGTGTAGCTTATAATTGTCAGATGTATCAAGTATTGGTGATGAATTATGTATCCTAGGAGGACCTAAACTATATTATTAAATGATTAATTTGAAAATAACTGATGGTTATTCACTCCTCAAGCATTTGCAAGAGCTATGTGCCAAGTACCACACAATATATTTATCCTGAAATTATAAAAATATTGTCCTGCCTTCAGGGAGCTCCCAATTTAGTTGAAGAATCAGGTTAAAATTCAACTGAACCTAGAAAATATATCATACAGGTATGCACATACTTCCATGGGAGACTTTTTAGGAGCAGAATGGCTAAATGATTAGATGGACCAACTTATTTACTTTGGGGGGCTATTAGCGAGTTCCTGGGTTTTGTTTAAACAATGATGGAAGCAGTATACTATTCTCACTTGTTTTAGTTTCAACCTTTTCAGAATTTTCTCAGCAAGAGATACAAGAGGCTAAGGGAGGAGAATTGCTTGAACCTGGGAGGCAGAGGTTGCAGTTTGAGCTGAGGTTACACCATTGCACTCCAGCCTGGGCGACAAGAGTGAAACTCTGTCTCAAAAAAAAATAAAAATAAAAATAAAGAATTTTATCAGCAAAATAGGTCTTTCTCTGGATTAACAGTTCATGAGGCCAGGCACAGTGGCTCACGCCTGTAATCCCAACACTTTGGGAGGCCAAGGCAGGCAGATCACAAGGTCAAGAGATTGAGACCATCCTGGCCAACATGGTGAAACCCCATCTCTACTAAAAATACAAAAATTAGCTGGGTGTGGTGGTGCATGCCTATAGTCCCAGCTACTTGGGAGACTAAGGCAGGAGAATCGCTTGAACCTGGGAGGCGGAGGTTGCAGTGAGCCAAGATTGTGCCACTGTACTCCAGCCTGGTGACATAGTGAGACTCCATAAAAAAAAAAAAAAAAGAGTTCATGAGTCTTTGAATGGATTTTAAGAAGTCAGCAAAGTGGGGAAAAATTTGTCATATTTGAGATCTTTCTTAATAGCTTGAAAATTGTCTCTGTGAAAATATAAATTTTTGTTGAATTTTGTTTTTAAGGAATTGTTTCCTACTGCGCAAGTGCAGAGTGCCATGGGATGTTACTATACATTGTCAGGTAGCAAAGTCATCACCATGAAAGTGTTTTCCTCTGACATATTTTTTTTAGATGTAAGCTAACATTATGATTATAGGCATGAATCTTTTAGTACATGGGCTAGCTTAAGTAGGAAAACATTGAGGAAAATCAAGTAGAAGAAAGTTTGTTTCTTTTGGTTTCATCCCAAATGTGATGAACATCAAAAACATGGTCCCTATTGCGCAGCAAGTCCATTGCCAAATGCCTGGTTAAGAATAGATAATTTTCATGAGAAGATGGCTGAACTGAAAAAAGCGAAATTTTATCAAAACTACAGAAAATTGCACCAACTCAACAGCCTGAACCTAGAGCATCCTGCAACAATGCTCATCCTATAGCCAAGCAAAAGAAGCCTTGGGACTGGGCAGACCTTGGAGCCATCCGCCCTAAA
Organism: Homo sapiens; assembly: GCF_000001405.40. Lineage (NCBI taxonomy): Eukaryota > Metazoa > Chordata > Mammalia > Primates > Hominidae > Homo > Homo sapiens. The sequence goes on along the minus strand of NC_000003.12, from coordinate 137,208,321 downwards.
GCAGTCAAGTGTGTTTGTACTCTGGGAGGAGAAATGATGCTAAATCAGTGCCTCTGTCAAGAAGTATTACCTGGGCCAGGCGTGGTGGCTCATGCCTGTAATCTCAGCACTTTGGGAGGCCAAGGCAGGCTGATCGCGAGTTCAAGAGATCGAGACCATTCTGACCAACATGGTGAAACCCTGTCTCTACTAAAAATACAAAAATTAGTTGGCTCTAGTGGCGCGCATCTGTAGTCCCAGGTACTCAGGATGCTGAGGCAGGAGAATCGCTTGAACCTGGCAGTCGGAGGTTGCAGTGAGCCAAGATCATACCACTGCACTCCAGCCTGGAGACAGAGTGAGACTCCGTCAAAAAAATAAAATAAAATAAGAAGTGTTACCCTATCCAGAGTTGCCAGCTTTTTCTCCTTTTAAAGAAGGTCTCAGGGATACTTGAGCCAAGTAAGTTCCCTTCAGCATGCAACTGAATGAATGTATTGCCAGTTTTCAGTGTGCCAGTTCTTCATTTTCCTGTCACATACATACTGATGCCCATTTGGTGAGCCCTCTTTGGAAGTATCATATACTTAATGGGATGCCTTTGGAATCATAAAAATATCTCTGCCAGGGAAAACCTTGAACAAAAAATGTTGGTGCCATGGGTACAGATGGAGCACATTGCTGTTCCACAAAGCATCCCACTTTATCATTTTTGTTAGAAAGAAACTCCACACTTCACACAGACATTGTTTTGTACATTCATGTGATATGGGCAATAATTCTAAAATAAGTCATGTCCACTTCAACTTAGAGTCAGGGCCTTGAATTATACTTTATCAACAGGATTTGTCAAGAAATAGTGCTGAAGTTCACTGGTTTTCTAAACTACAAGTTTTGAAGCGATTGATTGACTTCAGGCAGAATCCCATACCTCTCTCAAGTGATTCGCAAAGCCTGTACTCAGAATAATTTGACAAAAAAGAGTTCATTTCATGACAGGTTACTTGTTCATATTTTTGGCAATCTGAATGAGCCGTTCTCTTCACTCAAGATTCGGACCCCATTTTTGATGCTGCTACCAAGAAAAGTCTTCTGACCGGGTTACCACTGTGGAAGTGGTGTTTGGAAAAAGCTATGTACTCCTTGCATTGTTGGAGAAAGGCTATCTGAAGGCCAGAGCCAAGAGTAAAAAGACTTTGCTGGCTGTTTTGCAGGACAAGTAGGCAAAGAAACCCTTGAAGATTATGTTTGTTGGATGGTCTTAAGATCTTTAAATGTATGGTACTAATGATTTTTTCCTTCATAACAAACATAACTTTTATGATTCAGACATCAGCAAAGTTGACCTCATTGAACTGAAAACAAAGAAAATAATATTATATGAATTCTATGAATTCAACTAAAAGTGTTTTAGAGAATTTTAGTGTTCCTCAACATAAGCCCATCCTCATCTGTCAGAGTAACCTGTAAAAACTCTCTTACTAGCAAATACCATTGAAAGTTAGAATTTGCCACCCTTATTACCACCAAAAATTAATTGGATGTGAAAGAAAGATATTTGTACTATGTGTCAAAAAACACTCTATAATATCAACCTCTTGTTCTAAATAAACAATAGCAATCTTCTTATGAAAGTTACTTTTTAACTAAATTATATCTTACTTTATTTGCACATTTTGATTTAGTGAGATTTTTCAGAATGTGACTTAACTTTTGCATGCAAAAATCAAATTAAGAGGATCATGAGTATTTTTAAGTATGTTTTAACTTTCCAACTGTGGGAAAGATATGTTTGCAATGCAGCAAAATATATTGTATGCAGAAAATGTGTATAATGTGGTTATATGTATTTTTCTTGATAAGGCATCCATAGCTTTTATCCGATTCTTAAAGACTATCCACTAATTCACACACAACTCTAAAAAGGATTAAAAATCGCTAACCTAGTTAAATCTGTGTTTTCTGATAAGCTCTCACTCAACCAGCAAAAGGAACAGCCCAAATTCACATTTTGTGGCTTGTCATAATAAAGCAGACTTTTTTTTTAATCAACAACCTATAGACCTAGGTTAAAATGAAGTTTTCATTCTTTTCTTTTCCCTCATAGTCCCCAGAGTCTTTGTCTCTATTTTTGAGGTACAAGGCAATACTAACAGTTCTAACTCTAAAATCCATTGAATACATATTTGGGGATCTTATCATAGCAAAATGTACTTAAAATAATTGGCCCTGAAAACAAACATTAGAGATTCATAATATATTGACCTTTAGTTCTCCAGAAGACTTATAGCTGAATAAGGAAGAATAAATACTTGAAGAAAATAAAGACAGATGAAGACAAGCATAGAGAAGGCATCACTCAAGACAACTTTCCAGGGGACCAAGCACATGTGCACTTCTGTTAGGAGCATGCCGAGTGTCTCTTCGTGTGTGTGTGTGTACGCATGTGTTTGTATAAGCATGTGAAATAAGCAAACAGCAGTGATTTCTTCCAGCCAAATGCATATCTTTTAAAGTGGAGAGTCAGCCCCGGTGATGCTAATGGAGTGGAATGTAAATATTGGCAAGCAAGTTGTCAAATAGAGGCTTTTAAAGTTTGGAATTTTTCAAGGAAAATGTTAACTGCAGTTAAAGGGCCAAAGTGGTCTTAACCTCATCTCAGAATCTAGAATTGTCACTGGAAGTTCTAAATACCCAGGACTTGTGTGCTAAATTTAGACTTCCCAGCACTGTGACTGGCATTTTGGAACATTTGGTCCATAACGATAAACCACCACACTTGCTGAATACAGGATTAGAGGGGGACTCTCAGACATAACCAATTAATAAATCAGCCTCCCTAGCAGCCTGGGGAGCAGAGGCAAGGGTGCAAGGCCAATAATTTTGCCACATTTCAAATAGCAAATGCACTCATCCCTACCCAGAACTCCCACCCTCAACCCCACCTCACACACCCAGCACATCCTTCTTGCTTCTCAAGATTATACCCATTCCAAGAATCAGCTCAATTTCTACCTTCCTGAGACTTTCTTCCCCAACGCCCATAACCACATCAATATCTACCTTCTCTAAATTCCTCTATATCCTTTATTCTCAATCCTGCTCTCTTGCTAACCCATGTTGCTATCTTCCCTGTAATAATAGCTAACACTTTAATTTTTACCATGTGCCAGGCACTATACTAAAAGCTTTACAGGAATGACCTCATTTAGTCCTCACAGCAACCCTATGATGTAGTTTTTATTATCATTCACAGAAGAGAAATGTTCATATGAGGAAACTGAGGTTTAGAGAGCTAAAATAACCTTCCCAGGGTCCACATCTAATAAATAATGGGCCAGGCAATCCACCAGGTTGTCTGGCCCAAATCCTGCCCTCTTAATAGCGAAATGTACAGCCACTCATGTCTGATATGCATATATTGTCTACCCAGCTGGATTCTAAGTTATTCAGGGCACCTGTATAACATCTCCTTCATGTGACCCCAGAGGTGGCATTGTGCTGTGCCCATAATGCCAGTACTTATTGAGGGAGTAAATGAATAAGTGAATAAAAGTCAATGCACCATCTGCAAAACCCAAGATAAATTAATTGATTTGGACTTCCAAATAGCATGCAGAATCAGGATAAAATGTTCCTGTTGCTACATTTGGCAATGGAAAGCAGATAAATTACTGACTTGCTGCTCTCATGTTCAGCCCACATTAAAGCTGGGAAATAGGTCTCTGTTAACAACCATGACGTTGCTCAGCTTTGTCTCTGGCAGCCCTCCAACCCTAAGTCTATCCTGATCTTCAGAATCTACAAGGTTCACTAGGCGAGAGGGGAACAGCACAGGAGTTTCCCAGTTCCAAGGCTAATTCTACCCCAATACTGCTCGTATGCACCCACACACAAAAAGATGATTCCACTTAGTTCACTTCAATAAATGCTTATTGAGTATCTACTCTAAAGATTCACAGACTTGGCTGCACATTTCAAATCATCTGTGAGATTTGAAAAATTGCTAAGCTCTGGGCCCCACACCAAGCCAATTGACCCAAAACTCAGACTTTGAGATCCATTAACAGCCACCAATCTGAATCTTATGTGCAGATGGAGTTAAGAACTACAAAAATGGATGCCAAGCACTGTGTACCAGTGCCTTTGCCACAGAGGTGTGAGTGTAAAAAGGGAAGTTTGCAGAATAGTAGGAAAGTCACAACACAATTGTAATAAATACAACATGAAAAATTAATTATAAGAAGCCCACTATGAAGTGCTCAGACAGTGGTAAACATAGGCACTATGGGAGCTCAGAAAAGAGGTGCCTACCCTCACTGAAAATCATTGGGAGGCAGGTGTGGAGGATGCGTATGAATGAGAGAATTGTTTTTTAAATAATGAGGTACTATGTCAGGCTGTGGAGGAAAATTGAAACCTTTTGCCTTCCTAGAACAGAAGGTTAGTCCTCTGTAACCTCTGATGACCTCCCTCTGCACATTCCCAAATGCCCCTAGCTCCTGATGGCCCCTAAATCACGCAAACTCATAAACAGAATTGAAATATAAATTCTCAAATATTGGTCCTCAGGCTTTAAGATCAGTGTAACAAATTTTTGAGACTTTTAATCAGTAGTCAATGGAGATTGAGAGATTTTGCCCTAAATCTGTTCAATCTGTAAAATTAGTATAATAATCTCTACCTTGCCAGTGATTATGAAGATTCATGTACTTATTCAATAGACATTTATTGTGCACCTACTGTGTTCCAGGCACAGTGTTAGATACAGAGATAGAATGATGAATGATCACAGACCCAGACTGTGTTCTGTGGACCTCACAATCTAGTATGGGAGACAGACATTGAGGAAATAATCACACAATTAGTATGTAATTACCTACAGATATGAATCCTGTGAAACATGTACCCCTAAATGCCATGAAAGCATGTAGTAGGGAAACCTCACCTAGTCTAGGGGTCAGGAAAGGCATCCCTAAAAAAGTAACACTTAGAGATCTGAGAGCTGTCTACTGTCTAAGAGAAAAGTAGATAAAGAGAGAAGCAAGAGAAACCAGTTGCAACGGCAGTGGGGTGGAGGAAGCCTGGGCAAAGGCCCTGTTGCAGAAATGAGCCCAGTGCAGAGAGTTAACCAAAAGCAGGCCAGTGTGGCTGGAGCAGAGACAAAAGGTAGCGTGTGCAACACAAAGTGAAAAGGGCGTTGGGACTCTGCCAGCCACGTCCTTGACCCAAGAGTAAGGGGAGGCCCCTGGGAGGCATTCAGACTGTGACATAATCGCATGTGCATTTCAGAAGCTCTTCCAGCTTCTGTGTGGAGAATGAATTGGAGGGGCAAGAGTGGATATGGATGGACCAGTTAGGTTGTTCTAAAGTAGTCCAGACAGATGTGACCAAGTTTAATTTTGAAAATATGAAATTTGGTATGCCACGTAGAAAAAAGAATTGAATTTGAGACAGCATATGGCACATAAATGGTTACTACTTAATTAATATTATATAGACATTCAGACATACAGAAACATGGCTACTATTTGGGAAGGGAAGATTGAATAGAACTCTCATGATACTTTAACCTAGATCAACAGTGCGAATTTCACCTTCCTCAGACCACCATTTTGAGTGAGGCCATCCCTCAGTGCAAGAAGGCTGAGCCAATAGCCCTGGACACACATCCAGAGTGCCCTTGGTGAGCAAAAGGTTGAATGCTGAAAAGGAGCCAAGGAACCAAGCCACATTTCTAACCAAAGGACAGCTGAAAAGATACTGCCCTTGAGCCCAATAGGAAGGGATTTGCCTCCATGTGGCTAGACTTATACTTTAAGCCTACTTAAGGAATAATAAATTCTAGTCCCAGAAAGCCTTGACTGCTCCTGGCTGAAGAAGATGGGGAAGTCAAAGGCTGCTATCCCTAGTGAAGAGGGGTTTTGATTGAAGAGCTAATTTATGAGGGTTCCTAAAATCATAATCTAGGAATGCCGCATGTGACCATAGAGCCATGTACCAGAAGAGGTAACCAGGAACCCATTTCCATTACAAACTGACCTGTCTTTTCATAATGAACTTTACCTTCTTGGAAAGGTGATTGTGTAAGATTGTGGATTGAGGCACCCACACCCCACAGGGGGTTCATTGCACAGGAGCTGTCAGCAGTGGAAGATAGAGGGCCCAAAGGCTCCTGATACAGTCACCATGGCAACCAACCCAGATCTGGTCCATTTTATTCACAGACCAAAAAAACCCAGTTCAGTGAACACCGTAGGGAAGTAGGAGCAGCTTAGATTAACCAGGCTATCTTCTGGCCCCAAGCAATCTGCAGGATAAGACCTTGCATTAGGCAAAGGTCTTCACTGTGACAAAGCGGAGGATTTGTTAAGCTCTTTGGATCTCACTGGGCCCATTTAACTTCCAGTATGGGATAAAAAGTTACTCTCCTCCAGGTAGGAGGCCTGAAGTTTCACATGAATTCAGTTTGAAGTGGTAATGGTTACACCATGATAAACAATCATTCTGAGTCGTTTTCTTCCTCATCACCTGAGAGGTCAGAAGACTGTAAAATCAGCACCTTCTGATCTCTGACTTAATCAGGTTAGAAAATAGATCACATTTTATAAGTGGAAACATGTCTTGGAATTGACTTGAGTGTTAACATGTATTTCACATGTATAGTTTCCCTTTTTCCCCCAGGTAATGGAACAAACAATATCTCTGAGAATTGAACTAGAAGCAGCAAGCATCTTTTCAAGTAAATGTGCAACTCATTCATTCATTCATTCATTCCGTTTATTGGAAACTTACTCTGTGCCATGGGGCTACAGAGATGACTAAAGCAAGAATTCCACTCATAGCTCAATGAAGGTGGAAAACTTGATTAAGTAAATAAAGAGTTAAATGTATTACAACTGTATGTTATGTTAAAGTAAACCACAGTTGACTCAAGCAAAACAGAAGCAAAATTTTGTTTATCTAATAGTCCAGAGCAGGTGGTCCTCCACTATGCTACTAACAAGAGTCTGCCATCTTCAACATATAGCCACCACGTCACTGTGGTTGCTATTTCATAGGAGATTTCATAGGCCAGGCCTAGAAGTGGCATGTATCACTTCCACTCACATCCACTGGAAAGAATTTAGCCACACAGCCATACCTTCCCACAAGGAATCTGGGAAATATAGTGTCCCTGGCCACCCACATGCTCTGCCACAGACCTGTTGCCAAAGAAGAGGGAGAGAACAGAATTTGGAGAAAAATTGCCGTCTCTACCAATAACAAAGATACGTACAAAGCTTTATAGGAGCAGAGAAGACAGAGTAACTAGGAAATATCTATCATACTCAAAAATATTTCAAATGCCTATGAAAGAAATAATTTCACTTGTAATTCAATAAATGCTAATTATAGCAACAATGACGTATCATTTTTCCTTTTCAAACTGCCAAAAGTAAAGAAAGAATAAAAATAGCAGTTAATTTTTGCAAGATTCAAAAGAAAGGGGTACTCACAATTGCAAAAAGCACCAATTAGTACAATCTTTCTGGAGGACAGTTTGACAGTATGTATGCAGCAGATTTTTTTAAAGTCACAAGAATAAGGGAAATAAGTTGTATAATAATGTAGCCTTCTTCATTTATCTATATTTTAACGTAGCTTCTAGCCCTCACATTCAGTAAAGGGAAAATTACACCTGCCAATTCAAGGTACCAGTGACTTCCAATTTAAAACTCAACTCTTTTAGGGGAAAATTCATCAAATTTAGGATTCCCTTCTGCTGGTAGACTCTATAAACTGGAAACAGATTCTTCCCTGAAGCCTCCAGAAGTTGCACAGTCCTTCCAATACCTTGATTTTAGACTTCTGGCCTCCAGAACTTTAAGAGAATAAATCTGTGTTGTTTTAAGCCACTAAGTTTGTGGTAATTTGTTACAACAGCATTAGGAAACTCATACATACCTGGAAGTGGGGTGCTGTTGTAACAAACGCATTAAAATGTAGAAGAGGCTTTGGAATTGAGCAATGGGCATAAGATGAAAGAATTTTGAGGCCCGTGATAGAAAACAGCTAGGTTTCCTTGAAGAAACTGTAGGTAGAAATTTGGGTACTAAGGACTCTGCCACCAAGGGTTCAGAAGGAAATGAGGAACATGGTAGAGAAAACCTGTATCATCTTAGAGAATACCTAAATCATCACAAATGGAATGTTGGTAGAAATATGAATGTTAAAGGTGCTGCTGGAGGGCTCAGAAGGAAATGAAGAACATCTTGTTGGAAATTGGAAAGAAGGAGATTCTCATTTCACAGTGACAAAGCTTAGCTGAATTGTACCCTATCATTATGTGAGAAGCAGAACTTGTTAAGTAATGAATTTTGATATTTAGTTGAGGGGATTTCCAAAAATGTATTGAAAGTATGACCTAGTTTCTTCTTGTTTCCTATAGTGAAGTGTGAGAGAAAAGAGAAAAATTGAGGGAAGAACTGTTTAGAAAAAGAAACTAGGACTTGACTATTGGGGAAATTCTTAGCCTGTACAGTTTGCAAGACAATTATGAGATTCACTATCAGGAAAGTATGCTCTGGAGGAAAAGCCAATGGTGAGGCTAGACAATCCTTTTCTCACACCCCCAAACAAACAAAAAGTAACTATAAGAGGAATCTTTGATGAAATTCAGAATGTGAATCATGGACCCCCTCAGCCATTTCATTAGGAGCCAGAAATAGAGTTGAGATTAACCAGAAATGATCTGTGGAGGAACACTTGGTCTACTAGGGAGAACTGCTGTAACATGACAATTCACACAAGAGAGCCACAAGGCTTTTGAGAATGTTACATCAGCAAAAATACTGCCAGTTTGGACTGAAAGGACTGAGAGAGGATGAAATAAATGAAAGTTTTTACATGCCCAAAATTCTACAGGTGGGAAACAGGCCAATAAAACTGGTCAATTACCCTCTCCCTCTCCCGTCTCCCGTCTCCCGTCTCCCGTCTACCCATGGTCTCCCTCTCCCTCTCCCGTCTCCCATCTCCCGTCGCCCATCTCCCCACGGTCTCCCTCTCCCTCTCTTTCCACTCCCTCTCTTTCCACGGTCTCCCTCTGATGCCGAGCCGAAGCTGGACTGTACTGCTGCCATCTCGGCTCACTGCAACCTCCCTGCCTGATTCTCCTGCCTCAGCCTGCCGAGTGCCTGCGATTGCAGGCGCACGCCGCCACGCCTGACTGGTTTTCGTATTTTTTTAGTGGAGACGGGGTTTCGCTGTGTTGGCCGGGCTGGTCTCCAGCTCCTAACCGCGAGTGATCAGCCAGCCTCGGCCTCCCGAGGTGCCGGGATTGCAGACGGAGTCTCGTTCACTCAGTGCTCAATGGTGCCCAGGCTGGAGTGCAGTGGCATGATCTCGGCTCGCTACAACCTCCACCTCCCAGCCGCCTGCCTTGGCCTCCCAAAGTGCCGAGATTACAGCCTCTGCCCGGCCGCCACCCCGTCTGGGAAGTGAGGAGCGTCTCTGCCTGGCCGCCCATCATCTGGGATATGAGGAGCCCCTCTGCCTGGCTGCCCAGTCTGGAAAGTGAGGAGCATCTCTGCCCGGCCGCCATCCCATCTAGGAAGTGAGGAGCGTCTCTGCCCGGCCGCCCATCGTCTGAGATGTGGGGAGCGCCTCTGCCCCGCCGCCCCGTCTGGGAGGTGAAGAGCGTCTCTGCCTGGCCACCCCGTCTGAGAAGTGAGGAGACCCTCCGCCCGGCAGCCGCCCCGTCTGGGAAGTGAGGAGCGTCTCTGCCCAGCAGCCACCCCGTCCGGGAGGGAGGTGGGGGTCAGCCCCGCGCCCAGCCAGCCGCCCCGTCCGGGAGGGAGGTGGGGGGTCAGCCCCCCGCCCGGCCAGCCAGCCCGTCTGGGAGGTGGGGGGCGCCTCTGCCCGGCCGCCCCTACTGGGAAGTGAGGCGCCCCTCTGCCCGGCCACCACCCCATCTGGGAGGTGTACCCAACAGCTCATTGAGAACAGGCCATGATGACAATGGCGGTTTTGTGGAATAGAAAAGGGGGAAAGGTGGGGAAAAGATTGAGAAATCGGATGGTTGCTGTGTCTGCGTAGAAAGAAGTAGACATGGGAGACTTTTCATTTTGTTCTGTACTAAGAAAATTTCTTCTGCCTTGGGATCCTGTTAATCTATGACCTTATCCCCAACCCTGTGCTCTCTGAAACATGTGCTGTGTCCACTCAGGGTTAAATGGATTAAGGGCGGTGCAAGATGTGCTTTGTTAAACAGATGCTTGAAGGCAGCATGCTCGTTAAGAGTCATCACCACTCCCTAATCTCAAGTACCCAGGGACACAAACACTGCGGAAGGCCGCAGGGTCCTCTACCTAGGAAAACCAGAGACCTTTGTTCACTTGTTTATCTGCTGACCTTCCCTCCACTATTGTCCTATGACCCTGCCAAATCCCCCTCTGCAAGAAACACCCAAGAATGATCAATAAAAAAAAAAAAAAAAAAAAAGTACAAAAAAAAAAGAAAGTTACTATCTGAAGTCTGACACTATGCCCTTAGAGATGTACCCAGATGACTCCTTTCTACACATCTTAATATTCCTGGATTTGTTCACCAAATCTTTATGTATTTTGCCCATCTTTCTTCTTTGGTTTTTAAAATAATAGGCCATTCTAAGGACTTTATTCTGCCCATCATTTTTTTTTTTTTTTTTTGAGACGGGGTCTCGCTCTGTCCCCCAGGCTGGAGTGCAGTGGCGCTATCTCAGCTCACTGCAAGCTCCGCCTCCCTGGTTCACACCATTCTCCTGCCTCAGCCTCCCGAGTAGCTGGGACTACAGGCGCCCGCCATCACACCCAACTAATTTTTTGTATTTTTAGTAGAGACGGGGTTTCACCGTGTTAACCAGGATGGTCTCGATCTGCTGACCTCGTGATCCGCCCGTCTCAGCCTCCCAAAGTGCTGGGATTACAGGCATGAGCCACCGCGCCCGGCCTCTGCCCATCTTTCTTGATGGGAAATGAGCTTTGCCTGTTTTTTTTTTCTTTTCTTCAAGTGGGTTTTTTTTTCTATCTCTTTACACTGCACCTCCCTTAAAATGCCAAGCCCATCATAACGCTATGCCTTTGCCACTGCAGTGTCCTCTGCCTGCAATGCTCTTCCTTCTAGAATGAATTTCTACCTATACGTAAGACTTTGCCCAACATGTATCTCCTCTTGGAGGTTTTTTATGAAAAAAGTTAATATCTCCATTCTCTCTGCTTCCCCAGCACTAGTGCATTGTAATTATTTATTTCCATGTGCATCTTTTCAACTACAATAGCTAATAGCCATGTGTGGCTACTGTTATTTTAATTAATTAAAATAAAATTAAATGTAAAATTGTATTATTCACTCACACTAACTATATTCTTAGTGCCCAACAGCTACTTATATTAGACAGTACAAAGAACATTTCTGTTAATTGCAGAAAATTCTACTGGACAATACTGTTCTAAATTGTGAATGCTTCAAAGGCAGAAATGTATGAATTTTTTAAGCCTCTTTCCAACTTGTACTGATATGCAGTAGTATTTTTGAATAAACGATTTAAAAAGTCACAAAAAAAAAAAAACTGGTCAATTACAAACATATGCTACCCTCAGAAAAAGGAAGAATAACTCAGAGGGCAGAGCTGAGGGCCTGCAGGGCAGAACATCAAATCAAAGAGGATTATTCCCAGGTTTTAAAACAGACTAGAGTTTTTCTGGTTGGATTTCAAAATTTCTTGGGACCAGTGACTCATTCCATCTTTTCATTTTTTTTCCTTTTTGAAAGAGAATGTCTGCAACTGGTATCCTAGGACTGTTCCACTGTTGTATTTAGGGAGCAGATAACTTGTTCTCTAGTTACATAAGCCCACAGGTAGAGAGAAATTTTGATCCAGGGTGGATCACACTTGGTGCCTCACCCATACCTGATTTAAATGATTTAGATGATGAGATTTGAAGCTTTTTAGCTAACAATATTTAGGTAAGATTTTGAACTTTGAGTGGATGCTGTAATGGGTTGAAACTTTAGGGGATGCTGGGATGAGGTGAATGTCTTTTGAGTGTGGAATGGATATTAATTTTGGGTGACCAGAGGGTGCGCTGTGGTAGGTTAAATAATAGCCCCCCTCAAAGGTATCCATGTCCTAATCCCCAGACCACGTGAATATATTACCTTATATGACAAAAGGAATTTTGCATATATGATTAAATTAAAGATCTTGTGGTGGGGGAGGGTTATTCTGCAGCATATAGGTGGGCCTACTGTAATTATATAAGTCTTTATTAAAGAGAAGTAGGAAGCTCAAAGTTAAAGAAAACGTAAGGGTAGAACCAGAAGCTAGAGTGATGTCCCATGAGCCAAAGAATGCATGTGACCCCTAGAAACTGGAAGAGACAAACTGATTTTCTCCTGAAGCTTTCAAAAAGAATACAACCATATCAATACTTTATTTTAGACTTCTGACCACTATAACTATAACAGAATAAATTTGTCTTGCCACTAAGTTTGTGGTTTTAAGCCACAAAATTTTTTACAACAACAATAAAAAGCTAATACATCCTCCCTCCTCTTTCTCTTCTCTTCTTCCACAATTCCCTGAGTTCCTACAGCCTTCATGTGGGAGCGGAGGGTGAAGGAGTGGTATTTTTTTCTGAACGTGGATCTTGGTCTTCACTGCACCCTGTGCGGGATGTAGATCCTTTGACCAGACCTGAGTATTGGTCTCAGTCCTGCCATGCACACTTCTTGTCGTCCTCAGCATGCTTTTATCCACAAGACCAAACATGCTGAACATTCTTGTCCCAGAACTATGCCCCGTTCCCTATGGGAATGGAACACAATGTAGGTGGAAAATTTTGCTATCTAAAAAATAGTTTAAATATGCACAGATATCTAATTATAAGAATAATCATCACAATGTTGTTTGTAATTATCAAGAAAGAAATAGGTGGGAAATAATTAAATGTCACCTTAAATGGGTGAAAGAGGAAGAAGAATAGAAGACAGTAGAGGAGGTTGGGCCCGTGGCATTAGGGAAGGAAAGCCTCCAAGAAAAGGGACTGTGTGTCTTCAGCAGCTTCGTCAGGGCATGGTTATGGCTCAGTCCTGTGGTGCCTCCATTTCTTGTCCTTCTCTGCTCTCTGTAACCTGCCCAAGGATGGCCACAGCTTGTCCAATGTAATACAGTTGGCCACCAAGATGGTGGGGTTCCTGCCCCAGGGCAGTGCAGAGCAGGTCTACAAGATCTGAAAACCCCACAGTGTGAGTGCTCAAGTCTCCTGAATCATGGTGACCAGAGCTGATGAGCACACAGAGAAGTTAATTGGAGAGGCAGCGCAACTAAGAGGATCAGACATGGCCTGGGGACCAGAACACTGGTGCTTCTTCCACACTTACTACACCTTTGTGTGATAATTTGAAGAGCACAGTCTTAATTGATACCTCAGTTTCTTCATCAGAAAAATTAGAAAAATACATTCTTTTTCCCATCTCCCACAGGGTCTTGCATGAAGAATCATTAGTGTAATTAAGAAATGTTAATTAAGAATGTGTAATTAAGAAAATGTTTTTCAACAGTAAATGCGTGTTAATACTTACGTTCTGTTAAGTGCCTATGTGGCAAGGCAGAGAAAGTGGCAGTGAGGGGAGCATTTAGCCTCATTTTATTTAAAAAGCATTTTCTTAGCACTTTCAAGGCAGAGAAGATACAAGCTTTGCATGCGCAAAGCAACTTGGGATCAACAGAGTGTAACGTGTGACTCAGACTGTTGTGAGCTTTTAAACAGTTACTGAGCCCATTCACTTGCTGGTTGCTTTGCATAGATTATCCCATTTGATCCTTGCAACAATTACCTTTTTGTTAAACGTGCTGTGATAATCCACTGGTCACAGTTGAGAAGACAGGGTTTAAGCAACATGTCTGTAGTCACACTACTAGTAAGCGTTAGAGGCAGAATCTGAATCCAGGTCATTCTAAATTCAACCCAGGCCCTTTCCTTTTCCCACAGAGCCCTACCCTAGCACATTGAGCTTATAAAACAGACTGATCTCCTATGGGAATTTGGAACCAGGAGGAAGCAGTGTATTATAATATGGTCAGGGAGATACCCATAGACAAAGCCTGAGCCAGACCTGTCAGATCTGAATTTGCAGAGGTGGGAACAGACACTTGGATCACAAAGGAGAATTGCATGTGCAAGGCAGGAAGGCAGGAATGATGAATTTATAGGTTATGCTATGTTAAGGCAACTGGCCAGACCACAGCAGTGGCTGTAGTGGCTCAAAAGGGTTCAATAGATCTGATGAAGAAAGATGGCACCTTAGGTATTCCTAACTCTTTGAGAAGTTGGCTACAAATTTTCCATTCTTCCTTTTTATTTAATTACACATATTAAATTAAACAGCTAAATACAGCACATACTAATGGTGTAAATGATCACTGATGAAGATGTTTAAGAAATCAATTCCAATGCCTTTCAGGGCATTTCTGGGTCATCTTTGCCATTAACTACAGCTGAGTCTGACCCTTGGCACTTTGATGAGAAGGGTTAGAGAAGAATTGGAGGGCGGAATAAGATTGAGTCAGAGATCCAGATATGTCCAACAGAGGTTGAGTGGCAAGCAGAACCCAGATATCAGAACAGGTACCAAGTCAGAACCAAGGTAGCCAGACAGAAATAATATCAAGCACAGGTCAACAGGATCATAAAGATAATTTCTAGCCTAACCTGACGGTGCTCACATACTTCCTACTGGGGGTGGACCAAACCCATGGTATACGTAGCATGGGGTCCTCAGGTAAAACCAGGTAAGTGGCTGCACCTAAGGAATAAGTAGTGTGGTCATGTCTGCAGAGGATGTATTGTCACAAACCCTTTCTAATTCACCCTATATTTTACCATGGAATCAACTTTCATCAAGGCCTGGATAACATTCCCGAGGATTCAGGATCGTGTGCATCAAAGGCCCCTCTGAGCCAGGCCCCACTGTTGCTGAGGACTTCTCTGCATCCTGGTCTTAATTATACATATTAACTGTAAGAAGGAACCATCACAAGGATGGAAAAGTATCTTCTCTTTAGTTTCCTCTTGCTCTTCCTTTTCTTTCATTTGGCAGAAGAAGACAAAGAGGAAACATCCACTACTAACATGGGAAAACTCTACAACTCATACTATTCTTCAATGAAAGTAGCTATCTTCTCAACTCCTAAAGACATCTTTCCTATAGTCAGGTATTTCCAGCAGTGGCTGCTGACTAAGTATTACTTGAAATTTACATCCTTTGCCAATCAAGCAACCTGCACATTTTAAGCTGTTTCTAACATAAAGTGTTGCAGAAACTCTTTTATAATTCAGATAGCAGGGGGCAGTCAGAGGTAGAAGCAGTAGACCCATTAGGAGGCTAGTACAATAATCCAGGTAAGAAATGGTAGTGGGTATCTCTAGCACAGTCCCATATGTCCAACTGCTTACTGCACGTACTCACTTGAATGTCTCATATGATATCTCAAAATCATCATATCCCAAACAGGACTATCCCTAGAACTGCCCCATTTTTCTGGGATAGGAGGACACAGTCTTCTGGGTTCCCTAAACCAGAGACCTGTATACGTCCTTGATTCCTCCCTCTCCGTTAACTCTTCCATCTGGCTAGCAACAAGCTTCTATTGATTCTGCTTCCTGGATATCATTCAGTTCTGTTCCTTCTCTCTATTGTCTGGGTCACTGCCTTAGGCCTGTTCACAGGACAATTGCAGGAGTCTCCATTCTGGTTTTCTTATGTCCAGTCTCGGATCCTCTTCTACTCTAAATCCATTCTCCAGGATCCTCCTCACTTGAGTGATCTTTATATAATCCGAAAGTAGTTGAACTTCTTTGAATCATCCTTGATCAAGCCCTACCTACAATAGACTCATCTCCGTACACGGTCATATCTCCTCCTCAAACATGATCCTACTCTGAAAGCCTTGATGAACAATATAGCATTTACGGAAGATTTTGTGGGGAGAGGAGGAGACGGTTACATCCCACCAAGCTGGGCAAATCTTCCGAAAAATCTCCTGTAAACACCAAACTTGTCCCCACATTCCTCTTTTCACCTGTGGCAGGTGGCGCAAATTCCCTTTAACATGTTTAGCGCAAATAAAAGCTAACTTAACAGAAACCAGAGCTCCCACCTCCTCACTCCTCCCACTCAACCCTACAGAAAATAATACGGGCTGCCTTTACGCTCTATAAATCACATTAGACCCACTGCCCACAAGTAGTGAAAGCTAAAAAAAAAAAAAAAATGGACATAAACTTTAGCATGAGACAAGTTGACTTCAAAAGCTTGCGATATACATATTCTAGGCAGCCTTAAGACCCAAGAAACTAAATTTTGATCTGGGATTAAGCCCATGCCTGTCTTGAAATAATAACTTGCATTTATATTAACATAACAAGTATTATGCATAAGTTTTATATTTATACAATAATTTTACAATTTTAAAGTTGAATTTTTAAAACAACCCTGAAAGACAGCAAACAGGTATTAATACCCTTCTTTTGGGGGATTGGGAAACTCAGGCCTAAAGCAATGGAGTTGCTCAAGATCAATGGCAGGAGGCCAGAACACAGGCTCCAGCCTATTTGGCCACCACTTTCTACTCGCCCACTGATTGCTTTCTCAGCCTGATCTTGAGGTTCTTTTTTCTTCTTCTTTTGTAAATGAAGGGTTCCTACCAAAGAGGATGAGACAGACTGGCATAAGGAAGGACCTGACATGGGTCAATACTGAGGCAGGAGGTGAGATAGGAGTGGTGATGCGTGAGGCCGGGATTGCTGCCCACTGGCTGCACAGGGTGAGGCACATGAGAGATACCCAGTGACCCCTTGTTCAGGGCTTACTGAAGGCATATGATCCCCACCTGAAGCCACTATGTCAACTTCCAGCTCAGGCCTGAGGCTTAGCCACACAGAGACTCTCCTAATGCATCTCCGACTTCTCATAAGCCCTCACAGATGTAGCAATGATGAAATCTTAACACATTTGTTCCCTAGCACTGAAATGTGTTTATGCTTCTGAATTTAAGGTTTGTAATGGGCTTTGCTCACGGGAATGATTATTTTAGTGCTGACTTTTAAAAAGGCAATTGATAACAAGTTTACACAGCCAAAAGAGCTCTGGCAATTATCTGCAAATTCGGACTCCATGAAGAGCCAAACTAGATCATTTAAGACCCCCTGAATCCATTCCGGGGCCAAGATTATCCAAATTGACAAGCTAAAAATGAGATAATTTATGCTGAAATGGGGCTTATGAAATCAAGATGCTACTCTGGATGGCTGCTGCTGGGAGCTGCCACAATCCCTTCTTCCCTTATTTTTCTCCTTCATGAACTCTTTCTCTCCTCTATTCACTTTCCCAGTTAAGATGGCAGGAAAGCAGAGTAAGGTTTAAAATGTTCTTTGCCTGAAAACTTCC
The DNA here is from genome assembly GCF_000001405.40 of Homo sapiens. NCBI lineage: Eukaryota > Metazoa > Chordata > Mammalia > Primates > Hominidae > Homo > Homo sapiens. The sequence goes on along the minus strand of NC_000003.12, from coordinate 137,190,873 downwards.
TGAGAGTTTTAAAGTTTTTCATGTGAAGCCTTGAACAATATGTACAGAATACAAAGGTCTCTAATGTTGGGGTGTGGAGGACAAAGAGTTGGTGGTGGTGGTGGTGGTTTTTAATTTCAGCTGGGCTGGGCCTGGGTTGTGCAGCAATCCTACCAATGAGAAAGAAAACAAGTCCTGAAATAGCCCATTTCTGCAAAGCTCTTCAGCTGAGCCCCCAAATAGTCTTCCAGGTGGTCTTGGCCTTAGATCTTGACACCGAGGCTTCATAAACAGCAGAGGAGGCTGGATCACCAGGGGACCCTGGCTTGCTCCAAATCTTCTCTCCTGGAGGCTCTCTGGGCTCAGAGCACTGGGACAGTGTGTGAAACTGAGGCCTACCTTGATGCCAGCCACTAGGACCCTCACCACCAGCCTGGTCAGAAACAAACTGCAGCAACCTAAGAGAAAATGAGCCAGAATCTTACACATATTTGACTTTGGTCAAACATGGTGGATTAACCACCCACACTGATCTCCTCCCTCCCCCAGCCTCATCTAAATGACAGTAAAGGAATTTAAAAAAAAAAAAAATCCACCAACAAAGACCAGAAGAATAGGAAGGTAGAAGAAGGCAGAAAACAGTGTCAACAGGTTTCAGAGGATGGAAAGCAGATGAATGAGTGGTAATTGCCCTAGGAGAGCAGAAAAAGTAAAAGCTTTCTGCCTGCAGGGGAGCTACACCAATGAGAAGCAAACCATTTGTCCTGCAGTCAGATGAAGGGACGTAGACCTTGGAAGCACCCAATACTTTGGAAGCAGGGCTGAGACGTGGGGCTGAAAACTGTGGGAGTTGTCAAAGATCTATATAAGGAGCAGTTGAATCCTCCAGTCCCCCGTGCCCACCCCAAGCAGCCAAACTGTCCCCATCCCCTTACCTCTGCAGAAGATAGAAGATTTATTCTCTGGAGAAGATAAGCTGAGAGTCTTCAGCTCAGAGGGTGGGGATTGGGTGTGAAGCTGAAAACAGGGGATTAATGGAGGCCTAGATACTGAACTATGGAGCACCCCCACCCTTCCCTTACTTCATTCTGAGGAAAAGGCAGCCAAAAATACACATGTCCTGGTGAAGAATAGGAAGATCATTCTCTAGGGGAAATTAACCCCAGAAAGAGTTCCACTAATTACTGTTTGGAAGCTCTCCCATAAGGTGGTTGCCTGCTCTTCTGATTCAACCACAGTGAGGACAACCAGTAGGGAAGCCTTACCCCTACCCCCACAGGGTTTCTAATTGGCCTTAGTTCTTTGTTCCAACCCAAAACAGAAACACCAAGAAAACAAAAAAGAAAAGTGGGGGAAAACTCAAGGAAAACCAAAACAAAAGCACTCGCGCAGAAGAAAACTTGAAGAAAATAATCTCAGGGATATAGAAGTTGGGTGAGAGGGCAGGAGGGTGGAAGTGAGGGTGAGGAAAGAGAAATTACCAAATGGGTTCAGTGTACCCTATTTGTGTGGTGGTTACACTAAAAGCCCAGATTTCACCACTACAAAATATATACATGTAACAAAACTGCACTTGTACCCCCTAAATTTATACCGAAAAAAGAGAGGGATGGAAGTTATTATCTACAATAAAGTTATCCAATGAAAAAGGAACAAAGAACTAGAAAGATTTTGGGGGGAAAAAAACACAGAAAATATATGATAACAAAAATATATGATAGCAAAATTAATATATGTAAAGTCAAGAAACTCTCCAAAAATAGAGCAAAAAATAAAGAACAGTAAGAGAAAATGAATAAGAAAGTTAGAGAATTAATCTAGGATATCCAGATAGAGCAAAATGAAAATAGAAGATATTCTCAGAAAAACTATATGAAAATTTGAGTTTCCAGATTACAAAGGTCCACTGACCAGCACAATTCAAGAATGAAAAGCACATGTCATCGTATTTTAGAATTTGGGGTTAAATAGAACATACTATAATATTCCAGGGAAATTAAAAAACAATATCACACTGAAAGAAATAAAAATCCAAACAACATTCTAGTTTCCAACAACAAACCTGAATGCTAGAGAAAAGTGGGCAATGTTTTCAAACATCTGAGGGAAAAGGTTTTCAACCTAGAATTCTGTAAATAACCAAACCATCAATCGTGCGTGGGAGTGCATGAACTAATCATAAGGGTAAAATAAAGATATCAGAGTCCAAAATTGTTTCTATTTACACCTCCCTCCCGCAACTTAAGAAGCTAATAGAGGACATGTTTCGGCTACATGCAGGAATCAACCAAAACATAAAACCAAAAAAGAAAGGCATGGGGATCTAGGGAAGAGGGGACTCAGCTCAGAAGTAAAGGAAAAGGAAATTCCGGAATAATCTCCTTCAGCAGGCTGGGAGCAATTAATCCTGAGAGAGCACAATACAGGACTGAGGAATTGCTATATACCTACTCTGTTTGAAAAGGTTAGATACAGTTATTAAGAAAAACAAAATGTTGCAGGAGAAAGCAAATGTAGCAATGGTACCCATACCCTACTGCACTCAGCTGTGAACAATATCTGCAGATTCATCAAAATGTCAACACCGACTATTATGATATAACTATTTTGGAAGGGTGAGGAGTAGTGACATAGGGAGCAAGTGAAGAGAGCTAAGTCTAACTACCACAACAGAAGTGAGTGGATACGGTGTGAAATGGATCAATGAAAAAAGAAGAGAATAACCACGGTGTTTACATGTGCGGAGGAAAATAACAGAAGAAACATCTTCAAGGGTAAAGGAGCTGGGGGATATTTTTTCAATAATTAGTAATATTTAACTATATTACATTGATAAAAATACATTTTTATTAATTTTTTAAGTAAATTCAATCAGTCAATTTTCCACTTGGGTAAGAATGGATTCAGTCTCCATTTTATTCCATTATGACCTCTGAACATCACAAAGGAGGTGGCACCTCTCCCTCTTTTCCACAACTTTCTGATATATTTTTCCATAGGATTCTTCATCAATTTCTAGGAAGAAGCTTTTTTTATTTTGATTTTTTGGCTTTTTCTTCAGTAACAAGAGGAAAAGGAATATTGGTCGAAAATAAGTGAGGCCTAAAGCCAAAGCAAGATTCCAGGCCCCTGCCCCACTTGGCTACCTAATTGTACGGAACAAAATCAATAGGAAGGCAGACTCCAACTCCATTTCAAAAGCAGACTAGACTGCTGGATAGACAATGCATGATTGCCTGTGTGCATGAGACTGAATTGAGTGCTGGGGGCATGGGAAGAAAGAAGTTACAGAATCAGATTTCACCTCCTGCTCATATCTTTCCCCTTTGTCAGAAACAACAACAGGAAAATGGCCCTAGAAGACCTATCCTTCCTGGCTCTGGTGATGCCCAGTGCAGCTGAACCCTTGCATTTCATTGATGAAATTCATTGGGCTGAAACTCTCCAGTCTCCAGAAAACCAGAGAGACACGGTCTAAAAAGGGGAATGCAAAAGGAATTCTGTAATGAATTTGGGTAAGAAACCCATATGGGGGCCAAACTTATGCTAAGGGAAAGATAGGCAGAAGAACACTCTACAGAACCAGTAAGCAATATCCCCAACAGTCCTGAGTGGATGTGAGCCATGAAGTTAGAGCAAATGAAACACTTTCAGAATAAGCAATGAATGATGTTGGGCAGCATTTGGGTAGCGAGGAGGCCAGCCAGGGGCTCTGCCCAACCCTGATGGTGACAGAAACGGGCTAGAACTCCAGCCCTCCTACCAATAGTCCCTATTAAGGAGGCATTAGATTTGTTCCTCTTTTCTCATTTGCTCAGTCTTGGAAACTCTGACCTCAAGTCTTTGTTCTCTGCTTTTTCGGCGGAGGGAGAGGTAAGTTGATTCATATAGCTAACGAAATAAAAGTGAAAGCATAAAAACTGAAGGAAATAAAAATAAATTAAAAGGAGTAACCACTAAAGACCCTTCGAAAGGATAAAATGATTTCAATTTTACTGTCTCACTCACTTCTCCCCACTTCCTTCCGAGATATACCTGCATATCTATGTATTTATACAGTTTTTTCATTATTTAGTTAATATGAACTACAGGCCTCATGCTTCCTCCCTTCTAAATCCAAAATGAAGAAGCTTTCTCTTTTCTCTCGCTCCCTTTTTTTCTTTGCTCCCCCTCACCAACACGATTTACATTCTCAATGTAATGTATTAAAAAGTTGACAGGGACGAAAGGATTCACACGATGTCTGCTAAGAAACCCAATTTCCATGATGAATTGCCCGAAGCCCCTGAATCACAAACCATTTTTTCCGCTGCTCAGAAGTTGGATTTTTTTTTTTTAAATCTTCTTAAAGCCTCTCTCCTAATCTTCAGCTAGAAGAGATGGGTAAAAGAATTTTTTTTCTAAACTAAGGAAAGTATTAGCATCTTGGTTGTTGTGCATCAAATTTGAAAATGCAAGGTTAGTAATATTTCAAATCAGCCATGGTCCAAACCTCTCGATAAGTGAGTGTGCTGTTTTATGTTCATTTTCTCTCTCTTTCTCCCTCTCTCTCTCTCTCCTTTCCTACCTCCCTCTCCTTCTCCTTTCTCCCCTATATGTCCCCCTATAAGGTTTATAGTCAGTAATAAGTAGGAGCTTCCAGAAAAAAAGAAAAATTTAGAGTGATTCTTCATAGATCTATCCCCTTTTGGAAGGTTATAGAATTCCAAATAAAATACCCACTTTTCTGTATTTGACTGGATCAACTGTATCTGGGTGAAGAATTCAGCAGCAAAACCCTAACCCAATGCATGAGATACACTGTCAGCTCAGCAAGCAGTGATTCTGATTAGAACTGCATTTGCATCATATTGAGCATATTCTCCTAAGACATAGGGTTTCATTTTCCCAGAAGTGTTCACCCTGGGCTGCTCATTATGAGAGGGGTGAAGATTGACACAGCATTCATCTGAGCTCTTGTCAAGATTTTTGGACCTTGAAGAAAACCTACTCTTTCCCAAATATTCTGGAAATTTGGAGCTCTCCTATCTGAGATTTCAACTTCACATTTTTTTCTGTGTGCTATAAACAGGTCAGTCGGAGGCCTCTTCCACTCAGGACAGAACTGGTCTTTGCCTGCCGCCCAGGCACTCTGGCTTTTCCTAGGACCCGCTCCCCCAGAAAACTTACCCTAATAAAACTTTAAAAGAAAATAATTAAGGAATTTTTTTTTCAGACAGTGTCTTACTCTGTCACCCAGTATACAGTGCAGGGGCATGATCTCAGCTCACTGTAACCTCCACCTCCCGAGTTCAAGCGATTCTCCCACCTCAGCCTCCTGAGTAGGTGGGATTACAAGCATGCACTACCACGCTCGGATAATTTTTGCATTTTTAGTAGAAACGGGGTTTCACTATGTTGGCCATGATGGTCTCAAACTCGTGACCTTGAGTGATCCCACCTTGGCCACCCAAAGTGCTGGGATTATAGGCGTGAGCCACCAAGCCCAGCCAATAATTTTTTTTAAGAACATATTCAACATTAGATGGGAGACAGTGGAACTCTGATATTGTCTATAAATCGCTAAAACATGTGTTGAGATACAGAAAGCTGGTGGGCAGCATAGAGACAGGCAATAAAGAGTCCATATGCTAAAGTTTAAGTCCGAAATCACAAGCCCCAAATTTGACTCAGGAAAGTTATGAATTAGCTCTCAAGAAAAACTTCCAGCGCAGATATTCAGAAAAGTTTCATAATCTAAGACAGGCCATGATCTTGGCCCTACAGTGTTAAGAATATTTATTTTGCAGGAAGAAACTGAGAGCATTAGAGGGAAAGAGCCTGACCCCAGCTGCATAGCTAGTGAGTGACAGAACGACGACCTGGTTAGAATTGGTTATTGGTTCTTATATTGCCAGTTATGTTACTATTATATATATTAGTAATATATATATATATATTACTGATATTATATAGATAATGCATCTGGGTGACTGAGTGAAGGCTTTACAACCATGCAGTTTCCCCCAAGGGTTATTTCTCCTGAACACGTCCTGTGTCTTCCTAACCAAAGAGAAGCAACATAGCAGGGTATAGTTAAAAGAGATGGGCACTCTCATTATCTTTCCAGACTGACTTCGACAAGAGAACTTAATGGGTCACTTTACTGAAAAGTCTTCAGTTTGGCTTGATTTAGGGCTAAGAGGATGTCATAGAGACTGACTGACTCCACTTTGCTCAAGGAGGGAGAAAGGTAAGCTTGGCTTAAGTGTGTGCACCATGTCAATTAAAGGAAAAGTAGTGGGCTTATCACTCATATGTCTCCCCAAACAACCCTTCCAGAGACATTATTCTCACACTACCTGTGTCTATCCCTTAGCACACCCTGATTTTAAAATGAGCGAAAGACCTGAACAGACACTTCACCAAAGAAAATATATAAATGGCAAATTAGCATATGAAAAGACGCTCCACATCACGTCATTAAATAAATGCAAATTAAAACAAAGAGATACAGCTACACATCTATAAGCATGGCCAAAATCCAAAAACACTGAAAACACCAAGTGCTAGTGAGGATGCGGAGAAACAGGAGCTTTCATGCTGTATGTACAGCCACTTTAGGAGACAGTTTGGTGGTTTCTTACAAAACTAAACATACTCTTACCATTATTATTCAATAATTCCACTCCTTAGTATTTACTCAAAGGAATTAAAAATAGATGTCCATGCAAAAATCTGCACATGGATATTTATAGCAGCTTTGTTCATAGTTTTCAAAACATATATGCAATCGAGCTGTCTTTCAGTATGTGAATGGATCAATTGTGGTATATCTGTACAATTAAATATCATTCAGCACTAAAAAGAAATCAGCTTTCAAGCCATGAAAAGACCTGGAAGAATCTTAGATGCATATTACAAAGTAAAAGAAGCCAATCAGAAAAGGCTAATACTGTATGATTCCAACTATATGACATTCTGGAAAAGGCAAAACTGTGGAGAGAGTAAAAAGATCTTAGTTGCCAAGGAGTAGGGGGAAGGAGGGATGAACAGGCAAGGCACAGAGGATTTTTAGGGCAGTGAAACTATTCTATATGATGCTATAATGATAGATACATGCCATTATACATTGGTCAAACTCATGGAATGTACAACACCAAGAGTGAACCAAATGTAAACCATGGACCTTGCGTGATAATGATGTGTCAATGTAGGCTCATCAAGTGTTAACAAATGTACCACTGACTCGGGGTGTTGATAATGGGGGAGGCTATGCATGCATGTGATCAGTAGGCATATGGGATAGCTCTGTACCTTTCTTTCAGTTTTTCTGTGAACTCAAAACTGCTCTAAAAAAATAGTCTACTTAAATGGGAAATAAATAAATAAATAAAATTAGCATACAGGACAGTCAAAGCCAATGGAATTGTGTCAAGACCACAGCAAAGACCAAAACAAAAACAAAAATTTAAAGAAATAAAAAACAAGGTAAAATTCAGAGATCGCATGATTACGAGAATAGAAAAGAAGTAAATGGAGGTACATTTGAAGCGGATTCAACCTCAGTGTAATAAAACGGGGGAAACAGTCTGACTATTCTGAAATTAACCTTTCCATGTAAATTAAAAGTAGCTAAGGGTAAAGGATACTAGAGAGAAGAAAATAACTATAATGGAAAAGAAAAGGAAAGATCTTACCTCATTGACTGATAAATCTGTTCACTGTTCATTAAACAATAAGTTCTATCACGGCAAATAAATGGCCATACACAATGTAAGTTTCATGAGAGGAGGGATTGCTTTTTATTTACTGTTGTGTCCCCCGTTCCTAGAATAGTGGATGGCACCCAATAAATGTTAAATACATAAATGATTTCATAACTCAGAATGCTAGAGTTGAGGAATAGACACAGGTGGTACAAAGAAAATCACCAGTAACGAAAAAATAGTAGGTGATTACTCAGGGTTTGCCAACTACAATAATAAATATCCCAAATTTTTAGCAGGTTAAACAATGAAGATTTATTTCTTATTCCCATTATAATCTGATGGTCAGGATTGGTGGAGAAAACTCTGCTTCCACAAAGTCATTCGGGAAACCAAGCTTCTTTTGTCTGTGAGTTCTATCACTCACTCCTAGAGCCCCAGAGTCCTTCATTAAGTCATCTGTATCCAGCTGGTACAACAGAAAAGTAAATACATGGAGGATCACTGCCTTAGTTTGTGTTGCTATAAAGAAGTAATTTATAAAGAAAACTGTTTATTTGGCTCATGATTCTGATGTTTGGAAAAGTTTAAGATTGGGCATTTGTATCCAGCTATGGCCACAGGCTACTTTCACTCATGGCAGAAGGTGAAAGGGAGCTGGCATGTCCAGAGATCACACAGTGAGAGACGGAGCAAGAGAGAGGGTGGAGGAGGTGCCAGGCTCTTTTTAACAACCAGCTTTCATGAGAACTGACAGAGTAAGAATGCACTCATTACCATGAGGATTGCACCAAGCCATTGATGAGGGATCTGCCCATATGACCTAAACACTTTCCATTAGGCCTCACCTCCAAAACTGGAGATCGAATTTCAACATGAGATTTGGGGGTGGGGAGTGTAAGCATCCAAATTATAGCAATCACATGGAGGTTTTTTAGGGGCCAGGTTTAGATGAGGCATCTATCACTTCTACCCACATTCCATTGGCCAGGACTCAGTCAGAGGTCCCAACTAACTGGTAGAGGCACCGGGAAATGTACTCTAGTTGTAGCCAACAACATTAGCAACATGCCAGAGCATCAAAGAGGGATTGCAGATAACATAAATGCTTGTTCTCTGGGTCACCGTTTGGTCAGAGACAGGGGGAGTAAGAGAGAAAGGCCAAAGTCCAGAATTCATCCAGGTATGGAGTGTTGTTCGAGACTTTCCTTATATTAACTTAAGATCCCAGAAAGATACACCTTCAAGAAAAGAGAAAAATCAGATCTAGCTAGATCTGCCCACTGGGAATGGTGGAAACAGCTGCCTTGCTAAGCAGATCAAAAATGAAAAAAAATCAAAGAAGCTATCTCTGGTAGGTTTTAGCTGTAGGCAGTTCTTATCTTCAATCAGGTTCTTCAAAAAGCAGACCCTGAGCAAGGATTCAATTCAAGTGATTTGTTAGGGAAACACTCTCAGGAGAAACTGGTGACTAGGGGAAGCATAATTGAAAAAGGGGAGAAGCCAAGCTAGGAAGAAAATTCCGGTGAATCCTAGCTTTAGCCTGATCCTGCAGGAAGCTCTGATGTATAAATTTCATGTCAAGGTTTTCCCACTTCCAGACAAGGGAGCTGGACTTCTGTACTCCTGCACCAAGCAGTCATTGACTACAGGCTTTCCTGAGATGATATCAACTACTAGGTATTCTAGTACCAAGCAGTCATTGGTTATAGACAGCTCTGAGGGGTTGTGCTCCCAGAAACTTTCAGCTATCTCAACGGGCAAATTAGACTCAATAGTCCAAGCACAATCCACTGAAGAATATTACAGGTCCCAGCTATTAGCCGCAAAACAGCAAAGCTGGGGCATAAACCCAGCAGCAAATCTGGGGCATAAACACACAGAGCCAGTAGGAGGGACTGGAGGGAATTTAAGTGGGGCTCTATAGGCTCTCATGCACATTTATCTATGAACTTATTTTGTGGTGGTTGTAAAGGGTAGGGTATTTAGGCCACTGGCAGAAGCAAGTACAAAGTCTCTCTAAAGGTAAACACATCTATTCTAGCCCTCAACGAACTTCCACAAATTATGTTTGCAAATCAATGACCAGTTAGCAATCAAAAATTACCAAGCCTATAAGAATACAAGATAATATGAATATATTCAATAACTAAGAGAAACCGGAGACAGCAGACACAGATCCACACAATTCAAATATTGCAGCTATCAGACACAATTTTTTTAAATGATGATGTTTACCATAGCTATTTATCATGTTTACAATGATAAATTGATAAATTGCCCATAAATGACAAACTTGAAAATATCTGCTAGGAACAAAACACTATAAAAAGCATTATAGCAGATTTAGAAAAAAACTAAATAGAACTTCTAAAAAAAAATATAATCCAAATTTAAAGCTCAGAAAAATGGAAGAAAAAGGGACAGAGGCAATCTGCGAAAAGAGAATGCCTAAGAATTTTTAAAACTGATTGAAGGCAAAGATCCACAGATTCAAAGATCCTAGAGAATCCCAAAAAGGATAAATAAAAAGAAATTCACTTTTATACAAATCATAGAAACTTTTTTTAAATTATTTTGTAGAGATGGAGTCTTTCTATGTTGCTTAGGCTGGTCTCGAGCTCTCGGCCTCAAGCAATCCTCCCACCTCAGTCTCCCAAAGTGCTGAGATTGCAGGCCTGAGCCACTATGCCCAGCCCAAATCATAGAAACTATTTTTTTAAAAAGATAAAGGGAAAATCATAATTGCAGTCTGTGAAAATGGAGAGATTACCTGCAAAGAAGTAGCATTTAGATGGATAACTGACTTCTGAACATCAACAATGGAAGCTAAAAGACAATTGAATATCTTTTTAAAGTCCTGAAGGCAAGAAAAAGGTAGAATTCTATATTCAGTAAAAATATCTTTGAAGAGAGAAGATAAAAATATTTCAGAAAAATACTTTTGAAAAGCTCATCACCAGCATACCCTCACCAAAAAAAAATTCTGAAGGACATGCTGTAAGCAACTGATCCCAGATTGAAGATCTGAGGTATAAGTGTATATAAAGTGAAAATTGAGTAAAAATATATCGAAATTGAAAATAAACATTGATTGTGTAAATCAGCTAAATTACAATGCCTAATAATGTTAAAAATTCAAAGGACATTATTACCAGATAGCAAATATATATAAATAAAAAGTATGATAAATGGAGTTATAATGTTCTAGTTATTTGAAAGATGGATAACAGTTATTTTTTAAATTTGTTCTTTTATAATTTAAAGATACATTTTTGTAATTTCCAGAGTAGCTTCTAAAATAACATAAAGCACATAATACACAAAACAATTAAGAGGTGGAACAAATATAGTAAAAATAAACAGGGAGGAACAAGCATAAAATTGATATAGAAAATGTATAGCATAAAAATTCCAAATATATCTGAAATTACAATTAATATAAATCAACAATGCTTCAATATAGGAAAAAATGAAGTTAGAAAAACATAAAATCCAACTACATACAGTTTTCAAAAGACACATAAAATATAAAGATATAGAAAAGTTGAAAGTAAAAGGTAGCATGAAAATACAAATAAAAAGAAAGATGATATTGCTATATTAATATAAGAGGAAACAGAATTCGAGGCAAAGATCATTTCTAGAGGTGAGGACTATCACTTCTTAACAATAAAAAAGTTCAATTTATGAGGAAAACAAAATGATTTTTAAACTTATGTGCATTTAATAACATGGCCTAAAATAGATAGTGCAAAATTAACAGAAGAGATGGAAAGGCCGGGCTTGGTGGCTCACGCCTGTAATCCCAGCACTTTGGAAGGCCGAGGCAGGCAGATCACGAGGTCAGGAGATCGAGACCATCCTGGCTAACATAGTGAAACCCTGTCTCTACTGAAAATACAAAAAAAAATTAGCCGGGCGTGGTGGGGGCACCTGTAGTCCCAGCTACTTGGGAGGCTGAGGCAAGAGAATGGCAAGAACCTAGGAGGCAGAGCTTGCAGTGAGCCGAGATCAAGCCACTGCACTCCAGCCTGGGTGACAGAGCGAGACTCCGTCTCAAAAAAAAAAAAAAAAAAGAGAGATGGAAAAATAAACATGCACAATTTGTGAAGGTTTGACACCTCTCTTTCAGTGATTGACAGAATATGCTGATAAAAACTAGTAAGGATATAGAAGATTCAAAAAACAGTATTGCTATTGTTTCAATGTATGTATCCTTCCAAAATTAACATGTTGAAACTGAAACCCTAAGGTGATGCTGTTAAGAGGTGGGGTTCTGCCCTCATAGATGGGGTTAGTCCTTTATAAAAAAGGTTGAGAGAGCAAGTTCTTCCCTTTTTGCCCTTCTACTCCTTTGGCCATGTGAGGACACAGCATTCATCTCTTTTTCACCTCTTTCACTATATGAGGATGCAGCAAGATGCACCATCTTCAAAACAGAAAGTAAGCCCTCACCAGACAACCCCAATCTACTGACACCTTGATCTTAGAATTCCCAGCCTCCAGAACTGGGAGAAAATTAATTTTTATTCTCTATAAATTATCCAGTCTAAGGTGTTTTATTGTAACAACACTAGGAAAAAGGATCAATAAACCTGACCAAATAGACATCTAGAGAATGCTATGCCCAACAGCTGCAGAATATACCATTTTCTGCAAACATACACATATATTTACAAAAATAGACCATATAATGGACCATGAAGCAAGTCTCAACAAATTTCTGAGGACTGAGCACAATGCAATTAAATCAGAAATACTGTGAAAACAATTTTTAAGTTCTCAAACATTTGGAAATTAAGATGTATCAATCATAGGTCACAGAGGAAATAATGGAAATTTAAAACATTTAGAGCTAAATGACACTAAAAATACTATACACTGAACAACTTGTAGTAAATATAAGCTTTAAAATGCATCTATTAGTAAAGAAAAAATTGATTTAAGCATCCATCTCAAAAAAGGATAAAAAGGGAAGAAAAAATTGGAAGAGGGAATAACAGAAATCAATTATATGGGCCAGACATATGAAAGAGGAAACAAAGTCAAAGCTGATTCTTTGGAATAGGAGATGGGACAAATAACTCACAGCAGGAATGAAAAGGAAATCCATGTAGATAAACGTTGAAGACATCTAACAGCTAAGAGAAAATTTTGAGCAACTTAATACCTATAAATTTGAAAACATAAATGAAATGGACACCATGACATATCTGGCATCTTTGATACCCGGAGCAGATAATTTTTAACATTCTCATCTTCTATTCAACAAAATTATTTTCAGGAATAATTACATAATCAAACAGGTAATAATAATGGGGAAAAAAGTGAAAATTTTTTTATTAAATCTTATATGCTAGTAAACATAGACATATGTTTGAAAAATGTAATAAAATACCTATTATAGAAAAAGGATGAAAACTGGATCAAATACTTTTTAAATGGAAGTATGTTTCACAGTAGATGTTATCTTATGTTGTCTTAATTATTTTTAAATTCCTATTCCTGGACTATCCTGAAGGCACGAATTTAGTAATTTCAAAGTATATTTTGAGGCCAGGGAAGGAAAACCAAAAAAAAAAAAAAAAAAAAAAAAGGAAAAGGGTGAAAAAGTAATGGATTAATAGTTTTCAATTGCCTTAATGTTGTGTTGGTTTTGGGTTTGTTTGTTTGTGACAGGGTCTTATTCTGTTGCCCAGGCTGGAATGCAGTGGTGCAATCATGGCTCCCTGCAGCCTCGACCTCCCAGGCTTACACCAGCCTTCCAACTCAGCCTCCTGAGTAGCTGGAAACATAGGCATGTACTACCATGCCTGACTACTTTTAAAGTTTTTTTGTAGAGATGAGATATCTGTATGTTGCCCAGGCTGGTCTCAAACTCCTGGACTCAAGTGATCTTCCAGCCTTGCCCTCCCAAAGTGCTAAGATTATAGGTGTGAGCCACAGTGCTCAGTTGCCTTAATGTATTTTTAAAAGGAAAATACTTATGCTTACATATTTATGTGACATAGTAATGAATACACATATCATAATTTCCATTTTTGAGCCTAAATTTCTGTAATTTTTTCAATGACTTTATCGAAATTTATCTTCTCCTTATATTCATGTCCATAGACAATCTGGCCAGATTTGTCAATCTATTTCACTCAGTTGACCAAAACGTCTATTTTATTTATTTTAATTTTGAAAAGTATCTTCCATATGAAGGAATAGATACATAAGTCTTTAGAAAAAGTCTTAAATACAATATTGAACTCGGCTGCTATTCATAAAAATCTCACTTCACAATAAATTTCAGAAAATGCAATACTGCCCATTCCTTTTTTTTTTTTTTTTTTTTTTGAGACACAGTCTCGCTCTTTCACCCAGGCTGGAGTTCTATGGCGCGATCTGGGCTCACTGCAAGCTCCGCCTCTGCGGTTCACACCGTTCTCCTGCCTCAGCCTCCTGAGTAGCTGGGACTACAGGCGCCTGCCACCAAGCCCCGGCTAATTTTTTGTATTTTTAGTAGAGACGGAGTTTCACCGTGTTAGCCAGGATGGTCTCGATTTCCTGACCTCGTGATCCACCTGCCTCGGCCTCCCAAAGTGCTGGGATTACAGGCGTGAGCCACTGCACCCAGCCGCCTTTGTTTCCTTAGGATCCATTCTAGCCACTTTCAAATATCAATACAGATATTTGAAAACACCAAGTGGTCACAGAATTATAGAATTTATGTAATTCAAGTTATATTTCTTTGTTTTTCTAATCACTGTGCTAGCACTGTTAATTTCTAACATACACTTTAAGCCCGGAAACATGTAGTAACACAAGACTTAGATATATTAGCTGCACCCAAAGCAGGTAAGCTCCAATAATTCCCAACTGTATAAACTTACCCCAGGAGCAAAGGTGTATAGCTGAGTCCAAGTGTTTCAAGAGCTAACTCTATAATTACGAATTCTCCGAATTAACTTTTACACATAATGTAGTGTGTTTTAAATAAGATTTTAAAGTGCCAGTTTGAAGCTTACACACATATCGTGAAGATGCACCAGAAATCTCAGCCCTTATTTTAGAATTTAACCCACAAGATGTTGGGGTATTATCTGGAATTGCTGAGATTTTCATCGATTGTACTGTTGCTTAAAAATTTTCTACAATGAGCTCCCTTATTGCATACATCCATGAGTGCCACCGCCCTGGCCTTGGTTACTGAATGGACAAATTTGTAGAAAATTACAACTTATCAAAACTGCCTCTGTATACCAGAACAAATATATAAGAATGTTCATAGCAGCATTTTTCATAATCACAAAAGAAATTGAAAAAAAAACGTAATGTCCACCAACAATAGAAAGGTCAGATAGTGCATGTTACAGTCATACAATGGAATACTATACAGCCAACCCCCCACCCACCTTCTAATTGTATTCTCTTTCTTTTCTTTATAATATCTAATGCAATTTGTTCAGTCTCATTTATTGCCGGTTTCCCCCACTGGCTGGTAAGGTCCATGAAGTCAAGCATCAAGTTCCAATTTACATCTAGCACTCAGCTTCATGCCTGAGACATGGTAGGCACTCAGAAGTCATTGAATGAATGAATGATGAGTGGTTACAGTTGAGCCCTGCTTGCCCAGGAGCCATTCCACCACTTTGAGGTGACTTTGTTGTGATCTACCATGCATTTATCTTTTTGTTTCATTCTCACAGGAAAGCCTTATTTTCCTCATTTCCAAAATAGAGGATCCTCCCTATATGCCCAAATACTGAAAAGATAGGCAGTGGTTGATGTGGAATTGATTTACTCTGAAGACTTCTAACACTAATCGGAATACAACAAATATAAATGATTAGCATTTACTGAGTGCTTACTCTTTGCAGACACAACCCTAAGAGTCTCACATGTAACTCCTTCAATATTCACATTGGCCATATGAAGTAGGTACTAGTAATTATCATTATTGTGCAGATGAGGAAACTGAGGCAACAGGAATAATTTTTCAAATCTCAGACAGCTAGGTAAAGTGGCAGAGCTGGATTCAAACCCAAGAGATTACACTGCACTATGCTGCATTAAATACCCAGGATTGAAAATTAAATGATGATTAATTGCAGCTCACACCTCAAATTGGCTGGCAGGTTGAACAGCATGGTCTGGGTTGTGTGGTGAAGAAAGACTGAGCTGATGGGCACCACATGGGGCCTATGAAGCCAGGCTTCAGAAAGCCAGTGCTCATGCAGACTTCCAATAAAGAACCCTTCAGATCCCACTTTTTTCCTGTGCTGGGTAATCGCAGGATTTACCTGAAGGAGGCAGGATTTTGTCTCTTGTGATCCTGGCTGGGGGTTCAGAGCGCCTGTTGCTACTGGAGTCATCTATAATTAGAGGATTAAACATCTCACATTTGGGCTGACTGCAGGCATCCTTGACAAGCAGTCTAACTGATGGGTACAATGTCCCTGTGGTTTGTGGCTCCATGCAGAGATGGATAGAACTTAAGAAAAATAGAACAGAAACATAAACTGCAGAAACCTGTCAAGTTTTCATTTCTGCCTGCTCAGGTTTTATTCCCCATTTTGAACATTTCATGCACCAGAGACACATGGTCATCCTTCTTCCTCTGCCACCCTGCAGACTGGCTGCAGCCCCACATCCACACAGCTCTTACCACACTGTACTGGATTATATACACTCCAGGGACACCGTCGATTCATACCCACAGGTTTGTTTGGCACAGGTAAAACCACTGGGGGTTCCTTCCAAAGCTGCTTTTCCTTTCACTGGCTCCTCTACATACACTGGCTTCTGAGCTGGGGCTGGTGGTTCTGCATTCCCTCAGGCTCCATTAGGTCCCTAGAAGGACTGACCCTTAAATATTCAGCCCTCAATCTTTCTGGCTTTTCTTCTGGTCAGCTACTGGGATACTGTCAAATTATAGCATGCCTGTTATAAATACCAAATAATATAAAAATATATTAAGGAGGAAGTAAAACTTCCCTATAATTCTGCCCACATTCTAGAGGTGAATGCCGTTATTAACTTGGTGCTGATATTCACAAACCCCTTCAAAGCATATAAAAATTGATAGGAAGGTAGATGTTAGCATACTCTAAAATATTTCTACTACTTTACAAGCTAATTTTCTCACTTAATTACATCATATGGACATTTGTTAGCATCTGAATAATTTGAAAGATTGATCTACTTGTCCTTATTAATAGCTGCATGGTATTTCTTTTTTTAACTTTTATTTTCAGTTCAGGATACAGATGCAGTTTCGTTACATAGGTAAATGTGTGTCGTGGGGGGTTGTTGTGCAGATGATTTCATCATCCAGGTATTAAGCCTAGTACCCACTGGTTATTTTTTTTCTGATCCTCTCCCTCCTTCACTCTCCACCCTCTAATAGGCCTCAGTGTGTGTGGTTCCTCTCTATGTGTCCAAATGTGCTCATCATTTAGCTCCTGCTTATAAGAGCACAGTATTTCGTAGCCCAAAAGCAAACCCATCTGAGGAGAATCATCACCCATCTAGATAAAAACTTAGCTGCCTTCCTTGAATCACCCCAGATCCAATAGTTACAAAATCCTGATAAATTTTCTTCCAGAATTCACTCAAATGTACCCCTCCTTTCCATTTTTATTACCAACACTTCAGTCCAAGCTACCATCTTCTCTCATCTGCACTTCTACAGTTGTCTCTCAATTGGTACCTTTTCAAAGTAGAAATCTAATCAGATCACCGATCCCCAACATCCAGCCATTCTTGCTTTAAACACATTATAATAGCTTCCCTGTACTCTTAACATATAAACAAGATGGCTTAACATGGCCCACAAAGCCCTACTGGAAAGGCCCCTGCTGGTGCCAAAGGTTTAAAATTTTGATAATCATCATCAACTTGCTCTGCAAAAAGGTAGACAAAGTCATATCACCACCAATGATATTGGAAAGTCCAAGTAAGATGTGTTTTTATAACTTCCTCACCTCCCTGGCACCACCACCATTACCATACTATCAAAAAAAAAAAAAATTCAGGACCTAAATGTTGATTTAGCCAGCATTATGTCTTTACATCCATAAAATAATATGATTTGAGGCAATTTCAAATTAATACAGAAAATGTTGTAGTAGCTTCAGCTCTGCCAGCTGTATTACCACACAAAGACTCAGTTGGGAGGTAATTACAAACCTTAGCATCCAGGGCCTCCCACAGACCTGCAAGTGGGTGGGTCTGCTTGGCTATGGAGTATTTCCAATTTCAGTATCTCCAGGGCAGCCAGCTGGAGGCTGCCATCTGGTTTGTGACAGGAGGTCCCTGGATGGTTCTTTCTTCAATCTGGAAAAGGGCTTGCTCTCCATTTCCTCTTTTTAACTCTTCTCTGCATCAATTTGAGGCCACGCCCTCCTCACACATTTTTTCCAGGGTTAATGCTTTATTAATGCTCAGCAAATTGTGAGATTTCTGATCTAAGAAGAGAGTGACATTTTGAACCCATTTTTACTCTGGATGCTGGTTCAGTCCCAACTTACTACTGCCTGATTATCCATATTTTTTTATGCAAGCCAAAGTAAAAAAAAAAAAAAAAAGCTTAAAATTTTCCCCAAATACAGCTTCTGTATTTTATTCATTCAGTCATTTATACAATAAAGAACTGTCAGACACCTATTATATGCCAAGCACTGAATTAAATGAGAGGAAAATACCAAAGAAAATGACAGAAATAATCCTCGTTCTCCTCAGGATTGCAGCCTAGCAAAATAGTGTGTGAGGTAAATAGGGCTCTAGGACAATGAGTAATTTCTGACTTTCATAACGGCCACATTTCTATCCTCATCATTCAATGTCAGGTCTCATCTAGAAAGGTCCTTGAGTTAGCTATAGAGCCTGTACTTTGTTTTTCCAAAGATAACATCCTCAAACAAGACAGAAACTCTCAATTTAATGTCTTTAGTTCTCAGGGTTTTTGTGCTGGTTTTCTTGTCTGCTTTTTAAAAATCTTCCTAGTTCCTGTAGCCAATTAAATTATTGACCCCAATTCTTTACCCCCGTCCCTCATACTTATGCCCTTTGCCAAGTGACTTTGCAAACTTCTACAGGAGAGCCTTGACCCTGGGCTTAGCCATGTGACTTGCTTTGTCCAGTGAGATGTTAGCAAACATGACTTAGGCAAAAACAATGTGCTTCCTTGCATGGGCATGCTTTCTTACACTTCTACTGTAACCATGCCCCAGGCAGTCCACTGATGTAAGGAGGGTGAAAGGTTAGTGGAGTAAACCCGGATCCAACCTGGAGTCAGGCCTGTTGGACCTAGATAGCCCACCCCAGCCTATTGTCAGATGCGTGAGTGAGAATAGATAATTCTTGATTGAAGGCACTGAGTTTGAGGTGTTTTATTACACAGTAGGTGATTCATACAGTCCCCTACAATTTGTATAAACATCCCTAAGTCTGTCCTCTCTAAAACTCCATTAGCCTCCCTCTGGAAGCCCGAACAAAAACATGACTGCACTTTAAGTTTTTTGAGGGGAGCCTACCCCTTGGGGAACTATTGCAAATCTGGTATTTTTACTAACAGATTGAGCTGTCCTTCTGTTCTCTCTTTGTCTGGTAAAGTTGCTGTCTCAGCTACCTTCTGCACTCCCTCCAATGAAGTGGCACAGGAATTCTTCTAGGCTCTTTCCTGGAGAAGTCCAGGGAAGGAACTTAAGGTCTAGAGCAACACATGCCTGCATTCAAAGTATGACTCTGGTGTTTATTAGCTGTGTGACCCTGAGCTTCGAGGTAATTTAAAGTCTCTGAATCTCATTTTACTTATCTGAAAAAATTAGGCTATTACTCATCTCAAATTAAGCAATATTATCTATGTAAAAATCTTGGCTCTGGGCTCAATTTTGGTATTCAATAAAAGTTGTATGGTGTTTTTTGCTTTGTTTAATATTGTTTTATAACTGTCATTAATTTTGTGGTTTTGTTTTGTATTCTTAGCTATCACCAACCTTTACTGTGTCTGGAGAATTATCAGAATTAAAGAAGTAAAAAGAGGCTTTCCTACACTTTCTAGAAGAGCACGAAAACTTGGGGGGAAATGCCTTATATCACCACTTCACAATCTCAAAGGAAGCAATCAACATATATGACTATGTAAAAATAGAGTTATGTCAGAGCTTCAGGGTAAAGATGGCAAAAAGTAGACAGACATGGTCTCCCTCTCTTGTGTCTGATGAAATAATCCAAAATTAGTAAACAATAGTAATACCAGCAAAAAAAATGCATCAACAACAACCCCAATACCTACAAACTTCAAAAAGTGGTGACCAAGAAGTTAATCAAGTTTTTAGTGTGACTCTGTAAGTTCCACACTACAAAGTAACATTGCGCTTAGCTCCTAGAAAACAAACTGGGGAAAAGGTGAAACAAAAAAATCCTGAGACTTCCTCCAACAGCCTCCAGTGTAAAGGGAAGACCAGGGTCTGAGCCAAGTAAATATCATGGTAAAACTCTCAAGATATCAATAAAAGCCCTGTAGCACCCAGAGGGGAATCTTGAGGTCCCAAAGAAAAAGGAAAATGGCTTTCCAAGGTGCCATGCTGAATTTTGAGGACAATCTGAAGTCTGAATCTTCCCTAGGAAACAGACACACTCTGACTAGAACATGTAAACACAGAACGGGGTACTTAATAAAATTCCAGAAGATAGCCTAGAACCCAGGTCATGCAGCCGCAGGAGAATTCTCCTCTACCCACCACCCTAGATCCTGCTCTGTGCTGTTGGGAAAATCGAAAAGTGAATAAAATTGCAATTGCCCAGCCTTCAATCTGTAGCTGAGGCGAAAAACAGATCTCAGTTATAGAGGAATGGAGCCAAGGAGAATTGAGACACACCGGATCAGAGAAAAGAAAGGAATGAACAGAGCTGCCCACATCAACAGGAATAACAAAAGAAAAAGGGCCCAGGAGCAGTGGCTTATACCTGTAATCCCAGCACTTTGGGAGGCCGAGGCAGGCAGATCACAAGGTCAGGAGTTCGAGAACAGCCTAGCCAATATGGTGAAACTCCATCTGTAGTAAAAATACAAAAACTAGGTGTGGTGGCAGGCGCCTGTAGTCCCAGCTACTCAGGAGGCTGAGGCAGGAGAATTGCTTGAACCCAGGAGGCAGAGATTGCAGTGAGCTGAGATCATACCCACTGCACTCCAGCCTGGGTGACAGAGCGAGACTCCGTCTCAAAAAAATAGAGCAAAAGGAAAAAGGAAAGAATGCCCATGGGTAGGAAGAATCAATATCATGAAAATGGCCATACTGCCCAAGGTAATTTATAGATTCAATGCCATCCCCATCAAGCTACCAATGACTTTCTTCACATAATTGGAAAAAACTACTTTAAAGTTCATATGGAACCAAAAAAGAGCCCGCATCACCAAGTCAATCCTAAGCCAAAAGAACAAAGCTGGAGGCATCACGCTACCTGACTTCAAACTATACTACAAGGCTACAGTAACCAAAACAGCATGGTACTGGTACCAAAACAGATATATAGACCAATGCAACAGAACAGAGCCCTCAGAAATAATGCCACATATCTACAACTTTCTGATCTTTGACAAACCTGACAAAAACAAGAAATGGGGAAAGGATTCCCTATTTAATAAATGGTGCTGGGGAAACTGGCTAGCCATATATAGAAAGCTGAAACTGGATCCCTTCCTTACACCTTATACAAAAATTAATTCAAGATGGATTAAAGACTTAAACGTTAGACCTCAAACCATAAACACCCTAGAAGAAAACCTAGACATTACCATTCAGGACATAGGCATGGACAAGGACTTCATGTCTAAAACACCAAAAGCAATGGCAACAAAAGCCAAAATTGACAAATGGGATCTAATTAAACTAAAGAGCTTCTGCACAGCAAAAGAAACTACCATCAGAGTGAACAGGCAACCTACAAAATGGGAGACAATTTTCGCAACCTACTCATCTGACAAAGGGCTAATATCCAGAATCTACAATGAACTCAAACAAATTTACAAGAAAAAAACAAACAACCCCATCAAAAAGTGGGCAAAGGATATGAACAGACACTTCTCAAAAGAAGACATTTATGCAGCCAAAAAACATATGAAAAAATGCTCACCATCACTGGCCATCAGAGAAATGCAAATCAAAACCACAATGAGATACCATCTCACACAAGTTAGAATGGCAATCATTAAAAAGTCAGAAAACAACAGATTCTGGAGAAGATGTGGAGAAATAGGAACACTTTTACACTGTTGGTGGGACTGTAAACTAGTTCAACCATTGTGGAAGTCAGTGTGGTGATTCCTCAGGGATCTAGAACTAGAAATACCATTTGACCCAGCCATCCCGTTACTGGGTATATACCCAAAGGACTATAAATCATGCGGCTATAAAGACACATGCACACGTATGTTTATTGTGGCACTATTCACAATAGCAAAGACTTGGAACCAACCCAAATGTCCAACAATGACAGACTGGATTAAGAAAATGTGGCACATATACACCATGGAATACTATGCAGCCATAAAAAATGATGAGTTCATGTCCTTTGTAGGGACATGGATGAAATTGGAAATCATCATTCTCAGTAAACTATCGCAAGAACAAAAAACCAAACACCGCATATTCTCACTCATAGGTGGGAATTGAACAATGAGAACCCATGGACACAGGAAGGGGAACATCACACTCTGGGGACTGTTGTGGGGTGGGGGGAGAGGGGAGGGATAGCTTTAGGAGATATACCTAATGCTAAATGATGAGTTACTGGGTGCAGCACACCAGCATGGCACATGTATACATATGTAACTAACCTGCACATTGTGCACATGTACCCTAAAACAAAGTATAATAAAATAAAATAAAATAAAATAAAATAAAAAAGAAAGAAAGAAAGAGAGAGAGAGAAGGAAGGAAAGAAGGAAGGAAGGAAGGAGGGAGGGAAGGGAGGGAGGGAGAAAGAAGACAGAAAGAGAAAGAAAGAAAAGAAAGAAAGAAAGGAAGGAAGGAAGGAAGGAAGGAAGGAAGGAAGGAAGGAAGCAAGCAAGCAAGCAAGCAAGCAAGCAAGAAAGAAAGAAAGAAAGAAAAGAAAAGAAAAGAAAAGAAAGAAAAGAAAGGAAGGGAGGGAGGGAGAGAGGGAGGAAGGGAGGGAGGGAGAGAGGGAGGAAGGGAGGGAGGGAGAGAGGGAGGAAGGGAGGAAAGGAAAGGAGAGGAGAGGAAAGGAAAGGGGAGGAGAAGGGAGGGAAGGAAGGGAAGGAAGGAAGGAGGGAAGGAAGGAAGGGAGGGAAGGAGGGAGGGAGGGAAAGAAAGAAAGAAAAAGAGAGAAAGAAGAAAAGAGAGAGGCAGGCAATTATACATTTACCACAGCAAAAGGAATATAACATGCTCCTGACAAAGTACCCATCTTAGAAGAAATTCCTACAACTGATTTGGGCTACAGAGAAATAACAGAAACATGCAATCAATCATCAAGAACATGAAAATGAAATTTTAAAACAGAATGAGACCAAAAGACCAAAAGAGAAATTATATAGCTATGAAATAACCTGAAGACAAAAGTCACATTACTAATGAACTAATAATGCAATTTTAAACATCAATGAATAATCTAGGCTTGACTGAAGAATAAATAGCTGATTGAGGAAAGACATTGAGATGACTAAAAATGAATCTCGGGGAAAAGATGACTTTTTAAAGCACTTAGATGATGATAAATATAATGGACAAAGGTCATCCAACACAGAAATTATTCCTGAAAAAGAACCCAAATCAGAATAAAAATATACTTGGACATATAACACACACAAAAAAAATCCTTGCTATAAAAAAATAACTAATACCATCTGCCTGTAATCCCAGTTACTTGGGAGGCTGAGGCAGGAGAATTGCTTGAGCCCAGGAGGCGGAGATTGCAGTGAGCCGAGATTGAGCCACTGCACTCCAGCCCGGGTGACAGAGCAAGACTCTGTCTCAAAAAAATAATAAAATAAAATAAAATAATAACTAATACCATCTGCCTGAATATTCCAGAATGGAATTATCAACAAGATATCACCTTCTTGCACTATTGAGACCCAACACTATTAAAAAAAAAAAAGTATTCAGTCATCCAGTACCCTCCAAAAAAGTATAGAATCACCTATAAGAAAATGAATACCAGACATATATAGGTAGCAGACAAACATTCTCAACATGAACGGGCATGGAGAATAAAACATCTAAGAGTTCTTCTTTTAAAACCTAACCAATAATAAATTCAGCCAACCAAAAATGAATAGAGGAGCAATGATAGAAGAAACAGTGCAAAATTCAATACCCAAAATCACTGGAGCAATGCTCACAGAGTCTGATGGGAAAGAAAGCGGGACATCAAATTTTTATACCCAGCCAACTCAATGTGAAGACAACCAACAGAAATTTGGAAGTATACAAGAACCCAGAGAGCAAACTCTCTGAGTGCACCTGGAAAAGAACTTCACAAGGAAATCCAGCAAACTAAAAATGAACCATAATTTTAGAAAATAAAGAATTCAGGAAAGCAGAAGCTGTGGTACAAGGACAGGTAGGGAGCAGCAAATTCACTTAATTACAGACATAAAACTAAACCATCATAATGATAGAATCATAGAACTATAATTGTAGAATATAAATCCCTTATACTGACTTTATAAAAATGTTACTAAAAAACTCAGAAGATGAGGGGAGTGGAAAATAAGGTGAGAGGAAGATTAAAAGTTTTAATTTCCTTATCTTTCATAGCAGAGAGTCAATCAATATGTCTAAAATTAAACATGGATCTTTGAAAAAAAAAACTCCAGCTTTCTTAATTTTTTTATAATCATTTTGTAACCTTAGGGAGAACTTTTAGGATCTAATATCTCTGGTGGTAAAAAAAAAAAAAAAAAAAAAAAAAAAAAAAAATCTGAAGTTCCATAATTTCTTTGATTTCTCTTTGGTTTCTTTTTCTTCTGTTAAATTCAAGAAAAATTCAATTTAATGCTTTTTATTTTTCTAAAAACGTAGAGTAAGACCCAATTTTTACTAATTTATTCTGCATTTTTTATTTCATTTATACACTTAAGGAGCTACCTGGAATGATTTTCACTTGAAGTTATTAGGCTACTTCTTGACTATAGAATTTGAGACAACATTTTTTTCTCTTTTTTTATTTTGCTTACATACTTTCAATCTCGCATATACTACTTATATAAAAACAAATTCATAGAGTTTTAAGTACTGAAATACCAAATTGCAAAAATTTGTCATAAAATTCTCTCATCTGTGTGTGCACGCCCCTTGCAATATGACTGTGCAGCTCTACCATCAATAGGTAGAATCTATTTTCCTATCGCTTGAGCCAGAACTGGCCTTATTACTTGTTCTATCCAATAGAAAGTGGCAGAAATAATACATGATTTCTGAACTTAAGTTTTAAAAGGCCTTGTGGCTTCTTCTCTCGCATTCTTGGAATACTCCCCTGAGATTGCCATATGAAGAAGCCTAGGCTAATTTATTGGAGGAGCGGAGGCCACGTGGAGCAGCGAGGAGCTGTCCAAGCCCCACAGTCCAGACAACCAGCTGACAACCAGCACTAACCAGCACATGTCTTGGTCATCTGGCCCCAGCAAAGCTGCCAGGTAACTGCAGCCACTGAGTGACCCCAGATGAAGTTGGAAGTAAAGCTGCCCAGCTAAGCTGAGTTCAAGATGAAAGACTAAGCACATATATCTGTCTGCCTTTCCTCCCCAAGTCCATTGAACTTACATTAAAGAAATACAAAAGGAAAAAAGTCATAAGAACAAATTCCAATGGCCAAGACTGAGTCACGTGCTCATGTCTAAACCAATCCTGGCAAGGGGAATGAGACCACAACAACTGGCTCATACATAATGACTCATCCTCTAGCTCTGCGAGGAGATCGCCTTCCCTGAGTATAAGGCCTAGCAGATGCTAAGTATCCAAAATACTAGAGGTTTTCAGAAAGGAAAAAATGAGGGTCACTCACTTCTACCAACCAATGTCATGAAAAACATATTCCAGAAAACCCTTTCTCAGCAATATCTGAACACAGAATCAAATATCAAACTGATATTTATGGAGAAAGAAAGAAATACTTGATTATGAATGATTAAATATATGAATGTGCATGTAAGTGGATGAATTAAGGTGGGAGAGTTGAAGAAACACAGATTCTTAGCCTAGAGCAGGGTTCTCAAATTTGAGCATCCATCAGAATCATTTAGAGGACTTATTGAACCACAGGTTGCTGGGACCCACCCCTAGGTGGGGAAAGAGGAGCATTTCTAGCAAGTTTCTAGCTGATGCTGATATTGCTGATTGGAGACCACCCTTTTAGAATCCCTGCTCAGAGAAGAGATGAAGTGAAGATGTGCTATCATGCAAATATCTTAAGAAGTGTTGTGGCCCAGAGAAAGCTGGTTTGTTCAGCATGGCTCCTAAGTAAATTATTTGGAAAGTTACCTGGAGGTAGATTTTTGACTCAACATAAGAACACATTTTCAAATAACTGGAGGTGTTTACCAATGGAATAGGCCAGCCCTTTCCACCCTCTCCTGCCTCTTTTCCTGCCTTCCTTTCATTTTCCTCCTACCCCTGCTCTGCTGTTCCAACAACAAGTTTATAGCCCCGGCTGAGGGCGTAGATCTCACATTTCCACAATCACAAATTTATTTCTCCTGGGAACCAAATGTCAGCAATTTTCTGAATACAACTTTATAAGAGCAGAGAAAGAATCAGTCTCTAAAATGTCCATTTGTCTCATTTTGTGCTGTAATATTATGAGTTTTAACTCATGTGAGCAGAGTGATCTACCTTTGATCATTTCTGTATGTTCATCCCATACTGTTAATATCCAATAAAATACTTATAAAAAAACAAATCCCATTCTAACATGACACTATTTTGTTTCTCTGAGAAATTATGTGGACATCTCTAAAAATGTTGCTTTTGAAGGTGGTACCACACAGGAAATGCTGATAACACAATTTCTTAACACACATCAAGTACATAGGTTACACAAAAGCAGATTCTATTTTAGCTTTTTTGAGAGGCTGTTTAAAAGTTAAGTTCCCCTTAATGAAACAGAAAGGAAAAGGGCTTTGCTTTGCTTTTCTCAGCATCCCAGGTTTTCCCTCTTTGTGGCTTATGATGTTTTCCTTCTTTCTTGTGTTATCTGTGTTTCCTGCTCATCTCAACTTGATGACATGTTGCTGAGACAACTAAATCGCTAACCTTCTTAACTTGGCTTTTGTTATGTGCTTGCGTGTGTTTAGGAGGGATATTTTCATTTCTCTTAGAAGGCTCTGTGTCTGCTCTGGGAGGCTATTAGACCTGGAGGTGGAGAACAAGGGAGGCTTCTTAAGTGCTTCCTATTCAAATCGCCTTTTTACTCCCTTTAAACCCACCATTTGCATGTGGCAGAGCACTGGTGGAAGCTTCCCTGCCTCCTATGGTCAGGATTAATTTACTCAGTGATGTCATGCTTGTTCCAGCTCAGACTCCTCCAGGGGAAAGAAAGGTCTGAGAACAAGAAGCACACAAAGTTTCTACCATTTCAGTTCCTTTATTTTATCTTCCCTCCACTTGCCAAAAGTGGGAGGGGGCGCAGCTTAACTGCAAAATAATTACTCTGTACAGTCCGTTCATCTATTTGATCATCTGATAAAATAATTTTAGGACGTAAGCAAGAACCACGGTGCCCTCAACACTGGCCTGCCACAGCACTGAGCCTGTCTTATGTAACAGCTGCTTGTTTATATGTCTGTGCACTCTCCCTCCACACACCACCCTCTGCTGTGCTTCCCTTGGGTCTAACATTTGTCTTTTCTATTATTTCCACTCTCATGTTTACCATGCCCCTTCACATACTGAGTGCTCAACAGAGAGCTCTTCCGGCTGCAAAGTAAAATCAGACCCTAGAAAGCAACTCCTTAAGACAATCTACATAATTTAAAGGTAGTTTTCAAAGCTAAAGTTTAGCTCTCAACCCAAATTCACCTAACTAAATCTAAATTGAAATGCAGAAAGGATAATGAATTTAGAAACACTTTTAGTCCATCTTCAAAATAT
Organism: Homo sapiens; assembly: GCF_000001405.40. NCBI lineage: Eukaryota > Metazoa > Chordata > Mammalia > Primates > Hominidae > Homo > Homo sapiens. The sequence goes on along the minus strand of NC_000003.12, from coordinate 137,163,101 downwards.
CTTATTTGGCTAAATTTTTCACTTTTCCAGCAGATTTTTCCTTTGTTTTTGTTTTTTTTTTAATTTTACAATTGTAATTCAGGTGTCATCTCCATGAGTGTCCCAGATTTCCAGCCTTCTGAAGCTTTCTTTCCCATAACTGGTAGATGTCAGATTCCTGCTAACATCCAAGGACTTACATTCTCAGGGCCACTACGAGCTTCGGTTTCCTCCCCCTGCCAAATTCTCAATCTCTGTCACATAGACACACACCTTCTGTGCTGCATCTCTTATTTAAGCTTCTAGGTGATTTCAGGGTGAAACACAGGCCCTTTATATTTAATTCCCCAAGTAATACACTAGCCAAGACTGGTGTACATAGGAGAGTTACTAAGTTTTGGGCAAGAGGGTCCATTAGGTCATAGCGTATAACACAGGACCTGTCCCACCACAAGCCCTGAGGCAGCTCCTGCCCTCAGTTTCATTCAAGGAACGGCTGAGAAAGAGACAGATTATCTTTTGAACAACTAAATGTGATCTTAAAGCTCCTAGGAAAAGCTTAGCTTTCTAAAAGAGAAAGTAAATTGTGATTTTCAAGATCTAGAGCCTAGAAGAGCTGAACATAATTGGAGAAAGAAAGAGCTCAGAAGGTGACCACTGCCTCACTTTCCAGAGAGAGACAAGGGAAGGAGCACTAGCCTCACGGAGAGGCTCCACATCCAAAAGGTGTTGGTGTGGCCGGGCACAGTGGCTCATGCCTGTAATCCCAGCACTTTGGGAGGCCAAGGCGGGCAGATCACTTGAGGTCAGAAGTTTGAGACCACCCTGGCCAATATGGTGAAACCCCGTCTCTACTAAAAATACAAAAATTAGCCGGGTGTGGTGGCTGGCACCTGTAGTCCCAGCTACCTGGGAGACTGAGGCAGGAGAATTGCTTGAACCTGGGAGGCAGAGATTACAGTGAGCCAAGATTGCACCACTGCACTCCAGCCTGGGTGATAGAGCGAGACTCTGTCTCAAAACAAAAACAAAAACAAAACAAAACAAAAAAAGCCCTTGGTGTGACAGGAGAGCCACGTGAGAAGGCAGGAGCATGGCCTCCGGGGTCCCCTGAGAGGAAGAAGTATGATTCTCAGTGAACAGAGAGTTTAGTTACACACTCACTCCAAAATGTTCCCACTCCAGTAACAAAGATTATATGTCTATTCTTTTTTTAATTGAGATAAAATTCACCATTTTAACCATTTTTATCAGATATTGATCTGCCTCTCTCCCATGTCCGTCTATGGTCCTGGAGAAAATGAGATTTTTGGAGGTTGGGCATGCAAACAACCAAGAGTAACTTTTACTTCTCAATGCCTCCTAGCCCTAGTGAGAGTTGATATATTTCTCAAGTGCCCCTCTCCAATATTTAGGATGATAAAACTTTAGCTTCTCTTATGACAATATCACACCAGAGAATGTATCTCTGGCCTGTCAAACCCTCTTCTATTCACCATATTAGTCAGCTTTACTACAGCATAATGCAGTAACAAACAACCCCTAAATTTAGTGGCTTGTAATAACAAAGATTTCTTTCAACATGTGAGAAATTTCAGTTATGGTGGTAATATTTAGAGCTTAATCAGAAAATATGTGGAAAATGTTCTACTATCTGCCTCGTTCCTTTATTTTTCCTTGTAGATGAGTCTTATTTCAACACTAGATTTTAAGTTCTTTGAAGGCAGAGATTATGCATCATACTCATATTTTTCTCACTTTACCTGGTGTGTGGTTAATTAAATATTTCTTGAAGGAACCAATGAAAAAATGAATCTATTGAAGAACTGTGAATAGGTATGTGAGTTAATAGGCATGAGACTTAACATTAGCTTTCTTGTTAAATGGCAATTAAATGCATTGACATTCATTATAGCCTGAATATATTGAGAATCTAATTGCTCACATGTTGCTCATGTAATCTCCAGTTTTTCAATGACAACTTGATGTCTTTCTGACATACTTATTGTACCTGGATCAATGGCTATTTAACTGCTAATTGATCTTTTATTAACATAATAACTCTTATTAAATCTAAATTAAAGTCTTAATTGAGACACTTTATCTGCAGTGTTTCAACATACAATCCTCATAAAGTAATGGATAATCGACAGAAAAGCTAGTAACATATTATCTGTCACCTTTCTCATTGACCTGAGAACAGATTTTCAGCATGAAGATTTTTTCACTTCATTAAGAAACCTGAGTGTCAACTAAACCCAGGAATGCAACAACACCATGAAATTTTTCAGTTTTCACACAAAGAACTAGTTCCCCAGCTTCTGCTTTCTTCCTCACCCCTCCACTGAGGCCACTTGGCTATCAGTAATAGACAGCAATAAATGAATGCTGTTACTTTAAACATAAGCATGGCCAGCACAGCTACAAAAGAGGCTGCAATAAACCATAAAGACAGCCTTCCTCACCCACCCCAACAACCCTCTCTTGGCTCCCAACTCTCCAGCACTTATGTATCCTTTTCCTCATCTCAACCCATTCACTCCCCATCTGGCCTGGTTTTATTGAGTGTGTCTGCCTCAGTAAAGGGGATGGTCCTGCCCATCGTTCTGCCATTTGGTCTAAAGCTCCCCTTGCCTATTCGTAATTTCCTTTTATTTACTCTTGTCTAATTCATGCACTGATGTTCTCAAACTCTGCTACCTCAGTGCTACTCCAGGCAACTAGCACTTATGAGATACATACTGTCCTAGTCCATTTTGTGTTGCTGCAACAGGATACCTGAGCCTGGGTAATTTATAAATAAAAGAGATTTATTTAGCTCACAGTTCTGGAGGCTAGCAAGTCCAGGATTGGGCACCTGCATCTGACTGACTTCTGGTGAGGGCCTCATGCTGCATCATAACATGGCAGAGAAGTGAAAAGGCAAGCAAACACGTGCAAAAGACAGCAAACACAAGGAGAAACCTCACTTTACAACAACCTGCTCTCAGGGTAACTAATCCAGTCCTGCGAGAACTCACTCCCAGTATTAATCTATTCATGAGGAATGTCTCCCCATGACCAAAACACCTCCCACTGTGCCCCACCTTCCAACACTGCCACACTGAGGATCAAGCTTCAACATGAGTTTCAGTGGGGACAAACCATATCTAAACCATGGCACATATCTAGGGCCAATCCTGAGCTCAGCCATCAGCTCACACCTGTGCTGATCTGGATCCAGACTTGAATTCTGCTTTTCCTATGTGAGTCTCTGGATGATCATCTTGCCCATGGACCCTGTTCATGGTTTTTACGTATTACCTAATTTCTGTTTTCTCAATAATGCCAGCCCTCTCCTGGTGCCTAGGACTTTGCTAGCTGCTCTCAAACATTCCTGGTGCTCACAACATACCTAAATTTCTGAGGGCCACTTGTTTCTGAATCCCACCATAGTTGTAGATACCAGATAGCCTACCCAGCATCCACTCCTCATCCATGCAAACAAAGCATCCTCTGCCAGATAGCTCATATGCCTCAGGGGAAGCAGAGAGCTACTCCAACTCCAGGGATTGGCCTAACTAATCCAGAGGAAATCTCTTCCTCCTTGCTAGTGATTGGTTTAAGAATGAGTCATTGAGGATTGAGGATTGACTTGCTAGGGGCTTCTGGGAAAGTGTTTCCTTGCTCTGCTGGGAGACTATCCAGAAGGGACATTCTCACTTGTCCTCTGGAAATTATCATATCCACGTTATGCCCGGGGCTGGTTAATCACCTCATCGCCAGTCTTAAGATAATGCTGGCATGCAGGAGAAGACAGAATGAAGAAAATCACACAGAAATGGAGCCAAAACCACTGAATAAAATCAACCCTGAAGTCAGCCCTGCTTCTGAGTTCTAGTTATATGACTGAATGAATTTCCCTTTGGTTTAAATCTGTTGTTTTGGGCTTTTCTAGTACTATAGCTGAAAGCATCCTGGCTGATGGACTGTTTTCCACATGCTTCTCAGAACTCAGATTTCTTTGGGTGGAACACATCCCTCACTTCTGCAGTGCTCAACACTGGTCTTTTAATCAGGCCATTATCCCACCGCACCTATATTCTCTGCTGAATTGACCTTTCTTAACATATGGGTGTATGTTCAATACCTGCTGTCCCTCAGGAAGCAAGTCTCATTCTAAGTTTCAATGCTTCCCAATCACTTGAGCCCTGCTATACAACAGTTTGAAGATAACTCATGTAAAAGTACATATTACAACTGCTGGGAATTCCAACTCAGTGTGAGGACCTAGACAAATACTTTTAGAATATATGGAGCTACAAAAGTTGACAATTTCTTCAAATCAAGTCTTACAAATATAATATTTAAAATGAGAATAGTAGGCATAAAGTCTAAAGATAAATGAGAAAATCTCTCTAACAAGTAATGGCATTAAGTATATATTTGGCAAGATGGCAATCATATTACAAAAGAAAATGTCTGCCTTGAAAGTAGCTATCAGAAAGTAACATCACTGAGATTATAAATACACATATATGCATATATATACATATATAGAATGATCTTTTTGTAAATATTTTTTCTATAGTATTCATTGACCATTTTGCTCAGAACGATCAAAGTGAACCTCCTGTTTTGAAACACGATGTTGAAAATGTGATTTTTATTGACATTTCCATTTTCATAAATGGGGTTAAGGTTCTCAAAAAATGCTTAACTGAGCCAGTGAAAAGAAAGTTTGTGGCTTATTGGCTGGGCTCCTAGCAGAAGTCCTTCCCACTCCCTCTCTGCCTTTCTATCCATAGAGGCATCCTGCTCTGATGAGAACTCATAAAACAGTGACTGCATAGATAGTCCTTGCCCTAGTTTAGCCAGATGCCATCATGCATTAACTATTTCCAGGAGTGGGATGGGTTTTCACTTTAAAATGAAGCTTTTCTGGCAAACTATGAACAAGCAGCATAATTTTATGGCGGGGGGGGAGGGGAATTTCATTTGTATCCCAAACACAGGTAAATATTATAGGGATAAGCTACATGTAATAGTGATGGGAACACAGTTTTTGGAATGACTTGGGTTCAAATCCTGATGCTTCACTTACCAGTTAAGTAAGCTTGAGTGGACTCAAGTTGACGACTTAAGCTTCTGGCTTAGTGTTATCACCTGTACAATGGTGATGATAACAGATAAATGGAGAGCATGATATTTAATGTACATAAAGAGTAGGACACAACACCTGGCACAGAGTGACATTCAATCAATAGTAGCTATTTTTTAGTTCATTATTTTTTTCATCCTTAATAAGAACCAATGCCATCAGTAGGATAAATTACCTTGTGAAACAAACGTAGTGTTTAGTTGTCACCACATCCCCATCTGTGCTGTCATCCTGTCTTTCAGTGTCTACTCCCTCACCCAGACCCTAGCCCTGGCCACTTGTTTTGGCCAATCCCAATGTCAAGAACTGCCCCTCACACTGTTCTCCATAGCAGTATATATTTACATGTCATTCTCTCCAACAGTCCTGCTCCCTGCTTCTCTAATAAGGAATATAATTTTTTATTTTTATTAAAGTGCCACTTCTTTAGTTAAGTGGGCATGTGTACCCTTCTATTTGAAACACTTAAAAATCACTGGTCTTAGGGCCTTGCATTTCCCAACTGCCCTCTCCTGCCCACTCCCCAGCATTACTGGGACCACAGGCAAGCACTTTGCCTATGCCAGGCCTACTCCCACTTACTTTGAACACTCAGCCAGTTCTTAAGCTCTTTGACAAATATTTCCCTGATCTAAGCACTCTAGGAGGGTAAGATGGCTAGGGTGACTGGCTTCCACAGGGCCCTACGTTTATTTATCTCACAGCCCTCATCACATTGGGTTGTCAATATACTTTTCACATCCATCTCTTTTTACTCAACTATGAGCTCCTCAAGAACAGGGACTATGGATTATGTGCTCTGTAGGCCCAGAGGTCACCATGGTGCCAAGCAGGTTTTAGTTCTTAATAAATCTGTATTAAATGGATGGGTAGTAGATGGACTTTTATATAAAAATAGAAAAATATGATCAAACATGTTTTCTAATTCACTAATTACTACTTTTGTCAAACAACTCAAGTACGTAATTTTTTATCATTACATCATTTGTTATTGAGGTATAATTTTCATGTAATAAAATATACAGATATTAAGTTTACAGTTCCATGAGTACGGACAAATATGTTGATGTAACAGAATTAAAGGCCTCAAAATAGGGCCTACGTATATGGTCAATTGGTTTTTTACAAAGGTGTCAAGAAAATTCAACAGGGAAAGAAAACATTTTCAGCAAATGATGCTAAAACAATTGAACATATAGGTGAAAATGAACCCCAACTCTTAAAAATTAGACATTATACATAAAAATTAGAGATGAATTACAGTTCTAAAAGTAAAAAATTAACTATAAAGATTTTTTTAAATATATAAAATAAAATCTTCATGACCTTGGACAAGACACAAAAAGCATTAATCACAAAAGAAAAAAAAATCAATAAATTGTGCCTCATCAAAAATTTTTAATTTATTCATCAAAGGACACTATTAAGAAAATCATAAAGGATAATGACTTTTAAGACTTGAAAAGCATGCAGTTTTTCTACAGGTACTTTCAGTAAATTTCAACTGTCACTCTCAGACCTAATAACCCTTCATTCTAACTCCCTCTGTGAGTTGTAAATCCAGGCCCCCTGTCTTCCAGTCTTGCTCAAGACCCTTTTGGCTAAGGGCAACTATTTTTTCCTTCCTTTGCCTTTGGAGATTAGAAGATAAAAGCACAATGGAAGATAAACTCTGTCATTCTCCCTGACTTCTTAAAACTCATGTTTGTCTCTCTTCCAGTCAAGTAAAAGGTAACACTTGGCAATCACATTTTTACACTACTATCTCCTCTAACTCATTTGACTGTTTCACCTCTTTTGAAGATTCCTATATGAGAACAAAATGATTCATACCGACAGATTAAACCATTTTTAACTAACTATGCTCCATAAAATCTGTCTTAAAGGAATATACATATTTCCTTTTGAATATTTTGCTAAAATAATTCTGAACATAAAAGAACTGTTTTTACACCAGAGTTATTCCACGCACAGTTTTAGCATGAGTGAAACTGAGTATTTTTATTTTAAAAATTGTGAAGATCAAAATAGATATTGTATGTGAAAGTACATTGTAAACTCCAATATACAAGAGACACATTCCAACTTCCAGAAATATGGCAGAGCAGATATTCTGAAAGGCTCTCATTCTAAATACAAGTAGATCCTGGATAAACTACAATAAATAAACATTTTAATTAGTTGCTGGACTCTCCAGAAAGTTGGAGAAATCCAAAAGATAATTTTTTAAAAAGATAGCAAATTGGCCGGGTGCGGTAGCTCACACCTGTAATCCCAGCACTCTGGGAGGCCAAGGCGGGTGGATCACGAGGTCAGGAGATCGAGACCATCCTGGCTAACACGGTGAAACCCCATCTCTACTGAAAAATACAAAAAATTATCCAGGCGTAGTAGCAGGCGCCTGTAGTCCCAGCTACTCAGGAGGCTGAGGCAGGAGAATGGCATGAACCTGGGAGGCAGAGCTTGTAGTGAGCCGAGATCGCGCCACTGCACTCCAGTCTGGACAACAAAGCAAGACTCCATCAAAAAAAAAAAAAAAAAAAAATAGCAAATTGAACCCAGTGTTGGGAAATTGGGCAGTAAGTAAATACGAAAGTGCTGCCCTGGTTAAAAACATTAACATTGCTAACATCAGATCTGCTACTGAGAAACTGAGCCTTGATCTTCATTAAAGTGCTGAACCTGAGATCCCAGCATTATTCTGGCACCCTCAAACAGGGCTAAAGTGTTTCCAGGTCACTAATGCTCCCTGGCTCCAGGCAGAGACAAAGGAAAATATTCTATGAAAACACACATCGCTGTTACAGGCCCTTGGGAGTTCACACAAATTAAGGAAAGCAAAATATGAGCTCACAATAAAAAGTTACAAAACTCACACAAGGAAATAAGCAAGCATGAGTGTATATCAACAGAAAAAAAAAACCGTTGTTGGCACCCAAGGACTTAAAATATTCTCAAAAGCAGGATTTAAAATAGCTATTATAAATGTCTAACAAAATAAAAGATAAAATTTTTAGGCTGTAGTCCCAGCTACTCAGGAGGCTGAGGCAGGGGAATCTCCTGAACCCGTGAGGCAGAGGTTATAGTGAGCTGAGATCGTGCCACTGCACTCCAGCCTGGGCGACAGAGCAAGACTCCGTCTCAAAAAAAAAAGAAAAAGATAAAATTTTTAAAGTGAACAAGTAACTAGAAGGTATAAAAATGGCCTAATAGATTTTTTAAAGTCAAAATAACTTTTAGAGATTAAAATACAACAATATTTAATCAATAGGTTAAATAGCAGGTTAGTCACAGCTGAAAAAAACATGAATTGAAACATGGAGCTGAAGAAACTCCATGTGTTCTTCAGCTCCATGTGTTCAGATGAGATGAACACTTAAGAGGTTAAGAGACATGGGCAAAAGAGTCACATGCATCCAGAGCACCAGAAGGAAACATTAGAGAGAATGGAGGAGAAGCAGTATTGAAAAGAACATGGCTGAGAACTTTCTAGAACTGATGAAAAACATGAATCTTCAGCAATATAAAGTACAACATATACTAAGCAAGATAAATAAAAATAAATTCAGACATATTGTGGTGAAAGTACAGACCACTGAAAACAATGAGAAGATCTTAAAGGCATTCAAAAAGCAGAAAAACAGATCACCTACAAAGGAATCGCAAGCAGGTTTCTCAACATCAACAATGGAAGCCTGAAGTTAGTAGAATAGTATCAAAGTACTGACAGAAAATGACAGTCAACCTGGAACTATGCCTGGTAATATTATCTTTCAGATAAACAAAACTAAGAGTGTACCGCCAAGAGAACTACAGCAAGGAACTTCTAAAAAATATACATCAGGTCTCAAATGATCTTCCTTTTAATCAAGACATGCATTCTCAATGAGGTGATGTCACTCCATAAAGAGAGAAAATCCATTCTTGGTAGGCAAAATAATCTTACTCTTTTTACGTATAAAGCATAGATATACTTAAACAGATACATAGTGACCCTGTGATATTAAAATTGATTGATTCAGGTGAGGGGGCAATTAGGAAAAAAAATAATCTAAAAGTGTCCTTGGAGGTGGGGCAATAATAAAAAAGCTGAGAAACACTGATCCAAAACAATCCACAAAAATTTAGAATTAATAAAAGAGTTTACTCAAGTGCCTAATTTAAGATCAATATATAAAAATCAATTGTATCTCAATATGCTAGCAGAAAAACTTAGAAAATATACTTTAGAAAGATATAGTTCATAATAGAAACAAAAATATAAAGTATCTGGGAATAAATCTATATATAAACTTTATAAATAAATATATACAACTTTATTAAAAGTTTTAAGGTAACTCAGAAAAAAATAGAGAGATACCTTATGTTTGTATTTAAGAAAGCTCAAAATCTTAATGTTAATTATCCCCAAAATCTTCTATGACTTCATTGCAAATTCCAATCAAGATTTATAAAGAAACCTGGCCAGCTGATTCTAAAATGTATATTAAAGGGCAAAGTGTGCCAAGACATGCCTAAAAGAATAAATTTGGGGAAATTGTCTTATCAAATCTCATGGCTTCTCATAGACTACTGTACTGAAGATAGGGCAGCATTGGCACAGGAATCAAAAAACTGATTAACGGAACAGAAACCCCAGAAACAGCCGCTGCATATGTGCGGGAACTGTTCTACCCCAACATCTCCAGCAAGAGTGTCCTTGCTTCTCATTGGTTCTCCTGGACCAATCACTGTGGCCTGCAGCACTGGGCCTCTGAAGCCTTAGGTGTCACAGCACCACCCAAGGGCTAGAGACGGGTCAGTTTCAATTAAACCACAAGGACTGAGAATAGGGAAGAGGATACTTCCCAAAAGAAAATAAGTGCACTAATAAGCAAGAAAGGGAAACGAATGCCAAAAAATAATTGTCCACACATGCTGCAGACCAGTCCTCACAAACCTGACATTCTTAGTGATGAGAGGACATCGATGTTGATGCAGAGTATTCGTGCATGTGGATACAAAGTATTCAAGCATGGCCACACAGGCATGCATACCTACACCCAAGGAGGGGGCTATCATGGCCTCGCCTCATCATCATGCTTTGCTAGCAGGGGCATTCCTTAGTCCTATTCTTGGTCCCTAAATCAGCATCTGAAAAACCATCTTTTTTAAAAAAAAACCCAAGCCTCTGACTTAATATCCCCAAACATTTTTTCTCAAAAGAATGAATTTTCTTCTTACTGCTTTATTGAAGCATTTCCCAAAGTATGTTCCATAGAATCCAAGTGCTTGGGATGCTACTGGGTATTATACATTCTCTTAAATCCATTACTAAATAAGTCTGGGAACAGTTCACTTAAGCGTGATGTTTTAAGACTGCTGTATTACTAGACCCTAGAAGCTTTACTATGACAAGTGGGCATTGGGATCTTCTAGAATGGGACCCAGTACCTGAACTTTTAACACACACCCTTACACCAGTGACCCAAATTGCCCTCCCTTCTCCAGATGATGATGGCCATCAAAAGTGGATCTTCTTTCTCTAGGGAATAGTTTCCTCTTGGATGTTCCCCACATCAGAAGCACAGGAACATATTTAGAATCAAGAGCTTAATCAGTGCCAGGCCACAGAGTCTGTCCATCCCAGCAGCATTTTCTGCCTATCCCACTGTTCCTCAGGCCTCATTTTATCTGCCTGGAGCAACTGGTGACAAAGTACAACTAGAGAGTTAGCTTTTTATTTTCTCTTTTTAACTTTTCTTTGATAGGATTATATTATTTTTATAATAAAATTTCAAAGTATTTTTAAACTTAATCTTATTTTAGTATTAAGAACTGTCTGTCCAAATAAACCTCTACATAAAATTTCACTAGCAGCCCCCTCAGGAATTCTTGATTTGAAATAGAACACAGGATTAAATCCAAGGATCTGGGTTCCAGTTCTGACTTCCGGCAGTGTGAACTTGTAGAGCTTCATTAACTGTTGAACCCTAGTTTTCCCATCTGTAAAAAAGCATAGTGTTATGTACCTAAGGCACTGTTACAATTATGTTATCTATATAAACACATTCAATCCTCACATCAACCCTACAAATTTAGTATCATCCTCAGGTAATTATCTCTTTTTACAGAAGAGTGACAGACACAGACAGGGTAAGTAACTTTGCCAAGATCACAAATCTAAGCAAGTAACCCGGCCTGGATTTGAACATAAAGAGCTGTCCTGAGCCTACACTCTTGACCATTATGTTTTACTTCTTCCTAAGCAAAATACTATGCAAATTAAATAAGACCATGTGTCTTAGTCTGTTTTCTGTTGCTTATAAAAGAATACCTGAAACTGGGTAATTTATAAAGAAAAACAGTTACTTCTCAGTTTTGGACGCTGAGAAGTTCAAGGTTGAGGGGCTGGACCTGGTGAGTTCCAAAGCAGCAGACTCTGAAGAATCCCAAAGCAGCACAGAACATCACATGATGAGGGGGCTTAGCATAATAACTCAGGTATCTCTCTTCTTATAAAGTCACCAGCCCCATGCCCATGATAACCCATTAACCCATTAATCCATGAATGCATCCATCCATTCATGAGGGCAGGGCCCTCATGACTCGATCATCTCTTAAGGCCCCATCTCTCAATACTGCCACTTTGGGGATTAAGTTTCAATTTGAGTTTTAGAGGGGATAAACATTCAAACCATGTATATCAAGGGCTTTGCATTTCCCTACCAATTACAAGACTAAGTGCCCGGTAGGAAGAGACTGTTTTTACCAATCTTGTATCCTCTTTGCTGGGCTTAGTCTCTGTCAATACACAGTTAAAGTACTACAATATTGAGCGATTTCTCGATATCAAGTTGTTACTAACAAGCCACTGCCTTAAGCCCCTCCTACGAGATTTCCCTGATCTCCCCAAATCCAGCGATTAAGAGCTAATTCCTAGCATAGCAGGGGACTCCAGCCCTGCTCCAATGACTCCAGCAAATCTTCTACCTGGTAGGTGGGCACCTGAGCCTCCTGGGGTATAAATGTTTGGAATTTCATCCTGCAGAGGAAATAACAGTAAGCCTGTGTTGAGTGAATGCAGCTCAAGAAACAAACCCCAAATCATGTCCTTGCTAAATAGTAGATATGGAATTTGGACCCAGATCTGAGTCCAAAGACCATGATCTGTGTCCGAGGAGGCAGAGCCCTCACAAGCATCAGCGTATGAGGCAGTTGAGGCCTGAGAGCCAAAGCAGACCGTACTGTTTACTACAGGCTCAAGAACCTAGATGAAAATCCCAACTGCTTACCTGCCTTGCAAGTTCAGCCCATCATCCTGTCTCCCCGGCCCTGCTGCCACCTCTCTCTCCACACTCCGGCTGCAATGGCTTCTTTCTGCTCCTTGGCCACTCTTGGTTTCTGCAGCTTGGAAAGCTCTTCCAGAAGATTCTCACAATCTGGTTTCTCATCATTAAGGTTACATCTGAAATGTCACCTCCCCAGAGACGCCTTCCCAGACCACCAGACCTAAGGCTACTATTCTCTCAGCCACCACATCCTTGTCACAATCATCTGAAATACTACGCTTTTTTTCTTTTTTTTTACTTCTTTCCCACTCTCATGCATATTTAATGAGGCCAGGGACAAGACTCTCTGCTGAATCTGTAGCTCCTAGCACATTTCAGGACAAATGAATAAGGAGCAAGTGTAGATATTCAGAAAGTGTTATCCAACTAGTTTAAGCAGGCCAAAGCCAGACAGCTCTGAAAAAAGCAAGAAACACCCAAGGAAGCCTGATTCTCACAGAGATTTATCCACTTGCCAACATCAAGTGAGCAACAAGGCACTATCCTAGGTACTGGGAATTCACAGGGGAACAAGCAGATGAAAACCCCCACCTTCATGGACTTTTTCCAATAAGGGAATCCAAGCAATAAATAAATACATGAATAAAATATATTACACAGCAGATGGTGAAAAGTGCTAAGGAAAAAAAAAAAACAGAGCAGAGTTAGGAAGTGTAGGGGGTGGGGGGAGTATGCAATATTAAATAGGGTAGGGGCCAGACACAGTGGCTCACACCTGTAATCCCAGCACTTTGGGAGGCCAAGGCAGGTGGATCACTTGAGGTCATGAGTTCGAGACCAGCCTGACCAACATGGCGAAACCCCATCTCTACTGAAAATACAAAAACTAGCCAGATGTGGTGGCACATACCCATCGTCCCAGCTACTTGGGAGGCTGAGGCAGGAGAATTTCTCGAGCCTGGGAGGCGGAGGTTACAGTGAGCTGAGATCACGCCATTGCACTCCAGCCTGGGCAACAAGAGTGAAACTCTGTCTCAAATAAATAAATAAATAAATAAATAAAGTAGGCATTTAAAGAACTGAGGAAGCAGTGCATGGCAGAACTAAGGAAGAACACTGTATGTAAAGGGAATAGAAAGCACAAAAACCTTGGTACAAATACACCTGGTATTTTCTAGGAAAACCTGCAAGGCCAGAGTGTCTAGGACAGAGTGAAAGGGAGAGTAGTAGAGGATTAGGACATAAAAGAAAGGTAAGACAAGTGAAACAAAAGCTATTGGAAGGTTTTGGAGAGAAGAGAAACCTGTTCTGCTCTTGAAGCTTAGAATAAGGGTGCAGGGGAAGAGAGCTGAGGCAGAGAGAGTAGTTCAGAGGCTTTTGCATTGCAATAATACAGGTGAGAGTACCCAGAGTGATCAAGGTGGACATGGAAAGAAGTGGTGGAATTATGAGTATCTGAAGTCAGATTCTGAAGTTAGAGCCAACAGATGTGGAGAGAAAAAGAAGAGGCATAAGCAACTGGCAGAGATACCTCCAACCTTTTTGCTAATGACTGCACAGCATGGGAGCAGGGAAGGCTAGACCTGTAGGTGGGATAGAAGAGCAGGTAAAGAGAGGAAGATGAAACCGGGACTGTGGCCAAGGCCCTCAGAGGCCATGGGGAGACACGACAAGACCAGACAAGAGAAAAAAGGAATAGGAGGCATGGAGAAAGTCTCTCCAGCTGCCCCTGCCTCAGAGAATCTGTGTCTCCAGCACAACCTTTTGAGAAAACAAACATCCTTATAGGCAAGGCCAGCTTTCATGGGCACGAAACCTGTGAAGTCACACAGGGTCCCTACTTAAAAGGGATCCTGTGCTTAGTTTAACACTTTGCTGTCACTGTCTTGAAATTCTTAACAATTTTAAGTGGCCCTGCATTTTCATTTTGCACGGAGTCCTGCAAACTATGCAGCCAGTCCTGCATAATTTCTCCACTTACTTGCTGCCACATTTATAATGGAATTCTCCAGGTGGGACATTTGTTCGAAATGCTGAGATGATACTGTTGGAACAGCCCTGGGATCTCCCAGGGAAGGAAATGCCGTGTCTGCCTGTACTCTGAGCAGCTCAGTGGTGACTCTGGGAACATTAGCACACAGCCCTGGACCAAAAGAACTCATTGGCCTCTTTAAAGGAAAAAGGACAAGAACAACACAAACAATGTCTCTGGTGGAAAAATACAGCATTCCATCTTTCCATAGTTTATCTCTGCCCTCCAAAAACAGATGCATCAAAGAATGGTCCCAGCAACCAAGCTTGTCATTTTGATTGGTGCCAAAAATCGGGACCCAGTCATGGTCTTATGATTGATTCTGAGGTGCAGAAAGGAAAACATTAATATTGATTTATCTGTTCATTCTCTTTATTCACTGTTCATCCATTTACCCAGACTAGCCATAGCAACTAGGCACTAGAAAATTAAATTTAAAACAACTCCTCTATTCTAGGTAGACTCATTCCCCTTCCCCTGTTTCTGGGACTGTGTCTACAACAAGATTTTATTTTTAAAATATCATGCAACCCACTGAGAGGGGAAAGGGAGAACTCACAAAAATAATGTTGAAATAATGTAAACCAAGAAAACTGCAAGATTGATAGAATTTGTTCCTTTATGAATGGCTGTTTTGCAACCATTGTGGACTATCTCAGAAAATCAGAAAAAAAGATGCAATAGCAACTTATTAAATAGGTAGACACATCTTATAGCATCAGAATAATAAACACCCTTTGGTGCAGTGCAGCCATTCCACATCACAAAAACATAAGGCAGAGCCTCTTCCCCGTGATCTACCCTAAAATACGGAAACCTAGAGTGTTCACATTGATATTGAGGCATCTTTAATATAGAGCTAATCAACTAATAACTGAATATGTATCGATCACCTACCAGGCACAAGCATTACAATCATATTACTGAAAAGGATTAGGCATAGCACCAAGCTGAATTTTTCATAACTACTCTGGTTCACATCTCTCATGAAAGACAAGACATTGAATGGTTTTCAGCAATTACTGTCTCACAAACGTGTCCCTGCCACCCAACACCAAAGCTCCAAATGTAAGGCCCTTCATCACATCATACCCCTAAACCCTACAATAAAATGATGCTATGACTCTCTTTTCCCCTCTCTCTCCTTCTTTTTGTCACACACACACACACACACACACACACACACACACACTGTTGAAAAGTAGAAAGTGAAAACAAAAAGCCAGATATTAGAGAGAGGTTAAATAACCGGCAGACTATCAATTCAATTGAGTACTAAGCAGTCATTCCAAATGGAAAGGAAGCAGAGGCACATGCCTCCAGCAGAGCATGAACCAGCGTGTACCCAGATTATACTAGCATAAGCTGTAAGCCTAACTCTGTCCAAGGGAAGGCACTGGAACCTCTTGCAATGAACTGTACAAGTATCTCCTTGTGGCTACTTCACTCTGCATGAAAAGTGTGGTTACCTCTGAATGAGTCTATCAAGATGGAAACGTTCATTTAAATGAACGGAAGAGTGATTATCATTCTGAAAAAAAAGGTGCTTTGGTCTGAGGCCACTTAGGCCTAGCTAGTATCTACTAATGTAGTTCCCCCACTAGATTAGCTTCATTTCCTAGGAATCCATATTGGGGTTTGGGGATAAAACTCAATAGCAAAGGGTCATTTTCCTCGCTTTGCTACTGTGGTGCATATCTCACTGTAGGTCAGATTTTTCCATTTCTCCTAAAACAAGATCCAAGAAACCCAATCATGTGGCTTCCTACTGTAAGCAGTAAGAGAAAAAAAGACTATAAGAATTAACTTATTTGCTTACAAGAATTAATTCCCTGTGGGTAAAATGACAAGCTAAGACAAAATCTGGCTTTACTTGGCAATTAACTAATGAGACTTGAATGTATACGAATGGATGTCCTTCCTCCAGCAGGTGTTTTTGGCATACTGAATTAGCAACAGGAGATAAATTTTGTGTTTTTATGACTCAATTTTCAATGCATAACCTTGTTTTGAGATAATACAATTGATATACTAAAAAAAGACTTTCTTTCAGTCAGATCTGTACCTATGTTATTAAAATAAAAGGTTATATTAAAGGAAATTTATTTCCCCTTGCCACTCCTTTGTAATACATTAACTACTTTGAAAGTCATTACTTTTTCTCTTCAAAAGAGAATTAAATTTAAGACGGACGCTTATCTAAGGTCTTTTAGATTTAGAAAGTAATTCCCAAGGTAGGCCTGTATTCATTTCAAGTGAAAATTTTACTTAAACAGAGGCAGCCACATGATTAAAAACAAAAGTACTTTTAAATGTTTTAAAATTTACTTTGCAAATTAAAAAAAAAAAGTGGTTCTAGAAAAAATCTGACTTCTCCTGAGATTGTTTCCAAAAACAACCCTCTGACCCAATGCTGACTATGCCCTTGCATATTGCAGCTCTGGAATCAATTCTGTTTGCAAGACTACAGAGTAATCTTCTCCAAAACTGCAAATGACATTGCAGAATGTTTCACTTTTTTACCTTAAAGGTGGTGGCACTATTGTTTTCCAGATGATACTTTTTAAAATAATGCACATTTAAGCTAGAGAACATATCCAGCATCAGGTGGGGTCCATTGTTAAAAGTCACTGATATTTATTAGCATCTTTCTCCTTCCCCTGGTTTTATGGTAAGACTTGCTTTTCAATAGAGTAGAGCCAATATACTTAAAAATGAAGAGTGTACATCATATCCACCAGAACTGCCAGGCAAAGAGCATCTTCCTGTGGTATCTAGTTACAGACGTGTTTCTAGTTACTTTTATTAATTCAGATGGTAAACCAGCCTTGACAGATCATGAAGCAGTCCTTTCAGAGTTTTTCCAGAAACTAGAAACAAGAAATTGAATCAGTGGTCAAATTCTGACCAGAGCCACCAGGACCATTTTCTTTTGTAGATGATTTTTACCAAAACTTCAAGGAAGGGATGGTCCATATCTCACAGAAAATGTTTCAAAGAGGGGAAAAGAGAAAGCCGTCAACTAAGTTTACTAAACTAATAACAAACTTGATAACAAGAGAAGTACAAGGAAATAAAGGACAATTATAGACCAATCTTAATTATTAACATAGATGGAAGAGTCCTACAACATTAACAAATCAAATCCGATAGTATATTTTTTAAATTATGTCATAATCATTTGAGGTTCAGTTTAAGAGGCAAAGAAAGTTCAACCTCAGAAGATCTATTAAAATGTAACTCACATTAATGAAGTAAAGCAAAAAGAACCTCAAATGATGCTGACAAATCATTTATTAAAATTAAACACCCACTTATGATTTTTAAATGCTCTTAGTGAACTCTGAATAGAAAGGAATTTTTTAATGTGATAAAAATGTTTTCACCAAAAACATAGAACAAACATTACTCGTTGTGATAAAAATTTAGAAACATTGCCATTAAAGTCAGAAATAAAATAAAGGTGACTGCTCTCCCGGTTACTGTTCAACATTGTTGTGGAGTCCTAGGCAATGCCATGAGATAAGGGGTAGAAAAACAAAACATTTAGAAAGAAAGGCACTACACTGCTACTATTTGCAATTAATATTTTTTCTACTTATAAATGCAAGATAAGCTACAGACCAACTATTAGAAGCAATTAGGCTGGGCATAATGGCTCCTGCTTATAATCCCAGCACTTTGGGAAGCCAAGGTGGGAGTTCAAGACCAGCCTGGGCAACATAGGGAGATCTCATATCTACAAAAAATTAAAAAAAAAAAAATAGCCAGGTGTGCTGGCACATACCTGTAGTCCCAGGCACTCGGGAGGCTGAGGTGGGAGGATCACTTAAACCTGGAAGGTTGAGGCCACAGTGAGCTATGATAGCACCACTGCACTCCAGTCTGGGTGACAGAGTGAGACCATATCTCAAAAAAAAAAAAAAAAAAAGGAAGGAACAAGAGAGATTTGCTGGCTACAAAATCATTATACTAAGATCAACAACATTCCTATAAACCAGCAATAGCAATTTTAAAATGCAATAGAGTGTGTGTGCACATATAATTCACCATAGTAGCAAAAAAATGTTAAAAAAAAAACTAGCAATAAATCTGACAAAAGGTTTTAAGAGAAAATTATAAAATATTATGAAAAGACACAAAAGAAAGAAATCTTGAATAAACAGGCTATACCTTGTTCATGGATGGGAAACTGAATAAAGATGTAATATTTTCCCAATATGATTGATTATAATCTTTGTAACAGAGTACAACTTAGCAAACTGATTCTTAAGTTTACATGGAATAGGAAAATCCAAAGTCAATACAATTCTAAAAAAGAACAAGGATAGCAATTCTGGCAGATATCAAGATATCATAAACTTTATAGTAATTAAAACAGTATAGTATTAGTGAAAAAATAAACGAAGAAATTAATGAAACAGAATAGGAAGCCTGGAAACATGGTATGTGATAGAGATTGGCTTACATGGCAGAAGGGAAAGGATAAAATATCCAGTTAATAATGTTGGAAATTTTGGCTTTCTATCTAGAAAACAAAAATAAACAATAATCTTGCACTAAACATAAAAATGAATTCCCCAGATGAATCGAAGTTAAGAATGTGAAAATCAAAACTTATCTACAGATGAAGATGAAGCAAAATTGGTTTCCTGTTAAAGATGGAAAGACAAATGCATATTTTTGTCTTCACTTCCTCCTTAAATCTCAGCAAAATAACAATTAATGGCTTTCCTAGAAATAAAACCACAAAAACAAATAAAAAATAAACAGCAGCAGCAAAATTTGCAATCTGAAAAGCAGATGGGTGAGTAGTCACTTACTGAGCAGACCCAAGAAAGCCAGATTTTAAATTGGCAATGAAGTAATCAAGAAGCACCTCTGATTTATGGACAAAATATTCAAAAGATGTATCAATTGGCTTTACCAGTACTATTGGACAGTACATGGGAGTAAAGATGGAGTAAAACAGATTAAAGCCTGTTTTAAAAGCATTTAGAGCCCCAAATCTCCATCTTCACTTTGCCCATGAGGGAAATTGCCCCTTTCTGACTCTGTGGTTCAGGGCAAAATAGAAGGCATGGATTGGGGGACACCAGCATAGTTGAGGTCAGGGGTATCTTTATAAACATAGAGGGGTTAAAGTAAAAGTCTCAATTCTTTTTTTTAAATTTTATTATTATACTTTAAGTTTTAGGGTACATGTGCACAACGTGCAGGTTTGTTACATATGTATACATGTGCCATTTGGTGTGCTGCACCCATTAACTCGTCATTTAGCATTAGGTATATCTCCTAATGCTATCCCTCCCCCCACCCCCCACCCCATAACAGTCCCCAGTGTGTGATGTTCCCCTTCCTGTGTCCATGTGTTCTCATTGTTCAATTCCCACCTATGAGTGAGAACATGCAGTGTTTCATTTTTTATCCTTGCAATAGTTTGCTGAGAATGATGGTTTCCAGTTTCATCCATGTCCCTACAAAGGACATGAACTCATCATTTTTTATGGCTGCATAGTATTCCATGGTGTATATGTGCCACATTTTCTTAATCCAGTCTATCATTGATGGACATTTAGGTTGGTTCCAAGTCTTTGCTATTGTGAATAGTGCCACTATAAACATACGTGTGCATGTGTCTTTATAGCAGCATGATTTATAATCCTTTGGGTATATACCCAGTAATGGGATGGCTGGGTCAAATGGTATTTCTAGATCTAGATCCCTGAGGAATCTCCACACTGACGTCCACAATGGTTGAACTAGTTTACAGTCCCACCAACAGTGTAAAAGTGTTCCTATTTCTCCACATCCTCTCCAGCACCTGTTCTTTCCTGACTTTTTAATGATTGCCATTCTAACTGGTGTGAGATGGTATCTCACTGTGCTTTTGATTTGCATTTCTCTGATGGCCAGTGATGATGAGCATTTTTTCATATGTGTTTTGGCTGCATAAATGTCTTCTTTTGAGAAGTGTGTGTTCATATCCTTTGCCCACTTTTTGATGGGGTTGTTTGTTTTTTTCTTGTGAATTTGGTTGAGTTCATTGTAGATTCTGGATATTAGCCCTTTGTCAGATGAGTAGGTTGCGAAAATTGTCTCCCATTCTGTAGGTTGCCTGTTCACTCTGATGGTAGTTTCTTTTGCTGTGCAGAAGCTCTTTAGTTTAATTAGATCTCATTTGTCAATTTTGGCTTTTGTTGCCATCGCTTTTGGTGTTTTAGACATGAAGTCCTTGCCCATGCCTATGTCCTGAATGGTAATGCCTAGGTTTTCTTCTAGGGTTTTTATGGTTTGAGGTCTAACATTTAAGTCTTTAATCCATCTTGAATTGATTTTTGTATAAGGTGTAAGGAAGGGATCCAGTTTCAGCTTTCTACATATGGCTAGCCAGTTTTCCCAGCACCATTTATTAAATAGGGAATCCCCATTGCTTGTTTTTGTCAGGTTTGTCAAAGATCAGATGGTTGTAGATATGTGGCATTATGTCTGAGGCCTCTGTTCTGTTCCATTGGTCTATATCTCTATTTTGGTACCAGTGCCATGCTGTTTTGGTTACTGTAGCCTTGTGGTATAGTTTGAAGTCAGGTAGCGTGATGCCTCCAGCTTTGTTCTTTTGGCTTAGGATTGTCTTGGCAATGCAAGCTCTTTTTTGGTTCCATATGAACTTTAATGTAGTTTTTTCCAATTCTGTGAAGAAAGTCATTGGTAGCCTCATGGGGATGACATTCAATCTATAAATTACCTTGGGCAGTATGGCCATTTTCACGAGATTGATTCTTCCTACCCATGAGCATGGAATGTTCTTCCATTTCTTTGTATCCTCTTTTATTTCATTGAGCAGTGGTTTGTAGTTCTCCTTGAAGAGGTCCTTCACATCCCTTGGAAGTTGGATTCCTAGGTATTTTATTCTCTTTGAAGCAATTGTGAATGGGAGTTCACTCATGATTTGGCTCTCTGTTTGTCTGTTATTGGTGTATAAGAATGCTTGTGATTTTTGTACATTGATTTTGTATTCTGAGACTTTGCTGAAGTTGCTTATCAGCTTAAGGAGATTTTGGGCTGAGACAATGGGGTTTTCTAGATATACAATCATGTCATCTGCAAACAGGGACAATTTGACTTCCTCTCTTCCTAATTGAATACCCTTTATTTCCTTCTCCTGCCTGATTGCCCTGGCCAGAACTTCCAACACTATGTTGAATAGGAGTGGTGAGAGAGGGCATCCCTGTCTTGTGCCAGTTTTCAAAGGGAATGCTTCCAGTTTTTGCCCATTCAGTATGACATTGGGTGTGGGTTTGTCATAAATAGCTCTTATTATTTTGAGATATGTCCCATCAATACCTAATTTATTGAGAGTTTTTAGCATGAAGCACTGTTGAATTTTGTCAAAGGCCTTTTCTGCATCTATTGAGATAATCAGGTGGTTTTTGTCTTTGGTTCTGTTTATATGCTGGATTATGTTTATTGATTTGCGTATGTTGAATCAGCCTTGCATCCCAGGGATGAAGCCCACTTGATCATGGTGGATAAGCTTTTTGATGTGCTGCTGGATTCGGTTTGCCAGTATTTTATTGAGGATTTTTGCATCGATGTTCATCAGGGATATTGGTCTAAAATTCACTTTTTTTGTTGTGTCTCTGCCAGGCTTTGGTATCAGGATGATGCTGGCCTCATAAAATGAGTTAGGGAGGATTCCCTCTTTTTCTATTGATTGGAATAGTTTCAGAAGGAACGGTACCAGCTCCTCTTTGTACCTCTGGTAGAATTCGGCTGTGAATCCATCTGGTCCTGGACTTTTTTTGGTTGGTAAGCTATTAATTATTGCCTCAATTTCAGAGCCTGTTATTGATCTATTCAGAGATTCAACTTCTTCCTGGTTTAGTCTTGGGAGGATGTATGTGTCCAGGAATTTATCCATTTCTTCTAGATTTTCTAGTTTATTTGCATAGAGGTGTTTATAGTATTCTCTGATGGTAGTTTGTATTTCTGTGGGATCGGTGGTGATATCCCCTTTATCATTTTTTATTGCGTCTATTTGATTCTTCTCTCTTTTCTTCTTTGTTAGTCTTGCTAGCGGTCTATCAATTTTGTTGATCTTTTCAAAACACCAGCTCCTGGATTCATTAATTTTTTGAAGGGCTTTTTGTGTCTCTATTTCCTTCATTTCTGCTCTGATCTTAGTTGTTTCTTGCCTTTTGAATGTGTTTGTTCTTGCTTTTCTAGTTCTTTTAATTGTGATGTTGGGGTGTCAATTTTGGATCTTTCCTGCTTTCTCTTGTGGGCATTTAGTGCTATAAATTTCCCTCTACATACTGCTTTGAATGTGTCCCAGAGATTCTGGTATGTTGTGTCTTTGTTTTTGTTGGTTTCAAAGAACATCTTTGTTTCTGTCTTCATTTCGTTATGTACCCAGTAGTCATTCAGGAGCAGGTTGTTCAGTTTCCTTGTAGTTGAGCGGTTTTGAGTGAGTTTCTTAATCCTGAGTTCTAGTTTGATTGCACTGTGGTCAGAAGTCTCAATTCTAAAGGTTGAGGCTCACAGCATTTTTCTTTTTTGGGTTGCCAGAATTCTGACAGCCAGGCTTATATTTATGTTCCAATCAAAAGCATGAAAAACCGTTTCCAAGGACTATGTTCAGTCTAAGAAAAAGACCTAAAGAAAATGATGGCGGGAGTTTCTAAACAAAAGACCCAGCCAGATCTCCCTACAGTGAGGCCTATAATTAGCAAGAAGCAACCAAGCTTAGGAACCTACTCAACTATGAGAGGACAACCCAAGATCCCCAGGCATTTGAAGAAGTTCTGTAATTGAAAAACAGGAGCTAAAAAAGTTATTTGAATAAAACATATTCCATGTGGAAGAATAAAACTTTTAAAATTATTAGTAGTATCATTATAGACATAAGAGAAAATGCTGTATATGCACGAATTGATAAAAAGATCCCATTTTTAAAATAAGGAAAAGGACCTTTGGAAATTAAAAAGATGATGACAAAAAAAAAACCTCATTTTCAAGGTTAAAAGTTTTTTTTTTTAAGTTGAGAGGCTATGTCTTGAAGTAGAACAGAAAGATGAGATGGAAAATAGAAGAGAAATGATTAAAATTTAGGAGGAAAAGTTTAGGAGATCTCACGTCTAAATAACAAGATTTTCAGAAAGAGAGAGTAGAGAAAATTGAGGGGAGGACATTTTTAGAGAAATAATTCAAGAAATTTCCCAACACTGGAAGGGTGGGCTGGTAGCTGCCCCACGTGTTCAGAAACTACTCAGGGAATGGATGAAAATTAAACCACATCAGGACATATAATTATGAAATTTTAAAACAATAGAAGACCTTTCAAACTTCCTAAGAGGAAAGACAATAGCAAGAGGTTAAAAAAAAAAAAAGCACAGTTACCAGAATAGCTTTACAGCCCTAAATAATGACATTCTAAATGTAGAAGACAGTGGAACACTGCCTTTAAAATTCTGAAGGAAAATTATTTTCAACCTAACATTATACATCCAGCATAAGTATTTTGTGAGAGCAAAATAAAGACATTTTTAGGCATTCAAATACTCAAAAAGTTTATCTCCCATACATCCCTTCTCCAGAAGCTGCTGTAATATAGTCTTTGCCAAAACAAAGGCATAAACCAAGAAAGAGGAAGATAGGGAATACAGGAAAGAGGAAAACCAATACAGGAAAGATGAAAGGAAAATTCTTAGGATAACAGATGTGTTGCCAGTGTAGAAGGCAAGCAGTTCTGACTGGAGTTTAGAGGTCCCCAGGGGACACTTTAAGAAGGTGACATTGACAGAATACCTGATGTGTTTCAACATATCAAGAGGATATTTTTATACATATACTCATAAAAGTAAATACTATCCAGAAATTAAAATGAATCAACACACACATCTCAACACGGAGAGACTTGGAAGAGAAAATGTTGAGTGAAAGAGCAATGAGAATACCATAAATACTACAATGATACCATTTGCATTTAAGCAACAATAATAATGGTATTAGCAGTACTGTAGGCTTTCCTTGAGGGGAGGAAAATAAACCAAGGTCCTAAAGTTCCCTTTCCTGGGGAAAGAGGAATATGAACTGTACTGGGGAGGAGAAAATAAAGGAGACTTCAATTTTAGTTACTTTTTTTTTTTTGAGACAGGGTGTCACTGTGTCCCCCAGGCTGGAATGCAGTGGTGCAACCTCGGCTCATTGCTGCAGCCTCAACCTCCTGGGCTTAGGCGATCCTCCCAACTCAGCCTCCGGAGTAGCTGGGACTACAGGCATGTGCCACCACGTCTGGCTAATTTTGTAGAGATGGGGCTTCATCAGGTTGCCCAGGCTGGTCACAAAGTCCTGAGCTCAAGCAATCCACCTGCCTCAGCCTCCCAAAGTGCTAGGATTACAGGCGTGAACCACCATGCCCGCCTCTATTTCTTTTAAATGATTTTTTAAAACCTAAAGCAAAAATGACTTTATTAGTTAATTCTAGGATGTGAATACCCAAGCATTGATCTTACATTGCCCTTTCCATTTTTCTGTATTTTTCTTTTCCAGAAAGGAAAGAAGGAAAGGAGAAAAAAAAAAAAAAAAAAAGACAAATGCTGCAACCACAGCCTTTCCAAGGACCTGGGCCAAAGGGCCATCTTGTCCTGGCCCACTCCAGTTGGCCCTTCCTCCTAACCTAAGTCTTATCTTCATCTTGTTCAATCCACTGCTCACAACAGAACACAACCATTCTCAAAGTATATGTTTTCTTTTTCTAATAAAATCCCTTTTTAAATCTTAAATTTGTTGCCTTCTCAACATAGTCTATTGAATTTGCGCTTTATCAAAAGTCTGGAGTAGGAAGGGTGTGTTACCTTCTTTCAACAGCAGAATACTGAGGTTGTAAAATAAAGGTTTGAGAAAGGGCTTAGTAATTAAAACATAGTTAACTACTCATAATAATACTTAATATAGCTATTACTTTAATAGAAAAAAAATGTAAGCAACAATTGACTCTCTCTCACTCATTCTCATCTACATCTGGCAAAGTGCAGCCATGACTGAAGACTCTACTCTCACCTGGTGGCAGCTACCTCAAAGACAGTTAAGTGTCCAGGAGGAAATCAACATGACTTGGGGTTGCTCTGTCAATATTACCTAAAAAGTGATAGTAAACATAACAATCATGAAGGGGCTTGGGAGTGGGTGATGCTGAGAAGGCGTTGGTTCTGTTTAATGTAGAGATTTGCCCTTGGCCTTGAAAGGGCCTGCTAAATGCTTGGCTTCAAGCGCACATTCACAGCTTCTGCAGAAACCCAAAAAGCTGAGCCTACAGATACCAACGCATACGGTCTCAGATAGACTCAAAATAGTTCATCATCCAACTCTTTCATTTGATTTGGAACTGGAAGAAGAATTGCGAAGAAAGCACAGTGAAAAGTACTGGACAGTTATCCTCTCTCTATTTAAAAAAAAAAAAACTCTAAAGCTTGGTGAGAATGTTGTGTGCTTGAGTTCAGGTCAGTGCTTATATTCACTGACGCTTGATGTATTTCTGACTTCAAATGTTTTATCAAGACAATCCACCTTGTAGCAATCTCCAAAGAAGACCGTGTGGCTCTATTAAGTCCACAATTTGCTTTTTAAAAGTGACTAAATACGTTTTTTCACAACAACGACAAGTCATCTCCCTCTTGGAGCCAACAGAGTTTGTCACCCAGCTTCCCCTTGCTTTTCAAAGCCAGCCATCAAAAAGCAAAGGAAATGTCATGACTTTGGAGCGGTCAGAAAGCTCTTAAGTCGCAGTGCAGGCTATTTCTCCTTTTGTGGCACAGAAAAGAGTGGACGGACACAATGAATAAATAATCCCATTGTACTTACAAATGTGTAACAATCCTCCAAAATGAAGTGAGGAACAAAGGTAGGAGATAGCAAAGCGGCCTGGGCCTTAACAGAACAGCTTGCAATTCCAGGGCCTAAACTGCTTTTGCAAACATAAACACACACACAGCAACCATGAGAAAATAAAACTTAAAAATGGCATCCAATTCAGAATGCCAAGAGGCTCAGCCTAAATGGCCTTCTGCGTAATTCACTTTGGACACTTTCAGCCTCTGTAGGTGAGGGCACCACGTCTGCAAGAAGGTTAATACCTTAAATAGTTCAAAATAACTGACTTTGAAATAATCAGCAGGGTCACCAGTTTTTGCTAAAAACACCTCTTCATCATTTTTACTTCACCACAGCCTTTCCTTTCCCTTTTAAAGAAGTCTTGTTGTTTAATGTTCCAGAACTTGTCCACGGCCTTCTTTTTCCATCACTAGTACCTGCAGTCACTTCTTCCCCACCTTGAAATACAGAATCTAGGAGCAAACAGCAGAGCTGTGACCACCAGAAGCCCAGCAAGGACGCTCCGACACAGATTCTAGTTATATGTCATTCTTGTACATTCGTAAAAATAGGAATATAAGTGAAATAAGTTGGTATGGTATTTCTAAAACATCTTCATATTCTAAGTCCAGCTCTTCTGAATTGCTTTTCAACTGAGGCATTAATGATCATGGTTTTCTACCCAATATACCATCACGAACATTGATGAACAGACATTTCCTGGG
The DNA here is from genome assembly GCF_000001405.40 of Homo sapiens. Taxonomy (NCBI): domain Eukaryota; kingdom Metazoa; phylum Chordata; class Mammalia; order Primates; family Hominidae; genus Homo; species Homo sapiens. The sequence continues at coordinate 137,136,083 of NC_000003.12, read as the reverse complement.
AGTGCTCCACTATTGCCTCTGGGATTTTCTTCCAAGCCTCAGACACCATTCTACAAGTTTAATGTTGAAGCTTTCTTAAAATTGCCATGCAATAAAACTACTTTGTGACTGAGACTCAACTGAAGGAATTGTAAGATCCCATTGACTAGAAGACACATCCTGAATCCATGCATAATTAAAGCTCTGATAGAAATAATAATTATGCCTGTAATGCTACCCTGGGTAAAAAGAGCAGGGATGCAGAGCAGGGACAAGGGACACATGTCCATTTTGATGAAAGCAGGGTCAGAAACCAACTGAGTAGAGAGAACAATTGTGACCCAATCATTTTCCAACATGGCACCTTTTGTTTGTTGCCCCTAGGGATTTATCTATCCCAAGGCAAAGCACCATGGTCAGGAGAGAAATGTGTGTCTGTTTTTTGGGTTTTGTTTTGTTTTTTTGTTTTTGTTTTGTTTTGTGGTTTTTGTTTTTTTGATGCAGGGGGTGGATGGAGTGTTGCTCTGGTCACCCAAGGCTGGAGTGCAATGGCATGATCTCAGCTCACTGCAACCTCTGCCTCCTGGGTTCAAGTGATTCTCCTGCCTCAGCCTCCCAAGTAGCTGGGATTACAGATGCCCACCACCACCCAGGCTATTTTTTGTATTTTTAGTAGAGACGGGGTTTCACCATGTTGGCCAGGCTGGCCTCAAACTCCTGACCTCAGATGATCCGCCCACCTCAACCTCCCAAAGTGCTGGGATTACAGGCATGAGCCACCACGCCCAGTCTATGCCTCTGTTTTCTAATGGGAGAGTATGAAGGCAGATGGCAAAGAAGAATCTGCAGACCTCAGGCATGTCCCCAGGTGGATAAATATTAGGAAAGAAGACATGTGGAATCTGGGGATCTAAACCATCTGTGTGCCCTCACGCCTCCTGGGAAGTCTGTGGGTTCACCAGTGGGGATGCATTCACCAGTCTGAAGACCATAACACCAGAATGGCTTGATGTCTAAAATGCACTGAAATAAAACTTTAGAGTTCTGGTTTAGAAGGCATGGACTGCCTCACTGCTCCTACATGCTGAGGGCTCCCTCATGTATGCTGCAGTGTCTTAGGAGAGGCTTCAATTCCCAGTCACCATTATCCACCAAGCTGGAATGATACCAGACTTTTCCTCCATTCCATGAGCCAAGAAACCACAAAGGAGACAAGGGAGGAACCCCTCCTAGCACTTTTAGCAAGACAAATACTGATTTTCCCCCATACAGAGTCAACATAAAAGCTCCCTTGCTTCCATCACAGTTTATGTTCCAAAGACCTGTCACATAAACATCTAGCAGGGAGCGAGCATGTCTAGGTGCTTATGAAAATGCATGATGTTTTAACAACGTTTTTTTGTGCTTTAATCCCCCTTTAAAATTAAGGTTCCTAAGTCCTGAGGCTGCTGCGATAGGATCTCAGCCATCTGCCCCTGCCTGTGACTATGGCATCCTCTGATTAAACAAAGGGAGCCGGGCTGAAGTCACAAGGGTTTTATTTCACAGGGGACCCATGCATTCTCTAAGGGCCTCATTTAGGAATACAAACAGTTTTTAAAATGATATTTTTTGAACTAAGTGAATACATTGTCTTCCTCATCTCTTCTGGATTAGAGAACTGGGAAAAAGGTCCCCCCAGGACTTCTGGAGCTTTTCTATACTCATAATTTCAGATACAACTTCTCCCCTAGCAGCTCCCATCCACTATCAAAATGGTATTTCTGTTTGCACAATCGTCTGTCCAGTTTCTTGTCATCTTTCTGATACATTCTATATATTCAGCTATACTGAATACTGTATTCCATGAACACATCTGATCTAACTACTTTAGCAGACTCAAATTTTCACAAGCCACAAAATCACATTTACCAAAAGAAATGGAGCTTAATTTTCTGTAACTCTACTCAATTTCTACCTTGAATTCTCATTTCCATTTGACAGCAGAAAACACTTTCAGGTAAATTCAATCACACTAGTGATTACTCAGACATTTTAAGTTTAACTCAGTCAAATTTTGTGTGTCTTTTGTCCTGCACTCCACCCCTGCTCCATACTTGCGTTTTCAGCAAGGGGAACAGCTAAGTTCCAAAAACAGCACCCCAGTCCAGGACATGAGAGCAGGCACTAAGGGAGCCTCTGAGCCATAGCCACCCTCAGCTCTCTGGTAGTATCTGCTGACCTAAGCTCCTCACCCTTTATCAGCCATTTGTGCATGTCTCCTGGGGATGTGGGGGCTTTCTGATGCTCTCCATCAACATTCTGCAGCTTGTGACAATCTACTTCTCCCATGCTTTTGTGGCCCTGGGGAATATTAGCAAGACTGCTACTTCTTACATTCCAGAGGGTAAGTAGGTTACAAGTCATTACTACTCTCAGAAACCCAAATTTAAAGGAGTTTCTAGGTATCCATCCTGGTACCCAGCCCAAGGTAGGGCATGAGGAAGAAACCTCACTCCATTTCTAATCCTCTTGCCCCTTTCCCAAATCAACCTCCTGCCCTCTGGATCTGTTACTTATGCCACCACTTGTGGTATGGCCCTCATGGCAATTTTGAAAATTTGTGAGGGTATTTCCCCCAAAACATTTTATTTCAAAAGCTTTCAAATTTATGGAAGAGTTGCAAGAATAGATCCAACTATAATTACCCAAATAGTAAAGAAGTTTAGCATTAATACTATTGTCTATTATATGATTTATTATTCAAGTGTCCCCAGTTATCCCAGTAATATTCCTTACAGCTGGTTTATAGTTCCATCCAGGATTCAATTAAGGATCATATATTGAATTTAGTTCTCAAGTCTCTTCAATCTCTATTACTCTAAAATAGTTCTGGCACTTAGTGAGCAGGAGCCAAGAATAAAAGACATCTCACAATGCTTGGGATGGTCCCACCAATAAAGAATTGTTCTGCATCCCGCATGACTTGAGTACTTTTCCCAGACAGTCATATAGGTTTAAAAATCACTTATAATTATTTGCACTCAGGGCCTAATTCCATTTTACATATAAACACACAGAAATTTTTGCACACTTTAAACATAAAATATACACTGAATTTTCTAGGACAGCAACAATAATATAAATCAGGAAAAGGTTGAACCCTCTTTTTTAGAGACCTTCTCAGGAGTTATTCATTTCAGAAAAAGTATGTACCAATGGCAATACCATTTATGATATTTAAATCACCACATAACACCTCTAGATCAGTCTGTGTTCAAGGCCGTGATATTCACTGTGGCTCAATGTTCACGTTCAAGCATAGAACTACATTACTATATTCTCTACTGTAGCGGTTGGTGTCTAAGCACTTAAATGTTGAAACATATGTTTTAAGTAGCTTTTATTTTGTTTTTCCTTTATATCTGTTAGGGTGTTATATTGATCGTTAAATTACATAGTAGATCAGATTTACCTATTGGTTTTATCTGAGGATAATAAAGGGGACTTTGCAAAGTACCCATTATAAAAAGGGGTTTCAAACAAATTGTCAAAAATGTATAAGTTACTCAGGGAAGTATGAACATGGTAATTAAGGAATTATTATTAATTATCTCTAGTGTAATAATCATATTGAGGTTATGTTTTCTAAACGAGTACTTTATTTTAAAAGATTACATCCAGAAGTATTTTCAGATAAAATGCTATGATTTGCCCTGAAATCATCAGGGTGGTAGAGTGGGTCAGGTAGAGATAAAACAAAAGGTAGCACGTATCAGTAATTGTTGAAGCTGGATGATGGCTACATCGGGTTCATTTTACTATTCAGTCAACTGGTGTGGATTTTTGAAATTTTTGGTAATAGAAAGGTTGAACTAAAAGAAAAAGGGAGTCTGCTGGGTTTGATGGGGTTGAGAACCACTGATTTGTGATGAATTATATTTCCAGCTTCCTTTAGGACCTGCTCTTTTGATATATATTTTATAAAATATATATCATATATATATTTGAAAGCATTGGCTCTCAAGAATGTTGTCTTTGTTAGGAGTTTTTTTAAATGTATTTGAAACTCAACATCCAAGGCTTGACTCTTTCTGTGTTCCTTTGTATATTTCCTTTAATGAATATGGCAGACTGTGCAGGAGAGAGGAGAAAGGTCACGGGGCAGAAGGGTGGAAATAGTGGGGACAGAGAGGTTTGGGAACCACTGGGCAAGGGAGAAAAAAATCTTGATAAATATCCATTGTCCCACTATACTGCCTCTCTGTATTTCAAAATAACTCTCCTGCTTACATTAGCTCCTTCCCTGGTGGGCGAAATACTTCCAGCTACAGCATGATGGACAAGTCGCAAGGTGTCGGCCTCTGCCCTCCTCTCCAGCCAGCCCTCCTCTAGCCCCAAGCAAAGGGTCTTGTTCTCTTCCTCTCTCCGCCTGTTTCTAGTCCGGTTTCTCAAAAATGGAACCTACTCTGGGTGAGGCATTTATTTATGAATGGGTGTCAGGCTGGGTGCTGAGGGGACAGAGAACAAAATAGACGGCATTTGGCCTCAGAAGGCCCAGTCTAATAAGGGTGAGGTGTGTGCAGAGGAGCAGCCCATGACTGTGACAGCAAAGGCAGGGATCCTGTCTCAGGTTCTGAGGCTTCTGCTGAACAGCTCCTGCTATGAGTTTGCCCTCTCTGAGAAGCACTCCAACCTCCTCCGGGAGCCTACAGTTGAATTGCATTGAATTCAATGAATCTTTACTTAACACCTACACTGTACCTGACACTTTCTTTTCTGAAATACTCTTCTCAAGACCCACCTATTTTAACTTCCTTCCCTGGTCTCATCTCTTTGATCCAGTCTGCTTTGTTATTCGTGTCTGAGCATTTCCTGCCCCAAACAGATCAGTACTTAGAGCTGTTTCTAGCCTAACATAGCTGCCTCCCAGACAATTTCTGGTTCATTTCAAGGTAACAGAGAACACTTTCATTAAATCCAGAAATAAATAAATAAATAAACAAACAGCTCAATGGACTCAGCAGGGAGGAAGAGCCATCACCATCACACTCTCTCTCCCTTCCCCTTCCTTACCAGAGGCTTCACAATGGCTCCAGACTCTCCAAGCCTGCAGAAAAAAAGTCCTAGTGGACTCAAGTTTAAAAACATTAGGGGCTTCTTCAGTTGCCCCTTTCATGGATATTTGCATTTTGAAGAAGACCAAGAGGGCCTTGATCCCTCTGGCTTCTCCAGCTTATTAACCCTCTACAGGTCTCACTTCCTGCCTTACCCTGGGAAGAATACAGGCTGATTATCAGAACCCCTTTCATTAAGCTCCTTACTCCTGTGCTTCCTGCATTTCCATTTCTCCTGGCCAGCAAAATTGATGAGACTAATGAGACTTAATCAGTCTCATCAGTTGCCTGAAGCCTGACCTCCCATCCAAATCAACGTCCCGCTTTTCCTGGTCTGCACTCCTTCGACTGGTCTTCACCCATTCCATCAGCATCTTCTCCCGCCCACTCCTCTTAGCCAAAAAGCCTCACCTCCCTAGTGGAGAAAATGGAGCCAATCAGTGAATCGGCTCAACATTCAGCTCCTGCACCTGCAGATCCTCTGGATAAGAGACACACACATCACATCCCAGAACTGCTCATAAAGCACACTGCCAGCCTCTACACCAAATACCACAGGCACTTTCCAGGCCTGACAAAGTGGAACTTTCTGCCACATTTTATTTTGTTTTCCTGCAGTGCCCTTTTCACTCCCTTACCTGGAAAGCTCTGACTCAACCTTCAACACTTCAACTAACACTTCCTCCAAGAAGCGCTCTCTGAGCCTCCAGGTTGTCCATGTGCCCCTCCTCTGGCCCTCATGGGAGGGCCAGTACTCACCTCCATACTAACATTTATTATATGGTGAAAGTATTTCCTGGAGATCAGGGAGCAGGCCTCATTCACCTGTGTTCCTCCAGGGCCCAGGCCAGAGCCTAGCACAAGCGAGGCCAGCTGCATGCCATGCTGAACTGAAGGTTCATACTTTAAAATGCCTTGGGCTTGCTCTGGACACTGTGTGGTGACATAGTCATGAGCGTCCATCAAGCTGGATGTTACTGCTGTGGAATCAGCACATGTGAGGGTTCACCACAGGCTTCAGGAGCCCCATCAGCCTGATCAGTTGACCTCTGAGACTCTGGGGGAAATAGGTCCCTCTCTACACCCAGGTGACACTGCAAAAGCTAAAGTCCTCGCCTCTGCATACACACGCACCAAAACAGGAGGTTGAGGCAAGCTCACTCAACCGTCTATAAAAGAACATAAAAGACCTATAAATTTCCTCTACTCATGCCTGAACATTGCAGTTGGGAGTGAAAACCATGTGTTGTATTTTTCTTCCCCACATATGCCTGTTCCATCATCAAGGGCCAAGGAGAGTGGATATGACTCATCAAGAGTAGAGGCTTTTCTTCTTTCTCTCTGAATGTTCTTAGCACCTTGCTTAGTTCCTTGCTCAGAGTGGGCACGCAGTAAATAAAATAAGATTTTAGGCCAGGAGCAGCGGCTCACACCTATAATCCCAACACTATGGGAAGGTAAGGCAGGAGGATTGCTTGAGGCCAGGAGCTCCAGACTAGCCTAGGCAATACAGTGAGACTCTAGCTCTACAAAAAAACAAACAAAAACAAAAAAATTTTAATTAACTAGGCATGATAGTGCATGCCGGTAGTCCTAGGTACTTGAAAGTCTAAGGAAAAAGGATCTCTTGAACCCAGGAGTTCAAGGCTGCAGTGAGCTATGATCACACCACTGCATGCCAGCCTGGGTGACTGAGTGAGATCGTATCTCTAAAAATAAATAAATATAATTTTAAAATGAAATCATAAAGATTTACACCTCAGTGATTTTTTTTCAGCAGCCTGAATTTTCAAGGAAAAAAATTATTGATATCTTCTGATTGGTGATCAAATGAGAGACAATTCACAATTCTTTTTGCATTGCTATTCTATTTTAAAATGCAAAATTAGTCAACTCCCTCGCTTGGGAGCAGAGGGGCTTTCAGGAATCCGAGAAAGTCTGCCTTTCTCAGTACATTTCCCTGCTAGCGAAGCTCTTAGGAATCAAATGTGGTTTATTTCATTTTAAGTCACCTTTTTTCTACTCAGGAAAATGAATGTTGGAGCCAGATAAGAAACTATAGTCTGCTTTCAAGAAGGTTACAAGAAAACTGCATCTTGCATTACTAATCCTTTATCTTCATGTTAACAAAAAGATTACTGACACATTTTTGAATGAAAGAAAATAAAATAGCAAATGCATCTTAGGAAATGTGTAACTTTCATGCAACACACAAATCAGTTGTTAAATATTTTTTAAATGAAGGAAAATGCATAATAAATTTTTCCTTTGGAAGTAAAGAAACCAACTTTTGAGGATAGGAGAAAAAAAGAAAACTAGGATCAGGAAATCATCCTTTCACAGAATGTAGTTTGAATGAATTAAATGATTATACCTACAACTTCTTGATAGATAATATGTTTTCTAAAAATGATTTCATTGGCCCAGGTAAGTGTTGTTTTGTGAGGGGAAACATTTCAGAGCCTGTCTTTGTGCTTACTTCCTGCAAGGTCAGACTCCATTTCCCAGAGTTCCCCGAGGATGGGCCTGGCAGACTGAAGCCAGCTAGATGGCACTGAGTCCATCTGCGCATATATCCAAGAAACTCACTAGATATGCCAGGGACAGAGGAGGTGATCAAAGCAATCAACAGTGTTGACAGAACCCACCCCACAGCATGGGCTAGGGTTAGGATCACCATCCTGGGCAAAAGATAGACCTGGATTCAGTCTCATTCATGTCACTCACAAGCTGGGTGCCTTGGGTAAGTGCCCTAACCCCTCTGTCCTTTAGTCTCCTCCTCATTTATAACATGGAGATAATGATACACCTATCTCATAGAATTAAATGAGTTAATATTTGTGCTTAGAACGTGCCCAGAACCTAGTAAGCAGTGTATGTAAGTATTTGATGGATTAAATAAAAATTGAGGAAACTCAACTGTGCATGATAAAAGACAGTTTCTATTTTTGCACAAGGAGAAAAGAGACTGAGAGCTGCAGATTACAAAATGTATGGAGGATGAAGAAAGTGGGACTAAACCCCCCCCCAAAAAAAGATCGTATGAGGTAAACATTAATATTATGCTCATTTTACAGATGAGGAAACTGGGGCACAGAATGTTTAAGTAACTTTCCCGAAGCTGGTAGGCAAGTAAGTGGAAAAAGAATATACAATTATAAGATTCATTATCAAATACCTGCATGACCATTTATCAGGTACTTAAGCTTCCACATGCATGATTTCATTTAATAAAGCTGAGGCAAATGACTTACTTCCATTTTATAGATGAAACTCAAAATAACTATGAAATATTTGTTAGCATATGCCTCAGAAATATACAATCTCTTCTTCTACAACTCATGTTTCTGTAATGCAAATTAGTTCATACATGACTGGGAAATAAAGAAACAATGTTACTTTAACACAGAAGTCATGTTAGTTCATGTACAATTTTTGCCAACATTTTAATGTTTTACAGAAAATGCAGCAAGCCGTGAAGGAATATGGTATTGTACATGATGCCCATCATCCAGTGTTCTTCCTCCTAGTCTGGTTAGACCACATGCTCTGTCTCAGATGTGCCTAATGTGTGGTTCCACCCAGTCTTTATTTTACCCTTGTCTGTGCAACTCATCAGCCTCAACACTTCCTTATCCATGCTTTTTTTTTTTTTTTTTTTTGAGGTGAAGTTCAGATTTTTTCATCTATTAGGGATTTAACATGGATTTTTTTTTTTTTTACTGTGCCAATATTTTTTACTAGGATTGCAGTTGGTTTTTAACTGATGAGGAGGTTGCATACATTCTGAGTGAACAGGTTTCTCACCCTATCTTCCTACAATCCCTGTTATTTCCAGTGTGTGATTTTGTATAATGTGGGGTTTTACAAGAATGTCCATATCACATCATTGCAGAAATGACTGTATGAGATAAAGTGTTTGAATTTGCTCACCATCTTCTTTTGTATATATGTCATATTCTCATCAACAATAACAGTGGGTAGATTTCATGGGTAAATTTTTACTGGTTTGAGATGACTAACAGGCCAATGTTTTCAGATTTTTTAATTAGGCCAGAAGATGGAACAAAATAAAATACTGGGGAAGGATCACTTCAAATCCTTCTCCCATGCCAGACCTAATTCTGCCTTTGTGGGGCAGAATTACCCATTACCCGTTCCCCTCAAAGGAAAGGGTAGTAATCTGATCAGAGTCCAGAACATTGATTAAGCTGTAATTCCCATGAGTGGGTCCATTAAGCCTTAAAGAACTGCACTCACTTAGCTGAGAGTCCTCCTCCTCTTAATGCAGAAGAATCAGAAACTTTGTCAGTGTCCAAAAGGAGTCCTGTAGCTTCTCTTTTCTCTTTTTCCCCCGCCTAAGCAGCTAGAGGAGGAAGTTACATCCCAGCCTGCTCTGCAGATCTGACCGTATCAATCTCTCAGCACCTCTTCAATTTTATTGTTGCATGTGGCCAGACAGTAGGAAAATTTTCAAACTCTTGGTTTTTGGAAGAGTTTAGAAAAACTACTTAGGCCGGGCGCTGTGGTTCACGCCTGTAATCCCAGCACTTTGGGAGGCCAAGGCGGGCGGATCACGAGGTCAGGAGATCGAGACCACGGTGAAACCCCGTCTCTACTAAAAATACAAAAAACTAGCTGGGCGCAGTGGCAGACGCCTGTAGTCCCAGCTACTCGGGAGGCCGAGGCAGGAGAATGGCGTGAACCCGGAAGGCGGAGCTTGCAGTGAGCCGAGATCGCGCCACTGCACTCCAGCCTGGGCGACAGAGCGAGACTCCGTCTCAAAAAAAAAAAAAAGAAAAAAGAAAAACTACTTAGATCTCAGGTCCATGCAATATGCTTCAACCCAACCATTTCTGGAGAACCCTACCTGGGCACATCAGCCACTTGTGCTGTCCTGAGGAATAGGGGTGGTTGTCAGGGCAGGATTTGGGCACACCTGAGTTTCTGGTCATGCTATGCAACATGCAACACCAAATCTGATTCACGACAACAAATATAAGATTCGAGTCTCACCAAGTTTACATTATAGAGCGGGATATATTCTTCTTGGTCCTCCTGCTTGGTTGCCAAGGCACAAGATCATGTTTTAAAAGTCACAGGCTCTTCCACGGGCTCCCCAGAAGGACCACCGTTTGTCTCTTCACTACCTGTGCAAAGCCTAAGGCTCTATTTAACATGCTTTTTCAACCCTGGAGAAAATGTTTAAAAGATGAGCAACTAATGATCCACAGAGTTCTGATGATGTTTTATCTACATTTTTTCCTTACAGACACATTCCCAAGGAATCCACTGGGTGATCAACACTAGAACTTAAATATTGGGGAAAGGTTAGGAGGCTCTTTAATTCCAATTAAAAGATCAGTAAATTCCAAGTAGAAGACAACAGTGGAAATCAGTTGGTAGAAAATGTATTACCTGTAAGAAAACACTTAATGAAAGAGTCCTCTAGAAAAAAAAAAAATACTAATAAAACAGGTCAACGACTGTGAACATAGAAAAGTTCTGTGTAATAAAGCATCCTGTTTTATTTGCCTGGACAGTTTCTTTCTCTGGAGACACCTCTTCCCTAGTCTATGTGGACCTGAGGGGCTATTACAGGGTACTTCCTCCTTCCTCCTCCTTCTCGCCAACCACCACAAGCATGGGCTTGAAACCCAGTCTGATCAATCTGAATTCCCACGCACCCCCCCAAACCATAGCAGTGATTTCTTCAGAGATGATCATGTGACTTGGATCAGACCAGTTAGATTCTTTGCTAGGACTTTTCTGGTAGAGCTTGTAAGAAATAATTCTTGCCTTTTGGGTCATAATACTGGGAGGGAGTAAGATTGTAAGATCCAGCACCCATCTTCCTTACCTAAGAAGGGAAAAGCTAGTCTGTTATGGGAAAGAAAAGAATGAAATCAAGAGAGAAAAGAAGCAAAGCTAAGAAACTGCATCAAAGAAGTTCTGTTGACAGTTATTGGTCACATAGATACAACTGAGCTCAAATCCAGAGCTATCCCTGGACTTCTCAGTTAAATGGGCCAATAAATTCCCCTGCCTAAGCCAATTTGACTCCGGTCCCCCCACCACCCCCACCATAACTTAAAGGCTACTGACTAATACAAGGGCCTTTTCTGCTACTTGCAAAGATAAATTTATGAGGACAAGAAAGATCCCACATCCAGGAATTTTCTGACTGAAATGTTCTATTGAAATAACAATAAACCACCTTTTTGAAGACGTTCCATGCAATTCACCTAAATATCTTACTGTCATGCATTAACCTTCACTAATGGGCTCAGGAGTGAGCTTTGATGCTGCCTTAAAATACAGAAAAAAATGAAAAGGGATTCTACAGGATCATCAGACGTCTTCTGAAAGGAAATTGCAAAGACAAGGTGTTCCAGAACGTCTCCTCAACAATCTTCCAGTATCACCTTCTCTCTGCTTCCAACCCTGCCTTCCGAAATGCACTGATTAAAGAAGGAAAGGAGTTAGCACTGACACCCGCACTATGCCAGAGACTGCTGGTGTTTGGCACACGTCATCTGATTTTCCTGACAAACCTATAAGAATTATCCCCATTTTACAAATGAGGACACCAATACTCATATAGGATAAGTGACTTGCCCAAGGCTACATAGCTAGTACATGCCAGATCTAAAAATTAAAACCTATATCTGTATGAATCCAAATCTCTTGCTCTTTTCAGTTCAGGAAGCTGGAATACCCACCACCAGTACTATATATCTCCAAGGAGACAATAAACGTGGTGAAGGGTGTAGAGGGAAAGCTTCAATTCAGTTAAACCATCATTTATCAAGTATGCCAGTTGCTGTGAGGAAAGACACATGTATAATACATGTAATAATCTATTTCAGATGTGTAACATTCTATATAAGAATATAATTGGTCTGATCTGAATCACACGGTCATCCCTAAGCAAATTACTGCTGTGGATTAGAATTCTAATTGACTAGAGCTTGCAGTATTGTAGGGGAAACAGACTATTACACAAACGATTGCGTTTCAAGTACGAATGAGGTTACAGTGGAAAGTCACATGAGACCCTAAAGAGGGAAAAACAGATTCCAACTGGGTATGGCAGAGGAATGCTTTATGGAGGAGGAATTAACCTAAGCTTAAGAGTGAGATTTCAACAGATAGAAAGTTTGAGATAGGGAGGCCTTCTCCTTTGAATAAAACATTACATAAAGTTGGCTAGCTGTACTCTTTTACTATTTGGATGGTACAGGGAACTAAAAGGGGTAAGACAATGTATTGATTAGAATGGGCTAGTTTATGCTATAGTAGAAAAGAACCCCAAAAATCTCAGCTCAAGACAATAGCACATGTCTGACTTGACTAAATGCTCACCACAGTGGGCTGTGAAGTTTGCTTCATGTCTCTTTCACTCTAGGATGCAGGATGATGAAGCAGCCTCTATCAGGAACATTGCTGGCCACTATGACAGAAGGTAAGAGAACTTAGAAGGTCTCCCACCATCGATAAATGCTCCAGTTTAGAAGTGACTCCTATCACATCCACTGACAACTCATTGTTCAGTATTAATCCAAGGCCCCTACAATCACAAGGGCCCAAGAAATGCAATACTAACAGGTTCACAGAAAGTAAGGAGCCAGAGATATTTGGTGAGCAGAAGTGATTTCTACTACACTTGATGTACACACTTGTCCATGACAGGTCCAAGGATATCAGAAAAGGATAGTTGTACAGAGGGCAAAACAAAGTCTAGACATTAGGCCAACAAACATAAAAACATTAAGTACCAACTACGTGTTAAGCACTGGCAATACAAAAATGTAGCTCTGTCTTCAAGGAGCTCACAGTCTGATGGTAGTGAACAGTGCATGTTATATATTGTATTGGTCCCCCAAATTCTTATGTATTCATATGTTCAGTATGGCTGTACTTGGAGATAGGGATTTAAGGAAGTAATTAAGATTAAATAAGTCATAAGTGTGAGGCCCTAATCCAATTGGGCTGATCTCCATATAAGAAGAAGGAGAGACACCAGAGTTCTCTCTCCCACCATGTGTGCACGCAAAGGAAAGGTCGTGCAAGGACACAGCAAGAATACAGCCATCTTTCAAGCAAAAGAGAGGCCTCACTAGAGGCCCCTTGATCTTGCTGTGCCCGTGATCTTGGACTGCTAGCCTCCAGAACTGTGAGAAAATAGATTTCTGTTGTTTAAGCTACCTAGTCTGTGGTATTCTGTTATGGCAGCCCAAGCAGACTAACAAGGTACATAAGCATATAACTATAATGTGACATAGTGAGTGCAGTGATAGACATATATACACAAGCACACAAGGGAGAGGGTCCATGCAGTGATTAGCATGATAAGGATTTTTCAACGTAACCACGTCATCCTAATCTTCTGTCCTGATGCAGAACCCAGGGGCAGTACCCTGACTCTACTAAGAGGCAAAGATTCAGGGGCTTTAGGCAACATCAAGAACCAACCATGAGGCTGGGCATGGTGACTATTGCCTATAATCCCAGCACTTTGGGAGTCCAAGGTGGGAGGATCGCTTGAGCACAGGAGTTCAAGACCAGCCTGGGCTACATAATGAGAATCCATCTCTTAAAAAAAAAAATAGCTGGGTGTGGTGGCACACACCTGTAGTCCCAGCTACTCAGGAAGCTGAGGTAAGAGGATCACCTGAGTCCAGGAGATTGAGGCTACAATGAGTCGTGTTCATGCCACTGCATTCCAGCCTGGGTGACAAAGTGAGAGTCTGAAGAAGAAAAAAAAAAAAAAAAACAGCCATGGTCTAGTGAACCTGGCTCTCCATGTGGCCTTAGGATAACATAGAAATATTTTTATTAAGATGCCCCACTACCCTCAGACCCCTGTCAGAGCTGGTGCTTGTGACTGCCTTTAGGGGTCCTGAGGGCAGCTTGCCTGTTTGGGCTCTGCCCAGCTTTGCCCTTCTCTTAGGGGCTGAATGTGGAGGCCAGGCCACTATGCTTTCTACAGACCAACCTATTGCCTGAGGCACTGAGAGCTTCTCCTATTTTTAAAAGATCAAGCATAAAAACCCCAATGCTACCACCACAACTGGCTCTTACCTGCAAGCACCACCTACTGGCAGCGATGTTGATCTGCACATCTCAGCACAAAATCTGCTGACACAAGTACACAACGCTTGAGAACATGACATGGTTCTCAAGACCTCTGCCACCCCAGGTATGAGCCTGCACACATACCCAACACAACACTAGTACTACAACCAACATTTAAGAAAACCACCACACTAAGGATATCTATAACCAAGGAATTCATACAGAGTCTCTGCCACTGAAAGCACTCAGAAGCAAAGCCTAACAACCCTACTCAACATATATTATAGTTGCATTCTTAAGGGGAAAAAATAAGTTCCATCCAAATGAAAGTAAATTCAAAATTAAGAAGTGACAATTCCCCCAGATGAGAAGAAACCAGCACAACAATTTTGGAAGCATGAAAAAGCAGGGTGTTATTACACCCCAAAACAATCACACTAACTCTCCAGCAATGAATCCTAACCAAAGTGAAATCTTTGAAATACCAGATAAAGAATTCAAAATATTGATGTTAAAGAAGCTCAATGCCATATAGGAGAAATCTGAAAACCAATATCAGAAAATCAATTCAGGATATGAATCAGGAATTTACCAAAGAGATGGATATGTTTAAGAAAAAACCTGGCTGGGCACAGTGGCTCAAGCCTGTAATCCCAGCATTTTGGGAGGTGGAGGCAGGCAGATCACGAGGTCCGGAGATCGAGACCATCCTGACTAACACGGTGAAACCCTGTCTCTACTAAAAATACAAAAAATTAGCCGGGCGTGGTGGCGGGCCCCTGTAGTCCCAGCTACTCGGGAGGCTGAGGTGTGAACCCGGGTGGCAGAGCTGGCAGCGAGCCGAGACTATGCCACTGCACTCCAGCCTGGGTGACAGAGCGAGACTCTGTCTCAAAAAAGAAAAAAGAAAAAACCTAACAGAATTTCTGGAAATGAAACGTTCGTTGAAATAATTACAAAATACAGTTGAAAGCTTCAACAATAGACTAGATCAAGCAGAAGAAAGAATCTCCTGCTTTTAATTTTTAATCCAGTCAGACAACAATTTTAAGAATTTTTTTAATTAACAATTTATTCAAGAAGAATGAGACTACATAGAATGTCTGAATCTATGAACAATGGGTATTCCCGAGGGAGAAGAAAACACAAGAAGTTTGGGAAACCTATTTGAAGAAACAATTGAGGAAAACTTCTATAATCTGCAACAGATCTATACATGCAGATGTAAAACTCAGAGGTCTTATAAAACAATTACACAAATGAGACTGCAAAGCAACTAGATAACAGCACCATGACAGAAACAAAACCTCACATATCAATATTAACCTTGAACATAAATGGATTAAATGCTCCACTTAAAGATACAGATTGGGCCGGGTGCAGTGGTTCACGCCTGTAATCCCAGTACTTTGGGAGGCCGAGGTGGGCAGATCACCTGAGGTCGGGAGTTCAAGACCAGCCTGGACAACATGGTGAAACCCCATCTCTACTAAAAATACAAAAAAATTAGCCAGGCGTGGTGGCAGGCACCTGTAATTACAGCCACTTGGGAGGCTGAGGCAGGAGAATCACTTCAACCTGGGAGGTGGATGTTGCAGTGAGCCGAGATCACTGCCACTGCACTCCAGCCTGGGCTATAAGAGTGAAACTCCATCAAAAAAAAAAGAAAAAGAAAAGAAAAAGAAAAAAAAGATACAGATTGGTTGAATGGATGTTTATATAACCATATGCTGCTTATAAGAAACCCACTTAACTGGGAAAGACACTAATAGACTGAAGGTAAAGGGAAAGAGAAAGATATTCCAGGCAAACAGAAACCAAAAGCAAGTAGGAGTAGCTAAACTTATATCAAACAAAACAGATTTTAAATCAACAAAAGTAAAAAAAAAAATAAAAAGAAGGTTATTATATAATGATAAATGGGTCAATGCAACAAGATATAGCCATCCTAAATACATATCCATCCAGCACTGCAGCACCCAGATTCATAAAACAAATATAACAGACTTGAAAAAAAGAAGTAGACAGCAACACAATAGTAGTTGGGGACTTCCATATCCCACTGACGGACAAATAGTTAAGACACAGAAGCGACAAAGAAACACTGAACATAGATTGAATTGTAGACCACATGGACCTAACAGACATTTGCAGAACGTTCTTGCCAACAACCACAGAACATACATTCTTCTTATCAGTGCATGGAACATTCTCCAAGACAGACCATGTTAGGCTACAAACAAGTCTCAGTAAATTTTTAAAAGTTGAAATCTTATCAAGTATCTTCTCAGACCACTTTTGAACAAAACTAGAATCAATTCCAAGAGGAACTCTAGACATTATACAGAAACATGGATACTAAACAACCTACTACGATCTTTGGGTCAATGATAAAATTAAGATGGAAATTTAAAAATTGTTTTGAAATGAATGAAAATGAGGGACACAACATAGTAAAACCTTGAAGATACAGCAAAAACGGTGCTAAGATGAAAGTTTATAACATTAAATGCCTATGTCAAAAAGATAGAAAGATCACAAGTTAACAACATCACACCTCAAGGAACTAGAAAAACAAGAAAAAAAAAACCCAAAGCCACAGAAGAAAAGAAATAACAAAGATCAGAGAAGAACCACATAAAATTGAGCCCCCAAAAAGAATACAAGTGATCAATGAAACAAAAAGTTTGTTCTTTGAAAAGATAAACAAAATTAATAGACTTCTCACCTGCTAATCAAGAAGAGAGAAGATTCAAATAAGCACAATCAGAAATGAAAAAAGAGACATTACAACTGATAACAGAAATACAAAAGATAATCAAAGACTACTATGAACATCTCTATGCTCACAAACTAGAAAACCTACAGGAAATGGATAAATTCCTGGAAACATACAACCTTTCAACATTAAACCAGGAAGAAATAGAAATCGTAAAAAATAATAATCATAATAATGAGTAGCAACACTGATTCAGTAATAAAAAAAATCTCCCAACAGATAAAAGCTCAGCACCATAATTTGACTTCCTCTTTTCCAACTTAGATTCCTTTTATTTCTTTCTTTTGCCTGATTTCTCTGGCTAGGACTTACAGTACTGTGTTATTTAAGAAGGGTGAAGGTAGGCATCATGTCTTGTTCTAGTTGTTAGGGTGAATGCTTTCAGTTTTTCCCCATTCAGTATGACGTTGGCTGTGGGTTTATCATACATGGAAAACCCTGTCTCTACTAAAGGTACAAAATATATATCTGGGCATAGTGGCACGTGCCTGTAATCCCAGCTACTCAGGAAGCTGAGGCATGAGGATCTCTTCAACCCAGGAGGCAGAGGTTGCAGTGAGCTGAGATGACACCACTGCACTCCACAATCCAGCCTGGACAACAGAGCAAGACTCTGTCTCAAAAAAAAAAAAAAAAAAGAAACATGACAATGAGATATCATCTTACACCAGTCAGAATGGCTACTATTAAAAAGTCTAAAAATAACAGATGTTGGCAAAGATGCAGAGAAAAGGGAATGTTTATCCACTGTTGGTGGAAATGTAAATTAGTACCACATTTATGGAAAACAGTACAGAGATGTCAAAAAGAACTAAAAGTAGAACTACCACTCAATCCAGCAATCCCACTACTAGCTATCTATCCAAAGGAAGAGAAATCATTATATCAAAAAGATAACTGCACTTGTATGTTTATCACAGCACTATTCACAATGGCAAAGATATGGAATCAACTAACAATGGATGAGTGGATACTACTCATAGACTATTACTCAGCCATAAAAAAGAATGAAATCGAGTCTTTTGTAGCAACATAGATGGAACCAGAGGCCATTTGCTTAAGTGAAATAACTCATAACAGAAAGTCAAATACCACATGTTCTCACTTATAAGTGGGAGCTAAATAATGTGCACACATGGACATACAGAGAGGAATAATAGACACTGGAGACTCAGAAAGATGGGATAATGAAAGAGAGGTAAGGGATGAGAAACTGGGCACAATGTACACTATTCGGCTGGTGGTTACACTAAAAGCCCAGACTTCGCCACTACACAATATAACTAAGTAACAAAATTGCACACTTGTTCTCCTAAATCTATAAAATATAGACTGCACTTGTAGCCCTAAATCTATAAAATATAAAAATAAAAAACAAAAAATCCCTGTTAAAAAAACAAAAGACAGATGCCCCAAAGTTTACCCCTCTAAGGATGAGCATGAAAGAGAATGTGCCAAGACCAATACATTACCTGCTGCCACATCATTTTCCTTGGTCATCACCTTCTTCACAATGAAGCCCCATAAAGCAATAATTTTCTGAGTGACTCAAGAATTCCATTTTATATTGGATAAAATCAATACACAGAAGAAGCACAATTCATGGAATGCAGTCACAGAGCATTCCTATTTTGTCTTTCTGTATTCTTTTAAAATTTACTCAGTAAAGTAAGAACTCTTACCCAGTGTAAAACTCCAGTTGCTTCCATGACTACTCTGATCACTTACGGGAAAAACTCTTACAGGCACAGTTTCAACAGGGCAGCTAGAATGTCCAGTCCCACGTAATAGTCAATGCTTCTAACTTCACTCAAAGTTACAGCTACTGCCCGTCCCCAGCAATGGCTTACTACCTGGGAAGAAGTGTAATTGACTTCCATCTTTCTGGCTCACCTTCTCTCTCATTCCCCATCTGCTGTTTCTGACGTTCTAGGACTGGGGCTCAGGGAGAGAAAGGAGTGAGGGAAGCAGGAAAGTTCTTACTTGACTTGTACTAGCCTAAGCTCAGTTGTTAATCCTGGATGGCACTATCCCACCCTGCTTCTCTTGTGAAGCACTTTCACAAGTTATTCAGATATTTCCATTGCTATTGATTTCCCATCTGCAGTTTTCTTGACCCAGGCAAACCCATCTCTAGTCCAGTTGCTCACTCTCCTATGTCCACAGCCCCTAGCCAGTTCACCTCCAGTTTTTGCCAACCAGGTTTCATTGACCAGAAGCCCCTACAGGTTGGGACTCAGCTCTTTCATGCACATGCAAGTATCCAGTCCTTAGGAAACACTCATGCCCCATTTCCTTGCACAGGGTGATCCCAGCACAGACACCACACCTCTGAATCATCCACCAGCAGTTAGCCAACCCATCTCTTACTCTTTTAAGACTTACCCAGTGGGAGTCAGAGGAGTCAGACACCAGACCATTGTGTGCTTTATTCTGTAGGGATCATATAAGCACTTTGAGTAGACCCATTAAAGTGCCCCTCCCTAGGCTTGAGATGAAGTCAGGCACAACTCACCCCTTCATGTTGAGGATGGGGACTGCTCACCATGAAACTCTCTCCAAAAAAAATTCCCTTCACAAATTCTCTCTAATCTCCAAAAACACAACTGCTGTTCCCCCTAAGATAAACGCATGTTTAAGAGACATAAAATCAGTTTTTAAATATTTTCTCTGCAAATTTGCATTATGGTCCAGCCCCTTGCTGTGTTATCTTCAACCATTGTCTTTGAGTCTCAGCTAAAACTTCCACTTTAATATTCAGTTACTCAGACTGTGGGGGTCACAATTGCCTGCATCCCTGAAGAGTACTACCCAGGAAACCAGGGACTTCAAACAAATCTCCATGGGAAATTCGGTCCCATGGGACAAAGTCCATGTTCACTACCAAATTAACATCACAGAAAACTCTTCCTCTGTGGGGTTTCATTAACTAACTCTGTCTGGTCTCGTCATCCTTTTTGATCTCATTAGTGCTGATTTCAAAGTGTTTAGGTCCAAGAGTCAAAGGCTGATGCCTGTGACATCCAAACCAACCAACTCAGAGCAAGTGTTCTGACTGCAATGCAATAAGATAGGAACTCATTAAGAAAAATATTATCTCACCCCAAAAAGACCCATGAATTTGGAAATTTATAAAAGATGGTTTTAAATAACTCATGAAACAAAGAATGAGTCGCAACAAAATATAAAACATTTAAGAATTGAACAACAGAAAAGCTACATATCAAAATTCATGAAATATACCTAAAGAGATACTTATATTCGAAAATTTCTGGTCTTGAAAGCTGTCTTGGTCCACTTGTGCTGCTACAACAAAATACCTGAGACTGGGTAATTTATAAAGAAGACAAGGCCCCGGTAGGTTTGATGTCTGATGAGAGCTCCATCTCCACTTCCAAGATGACACCTTGTTTCTACATCCTCTGCAGGAGATGAACACTGTGTCTTCACATGGTGGAAGAGATGGAAAGCATGAAAAAAAGGGCAAACTCACTCCATCAAGCCCTTTTACAAAGGCACCTAATCCCATTCACGAGGGCAGAGCCTTTATGATTCAGTCACCTCCTAAAGGCCAATATTGTCGCATTGGGGATTAAGTTTCAAAATGAATTTTGGAGGAGATGCATATATTCAAACCATAGCAAAAGCATATTTTATAAAGGAAGAAAATTGTAAGGTAAATTGAGGTTCTATCACAAGAAGTTAGGAGAAGAAACAAGTAAAAAAATCAAAGAGTAGAATGACAGAAATAATAAATTAATAGTAATAAATAAGAGAAGAAATTAATAAAATTGACAACAAATGGAAAAAGATAAAGAGCAATAAAATAGACAAACCTCTGGCAAGACTGATCAAAAGAAAAAAAAGAGAAAGCACAAAAAATAATATTAAATTTTTTTAAGTACCTAACTATAGATTCCCTAGATGTTTAAAAATCAAAAGGAAATGGTATGGCAAACCTTATGCCAATCAAGTTAAAAATTGAGATTAAAATTAAAATTATAAATCATCAAATTGCCTAAAAAATAAATAGAACACTATATTAGAATCATAGTCAATAAAACTATCAGGCCCTGACAGTTCTACAGTTAAGTTTTATCAAACCTTCAAGAAGTAGATAGCCCCTATATTATCAAAAAGTCCCAAAGAACAGAAAAAGAAGAAAGGTTTCCCAACTCATTTTATGAAGTTTGTATAACCCTGATATCAAAACTGAACAGGGAGTGCAAGGAGGAAAAATTATAGGTTAATCTCATTCATAAATAAAGGTTAAAAATACCAAATAAAATATTAGCAAAATGAACAAAGAAAATTGCTTTTAAAATTGGCCATGACTAAGTAGAATTTCTTACAGTATGCAAGGATATTCTAGTAGTTCAAAATTGATTATTTCACAAAATAAGATATCTGAATGGCCAAAAAGTATTTTTTAAAAATGCTTAATATCATTAGTCATCAGGTAAAATCATAATGAGATACCACTTTAAATTCACCAGAAAGGCTAAAATTAAAGACTAACAATACCACGCGTTGGCAAGGATGTGGAGCAACTGGAATTCTCATATATTTCTAATGAAAGTGAAAAATAGTAAACCACTTTGCAAGGCTCTTTGGCACTTTCTTATAAAATTAAACACCCATATTTCATTGGCCAGAATTATGTCCTATGTCACAATTATATAACTAATATTATTAGCATAGTAGGAAAATGTAAATTGAAACAACAAACCACCAAATCATCAAACTGTCACTAGGACACATGGGGGCAAGGCTGTTTTATGAGGAAAGCACAGCACATGTGAAATGTCTAACACTATGAGAATATATTTATACCTCCATTTGTATTTCTTTCTGAGGGAAGCAGCAACAATTTTAAATGCAAATGATGCGTCCTGGGAAATACTACCCTAAAATATGGCACCTTGGCATTCTAAGTATTTTAAGCTGAAAGAAAATGAGAAAACTGCAGAAGCAGAAAGGACCCTCTGGCTTCCTTCTGTCACCTCTCTCTTAAAGACGTTTATGTGACAGGTGTCTGGCCTTATACCTGTTACACAGAGAGGCCAAGAAGAATCTGAATAAACAGGCCTTGCTAGTCCTTTGCCTCCCACACTGGTTTATTACCATTAGATCATATCCCCTTTTGTCCAATCATACTTCTACACTACGATCTACTCTTTAGCAAACAAACATAAAAAGACACTTTTCCCCATTTCTTTGGGTCTTCGTTTCTGAAGCCTTTCACATCACGTAAAACTCATGCTAAATAAGTTTGTTATTCTTGTCTCTTGTTAACCTGTCTTTTGTTTCAGGGATACTAGCCATGAACCTGGTGATGGATGACAAAAAGTATTACTTTTTCTCCACTACCCAAGTAAACATCAAATCTGGACTTTTAAAAAAATGTATTTTTCTCTGCATCCCTAGCACAAGAACACATGAAAGTCCAGTGGTTCAGCCAATGGAGGCTCCCCAGTCCCAGACATTTCTAGGATTCTGGGGGTCTGTCTTTCCCCTGGGGTGTTGTTACCTTTTCCTACATTAATAAATGAGTTC
Source organism: Homo sapiens (assembly GCF_000001405.40). Taxonomy (NCBI): domain Eukaryota; kingdom Metazoa; phylum Chordata; class Mammalia; order Primates; family Hominidae; genus Homo; species Homo sapiens. The sequence continues at coordinate 137,113,595 of NC_000003.12, read as the reverse complement.
CAAGCCAGTCATCCGTTTATATTGTGGTATTAAATAACTCCATTGGTTGTACCTGAATCCGACGGAACTAGCAACTGGAATTACATCCTGCCTTTCTCTTGCAAAAGTCTCCTTTCCTGGCCTAGTTCCAGAAACATCTGACTTTAGGAGGACCCTTTTGCCATGTGTTGTGTGCCAACCTCGGACATAACAGCACATTTTAGCTGAGGCTGTGTTACCTTGGAAGTTCAAAGCACAGAAAAAGAAAACTTGTAAAAAAAAAAAAAAAAAGTAGAAAGCATCAAGGGGAATGTAAAATCATTATATAGCCCCAATATGAAACTAAAAAAAATCTTCCATTATCTACTTTTTTATCATTAATGTCTCTATTTATTTGATAATTGAGGGTTTTCTAAACTTCATTGAAATTTGGAGACAATGGGTCATAACTTACTAGTTTAAAAAAAGAAATTGAGGTAATCATGGATATGAAAATGTTTTGCTCCAAGAAATGGAGATTTGGGGCCATGTGTGATTTCTGGCATCACTACCATATGCAGTCATGCATCATCAGACAGGGATACATTCTGAGAAATGGACTAAGGTACAGCCTATTGCTCCTAGGCCACAAACCTGAACAGCATGTTACTGAACTGAATACTGTGGGCAGTTGGAACACAAGGTGAGTATTTGTGTATCGAAACATATCTAAACATAGAAAAGGTACAGCAAAAATATGGTACGAAGAATTTTTGTGTGTGTGTGTGTGACAGTTTTGTTCTTGTTGCGTAGGCTGGAGTGCAGTCGTGTGGTCTCGGCTCACTGCAACCTCCACCCTCCACCTCCCAGGTTCAAGTGATTCTCCTGCTTCAGCCTCCCAAATAGCTGGGATCACGGGTGCCCGCCAGCACGCCTGGCTAATTTTTTTGTATTTTTAGTAGAGACAGGGTTTCACCATGTTGCCAGGCTGATCTCGAACTCCTGACCTCAGGTGATCTGCCTGCCTCGGCCTCCCAAAGTGCTGGGATTACAGGCCCAGTACAAAAAATAGTTTTAATGCCACACTGTATGGGGCATTTACCATGAATGGAGCTTGCAGGACTGGAAGTTTCTCTAGGTGAGTCAGTGAGTGAATGGTGAGTGAATGTGAGGCCTACAACATTACTGTACACTTCCATAGACTTCATCAACAATGTACACTTAGGCTACACTGTTCATCTTAAAAACATTTTTCTTCCTTTAATAATAAATTAACCTTAGCTTACTGTAACTTTTTTGCTTTATAAACTTGTTACTTTTCTAAACCTTTTACTCTTTTGTAAAAACACTTAGCTTAAAACACAAACACATTGTACAGCTGTACAAAAATATTTTCTTTCTCTATATCTTATTCTATAAGCTTTTTTCTATTTTTAAATCTTTTATAACTTTTTTAAACCTGTTTATTAAAAACTAAGACACAAACACACACATTAGCCTAGGCCCATACAGGGTCAGGATCATCAATACCACTGTCTCCCACCGCCACATCTTGCCGAACTGGACGGTCTGCTGGGGCAATGACATGCATGGAGCTGTCATCTCCTATGATAACAATGCCTTCTTCTGGATGCCTCCTGAAGGACCTGCCTGAGGCTGTTTTACAGTTAACTTTTTTTAATAAGTAAAAAGAATACACTCTAAAGTAATGATAAATAGTACAACAAATATATAAACCAGTAACATAGTCGTTTATTATCATTACCAAGTATTGTGTACTATACAGAATTACATGTGCTAGACGTTTATACAACTGGCAGCATAGTCGACTTATTTACAACAGGAACACCACAAACACGTGAGTAATGCATTGTGCTACTACAATAGCTACAACATCATCACAACAGCGACAATGTCACTAGGCAGCAGGAATTTTTCAGCTCTATTATAATCTTATGGGGCCACATGGTATATGCAGTCCATTGTTGACCAAAATGTCGTTGTGGGGCACACGACTGTAGAGAGAAATAAAAGAAAAAAAAAAAAACATTAGAAGCCTAAATAAGCTCCTGTAGTGGAAGGAAGTAAAGCAGGATTGTTTCTGCCCGGCTGTGGAGAGGGAAGGACACCCACCTCCACCCTGAGACAGCAGCGGGCTCCTTTACCTGTGGAGCCAAGTCCTGCATGGAATTGGTTATACGAGTGGAAAGAGCAGCCTATAATGTGGATTAACACAGTAACTCACTCACCCACCTATTGTCTGAAAGTGAAGGGTTATACAGTTGGGAGCAAAACAAAACAGAGGTTCACCCATCAGTGGAAGTCTCTCCCTCTCTTATTTTAGAAGTAGACAGCAATATCAGGGAAAATACAAAAGGGATAGGTTTTGAAGGCCAAGTTGAAGATCAGAAAGAAAATGCAGTAAGGCAGCTATTGCAAGCAAGCTCATTGAGGTAATGTATTTATAGGAGTATAAAAGCTGCTGGAGGATTTTCACTCCAAGCCCCTCCATGCAGAAAGCCTAGTCGGGGAGTTGAGCACATCTGGAGACTCTGAGCCCTGAGAAAAGCCCAGTGACCATCTGGGCCTCAGCAGTCCATCACATCTTCAAAAACCAGATGAACCACCACAGAAGCCTAAGCTGGATTTCTCAGGCTTTATCTATTTATCACCTGCCTAAGGAGCAGTTTTAGGCATTTTTCCCTAACTTCTACCCCATTTGATTTTAAAACAAAAGATATACCATATATCCATTTAGGTAATGTCTGAGTATCTCCACTCTATCCATAAGAGGAGTTAGATTTTGCCTCCCAAGAACCAATTTTCATCCCCCCTGGAGTAAATTCTGACCTTTGAGGATGCATGGCCTAACCCCACTCACTAACTCTCTTTTCCTCCATCTTGCCTCAGATGGTATTTCTTATAAACACAATCAATAGATAAAATTAAATTATATTTTATAGAACAAGTGGAAAAACCGGATTAGCTGGGAATAGATGTATTATGCTGATATCTCTGAGTCCTAACAGCTGCAGTGCTTAATGGAGCTCACACACATCTAGTGGCAGGTAACAGAATTGCAGGAGTTCAAGTGAAAAGGAGAAATCAGCTCTAAGGTGGTTTTAGTGATTTTTTTCTTCATCACGAAAATCTCACACATACACATCTCTCTCCACCTTGAAGAGCACTTCTTTTTTTTATTATTTTTTGTGACTGGGTCTCGCTGTGTCACCCAGGCTGGAGTGCAGTGGCATGATCATGGCTCACTGCCTCGAATTCCCGGGCTCAAACTATCCTCCCACCTCAGCCTCCTGAATAGCTGGGACTACAGGTGTGCACCACCAAGCTCGGCTAATTTTTTATTTTTTGCAGAGATGGAGTCTCCCTATGTTGCCCAGGCTGGTCTCAAAACTCCTGGGTTCCTTCTGCCTTGGCCTCCCAAAGTGCTGTGATTATGGGCATGAGCCACCACACCCAGCCAAGATCACTTTTAGAATCTGTATTCCACATAGCCCTAGCAGCCAAGAAGAGTTTGTCACAATTTCTAGCCCACAGTTAGAATGGTGGAATAAAAATGTTTTATTTCTATAGAATTTTCTAAATTCAAACCATAATGTAAAATTAAATGAGATTTTTGGGGGAGCCATGTTGTGTCAAAATCCTGAAACAATATCTTAAAGGTGGAGACAGCGTACCCATTTGAAAATCACTCTTCCAGAAAAATTGAGTTAACAAGTTTATGAACCAAACCTCTCAAAGTTAGCTTGAAAACAACAGGTTAAAGCGTACTAACCAGCCCAAAGCAGCCAGTTGCTTGAGTCAGGTGAATCTTTTCAAATTGGCTTACATTATAATAATAGTTGTAATCAGGGTAATAGTAATTCCAGTAACCTATAAAGTAAGTACTGTCATTGTCTCCACTTCACAGGTGCATAAAATGAGCCTTGTGGTGGTCATACCTTGTCCAAGCCGACAGGGCTGATAAAAGTGGTAGAGCTCCAGTTAAAATCCAGCTCTGCCTAACCACAAAGCCCACGTTTTAACAGCAGCACAATCCCTCTGCTTGTGTAAACAAAGCTTTGGTTGAAGATAGGAGTGTTACATGACAAGTAGAAATATTTCTGCCCAAATAGAAGTGGTGTCACTCAACTTGGTGGGATTTTGAAAAATTTGGGCAACAGCTCCATCCTTCTAAAGCCAAGCAGGTTGGAAAAGTCACTGTGAAGATTTGTTTTCAAATTTGAGACCCACTCCAAGAGGGTATGCTTGGAGTTCAGCAGACAATGAAAAATCATCCCTAGCTCTACCCACTAACAATTGGTGCATAGAATTCCTGCTCTCTATCAACCTCCCAGCTCCAGCCAGCTAAAAGGGCTCTCTGCTTTGCATGCGACTGCACAGAAGCAATTTATTTTCTCATTGGAAATGGTGATGCCGAGAGAGCAGAGCCGTGTCACACATGGGGGAGCCACCACTATAGGGAACAGAAGCTTCTTCCAGCTTGGCTTAGCTGCCATCTTTTAGGCTGCTGTGATAGCAGCGAGAATGGTGCATACCCAATCCCTGTCTCAAGCAGGATTGAGAGTGTCTCAAATCCCTGCCTTCTTAGAGAGAATAATGGCAGGGGTTCGTGGGGGAGAAAGGGAGGGGAACGTTTCCCTTGAAACCTTGACTATTGGGCTCCTTAAAGATGGATTAGCATTTCAGAGATTTATTCAGTTCCTTGGGTAGAGAAGCTGACTCACAGATACTATAAGTTTGGGCGTGATAGCTTAGAGCTAAATCTGTGTCCTTAAGCAGAATCTCAAACCAATAATTTTGAGAAGGCATAATGGAATGCTGTGATAACCCCAAAACTCCATAAATAATGAAGTCACACCTCTCTTATCCGCTAGTCAAGCATCAAACACCCTCAGCCATCCAGAGCATCTGAAAACACACAAGTGTCCCTAGCAGCCACCCTGTACAGGCAGAAATTAAAAAGCCAGGGAGAATCTAAGAGTGAAGATTACAGAAGGAGGGACATGATTGGTGGGTTTGCAATGGAAGGAACTCCTTCATAGGTAAGCAATGGCTCTAAAAATCAAATGCCGTTAAGAGCAAAAAGAAGGAATAGAAAAGAAAAGGAGAAGAATACTTAAAACCCAAATCCTAGAGAAACATATTAATAGCAACACAGTCCAATATGTAAGTCACGAATGAAAGCCACATTCTATATTTTTCTAGTAACCACACTATAAATTTTTTAAACAGATAACCATTAATTTTAAGAGTTTATTTTGTTTAACCCAATATATCCAAGTATCAGCATTTCAACATATAGTCAATATGATAACATCATTGAGATTTTTTAGTATTCTTGTCTTATGCTAAGTCTTCAAAATCCAATGTATTTTATGCTTACAGCACAGCTCAGTTTGGGCTGGCCACACTTCCAGTGGCTAGTGTATAGGTAGAAAATTCTCAGCCATATGCTTAAGGGAGTCACAAAGAGTGATACAAGAACATCCATTACAGCATTGCTTGTTAGCAGTGAAAAACTGTAAACAATCTAAATGTCCATCAAAAGGTGAATAGATAATTTAATTTTACTAAATTAAATAACAAAATACAAAGCAGCAACTGAAATGAATAAATTGGATCTAAATACATCACTGATCTATCCCTCAAAATCATAATGTCGAATGACCAAAGCAATCTGCAGAATTATATTAATACAGTGTACCATTTAGGTAAAGTTTTTAAAATACCTCAAAAAAGCTATACATTGCTTATTGAAACAAACATATGTAATGTAGTAAATATATATCAGACAGAAAAAATATGCACTAACTTTGAGAAAGTGATTAGTTCTGGGAAAGGAGAAAGGAAGGAGGGAGGAAGGGAGAGAAAAGGATTTGGAGAAATCCACAGTCTTCAATTGGATATCTAATGTTTTGTATATTTAAAAAATACTCTGACACAAGCATATAAAATGTTAATATTGTTACAAAAATGTTACGTTAATACTGGCACTGAAATAATCATTAAATTGTTCTCAATTCTTTTCTGTATGTTTGATATACTTCATGAAAGAGAGGGAGGGAAGAAAAAGGAGAAGACACAATGGTGGCGGAGAGACAGAGAGAGAGACAGAGAGAGATGAAATAGTTTTAACAACCTAGCACAGGATTCTAGACACGTTCTACCTGCCTCCTACAGACAGTGGTACCCATTTGACATTCACTAATGACACCGGTATTTGTTGCACCCCTTCCAAATGCAAACACTGCAGGGCATTCAGAGATGTGTAACACACACATCCCTATAACTGTGAACCTAGTGAAAAAGAAAATGTTCTCTTGTGTTTCTTACATCAAGGCAGAAGAACATTTCCTTTCATTTAAAAGTATCCATTTTAAAAGGCTTATGCGAAACTTTTAGCATGTAAGGGGTTAATCTTCAGTCCTTTGGAACCCAAGCTAAGTAGATCCCCTATTTGGCAATAACGGATAACTGATGAGTTACATTTTTACACAGTCCACACAGCCAAGCCCTGGCTCTATCATCACATCCTACTGCAACTCTTCTGTAACTTTGAACTTGGCATAAACTCCTGATTCACAATATCCCACCCTCGCATTCTCTTTCTCTCTCTCTCTCTCTTTCTCTACTTGATTCTGCCTTCTCTCCTCCCTTCTGAGTACGTTGGACTCTCAGCCCAGCTAGGATTCTGTGCATTTGGTATCCTCCACAAACCGGAAGAGTTTATTGTCCTTCATCTCTTTCTGGTCATTTATTACAGATGCACAAAACACCGATCCCACGAGGTCCCCACTTTTAGCACTTCTCTATTCACAAGATACCCATTTATTCCTAACCTTGTTCATTGTCTCTGTGCCCAGCTCTTCTCTAGGATAAAAACTGCTTCCTCAATTCCATGGTAACAGCTTTCAGTGTTAAACACTATCAGAGATTTGTTGTTCAGTGTAGTTTTTTTTTAAGCTTAAGCAATTACCTGTATCACGGCCACACAACTTTTTAAAAAATACTCTCACCAAAAAGAAATAAAAAAGAAAAGAAAAATATATAATATATACAGTATGTATGATTAGTGAGGCAGACAAGCTCCTATTCTGAGAGATGATTTTATACTTTCTGGTGAATCTATTTTGAGTTTTTTAAGTGTCCAGGGAAGACTGGCCACCCCAAGGTTTTAGGGGCCCTTTGCACTTTCCTATGGATGATTATTTATAAGCTGAATTCTTCAGCTGTCACTGGGAGATTTTGCACCACATAGAAAGAGCTCTGTTTCCTTAAAAGAACAATTCTTACTTTATGCTCCTGGGTTTAAACAAAATTCAAGATAAATTTCTGTTATTTAATAATAATTCCAAATAGTCTATTATGGATCACAGAATTCTTTGAAATTCATTTATTTTAAAGAAGCTTAGCGTTTTAGCTGTTTGTAAATATAAAATATAGGAAAGGAAGGGGCAAAAAGATTTAATTTTCTACCATTCAAATGAGTATTTCTAAACAATGTGAAGAAGTCTCAAAATCATGTGACTCTATTAAAGCTCTTTCAAGTCATGGGTATTGGGTATACAAAAGGATATATTAGCATTGCAGAAAGAAAAGCAGAGGAGCTCCAAACTGGCTTCATTCATTTGGAAAACAAAAAACAAGTATTTCTGTTTAAGTTGACTCGGACATTTTAAGTACAATGAAATCGAATTTCATCTTTCCCCTAGAAGCAACCAAGGATGAGACTGCCAGAAGAAATGTCCTGCCTATTTTAGCCCTTTCTGACCTGCACTCCGAGGAGTGAAAACTGAAGGGATTATCTTCACTTCACTTAGAGCCTGGAGAAAGAGGAAGGGGACTATTCACCCACAAACGCTTTCAGGGTCTGGAGGCAAAACACAAACTGTACTTCAGAATACATTTTCTTAAGTCCCTTTCTAAAGCAGACTAGTTGAAAAGTGGGTAGATTTTGTTTTGCTCTGTAATTTTAATACTTTGCTACCAAGACGATAAACAAATCTGTAACCCTCTGCTGGTGAGTTCATCCTGTCTTCTTTTTCTTCCTTGCCCCCTTCAGATCTCTGCCTTTCCTTTTATGTCCTATTTTCAGTGTTCTGTTGAAGTTATTCTGCCGAAAACAGCAACATACTTTTGTCTTTGGCGCCCTCTTATGGTCACTTTATTATTATAGCACAGCATCTGGCCGCATTTTAGTGAAGAATAAATCCCCTAATGAGGAACTTAGCTATTCCAAGTCTGAAAAGCCGTGAACAAATTCACGTTAATCTGTTTCTACAGAATACCAATAAACCATTCATTCAACCAATCAAAAACCAAACCTCAAACCCAAACAGGCCCAACTTAGGTGATGTTCCTTCTCCCACTACTGCGGCAAGGACTTGAGAATTCCTTGCTGCCAGCCGTTATCCAGTTCCCATGGACTCATCCTATCTGCATCCTTCCATATTTCTCCTTCAGTCCTTACTCAGAAGTTATCTTTCAGAACCACACCTGCTGCAAGGGCCCAAAACCCTTTTATCCACAGTGGTGATTCTCGTCATGGTGAAACATTGAAGTCCTATGTAATATGCAGTGTGCTAGTCCCACTGAGTTTACTATAGTACTAGCTCTACCCTCCGAAGAGTCTTCTCCTCTTTCTGAACTTCCCCCCAGTTGCTGCCTTGTCAGGCCTTTCAAGTAGCAGCTGAAATACCATCACTTCTGGAAGCCTTCCCTGACCTCCCAGGGTATGCTTGGCTGTACCTTATCTTGTGGTCCTCCATAATTCATACACACTTCCATAATGGCAATTAACCAAGTGCACACTTGCCAAACTGAGTTCAACAGAACTCACTTCACATTCCATGAGATGCTCCATAGAAAAGGCATTCTGTGAACAAATACTTTGGGACAATGGAACATATTATATCCCCTTCTTGGAGAGTATTGCTTTTTTTGTCCTGTTGGCATGCCTGAGTCACCTCTGAGGAGCCATGTCTGATCTACTTCTGCATCCTGAAGGCAGAGTTGGCAGAACTGATGGGAGCCTTCACTTACCTGCGGGTACCTGTCCTCTCTGGGAGGCCACCACTCTGCAGGATACTCCTACCCTCACAGAGTGCTCAGAAAACCCTGCTGACCAGAATCATGCATCAGCTTCAAGGTCATCTCATGTCTAGGTGGCCAGTACCTGACTTTTGCCAACTGCCTGTCTTCACAATGTTCTGCTCTCACACTTTTGCTTGCCTTCAGAAACTTGCTCAACCCCGGACGTTTGCCACAGGGTTTCCTGATTTTTTTTCCTGGGTGGATATGCCTATAGGCCTTGACCCGCAGGAACTGTGTGACTCTGGAGACACTCTGTGCCTGGTCACTGTCGCACCATCCCTGTTCTACCTTCCCCTACCAGCCATAGCTCTCAGCCTCTGACAGAACTTGTTCTCTCTTCCAGGAGAACAAAATGGCACCTTAGTTCTGTCTCCCAGAATCTTCCTGCTTTTTTCTCAACCTCCAACACATACTCAGACCACCTTGTCTCTCTCCTGGGTGACTAGAGCCTCCATCCTTTCTCCCACCCACGCAAAGCATTCTTTGTAAAAAGCAAATCTGATCGTGTCACTCCCCTTTCCAAAACCTTGCAATGGCTTCTGGTTGCTATTTGGATGAAGACCAAACCTCTCCGCTGTTGAGCCCCTGCCAAACTCTCCAGCTTTGTCTCACCACCTGTCTCCCCACATGGTACAGCCACACAGAAATTCTTTAAGTTCTTAAAACGGCACTTTTCCCCTATACCTAGGAGACACTATTCTCTCTATCTGGAGCTCTCCTCCCTTCTGGCCACTTCACGTGGCTCATGGCTCATTCCACCCCTTCATGTGTGTGTGCGTGTGCGTGTGTGTGTGTGTGAGAGAGAGAGAGGAGGTCTCACTGTGTTGCCCTGGCTGGTCTGGAACTCCTGGACTCAAGCGATCCTCCCACCTCCCAAAGTGCTGAGTACCTCTCCCATTCTCTACTCTCAGCCTAAACCTCACCTCCCCCAGAGGCCTGGCTCACATGACTCCCCAGGTTAGGATCCCACCCTCCAGGGGCTCCCATTGCCCGTTGCATTCCTTCTGTTACAAAACTCATCTTACTTTAGTGTAATTAACTGCTTCACACATTCTAATTTGTTCATGTCCGTCTCCTCCCCTCAAAATGGACACCAGGAGAGTGGAGGCCAGGTCCAAGTGGCTCAGTCCTCTCTGCCCCCCACCCAGCACAGGGCCTGGCACAGCGCACTGCCCAGTAAACATTTGTTGAATGAATTTTAGATTGTGCAATGTGCTTGTAACGACAGAAGTGCACATTTTCCCCAACGATAATTTTATGGCCTATCTCAGTTTGAGGCCTCCTTCCATATCACACAAAGAAGGCCTTTTCTCTATATTTCTTTAACTGATTGTTTTCTTAAATGATTGTTTAGAACTAAACTTGGATCCAACCTAAAATAAAAGTCAACTGAATTATACATAAGCTGGGGTAGGGGGAGGGCGGTGGTATCTTCCATATTATCAAACGTACATACAACTGAGGTCAAAATTGTGGCTAAAATTTTTTTTTTTCATGTCTAACACTTCAGAGTTTCCTAAGCTCTTTTGCATGTATTATTTCATAATGTAACATTACATGTACTCTTGTATAATCTTGCATATACAATTGCAAATTACTATATTTAAATGGGTTTCCTTTTGGTTCCCAAGATACTCCTCATTTATATCAATACTATTATTCAGATCATCAGAAAGGTTCTGGAGCTTTCATCACTGGGCGCCAGAATATGGTAGACCAATAACTTCAAAGTTCTGAGGAAAAATCATTTTCAATCCCAATTATTTATACTTGACCAAACTGATAATCAAGTGTAAGGATACAATAAAAACATTTTCAGACATTTAAGGACTCAAACAATTGACTTCCTGTGTATTGGTTTTAGAAAATCACTGGAAGTTTTGCTTCAGCAAAAGGAGGGAATAAAACAAAAAAAGAGAATAACGTAAGAACCAGGAAACAGGCGAACCAAATGTGGTAAAGGGAAGGTTGGGGATGACGGAGAGGGATTAGAGAAGAGGTAGAGAGAACACAGCAGGAGGACAGCGGGCAGGGCACTAAGTCTGGATTATGTTCTGCCTACAGACACACCACTCACATCAGCAGGGACTGAAGCCCAGCCCGTGCATGGCTCACCAAGCTAGGTGTTCTCATGGAGGGCTGAGTGCCCAAGCCCTCCGTTATACCCCATATGAGCCAAGGTTCCATATTAGCTTGTGGCATCCCTGAAAGAAGGCTTGTGGGAGATGAGGGAAGGAGGGGTGGAACTGACAGAATGTTTGGAATTGCTTTGGAGAGTTTGGAAAAATTATGAATAAGCTCGTTGGACCATTTGGAAAAAAACAGTCAGCTCTTCTGCTTGAGCTTCCATAACACCACAGACTGCAAGCAGAAACAACAGAAATTTATTTTCTGACAATTCTAGATGCTAGTAGTCCAAGATGAAGGAATTGGTGGGTTTGGTTTTTTCAGAGGCCTCGCTCCTCGGCTTGCAGATGGTTGCTTTCTCACTATGTCCTCATATGGTCTTTCTCTGTGCACACACATCCCTGGTGCCTTTTCCTCTTCTTATAAGGACACTAGTCACATTGGATTAGGGCCCACCCCAACAGCCTCATTTTAACTTTATCACCTCTTTAAAGTTCTTGTCTTCAAATATAGTCACATTCTGGGGTACTAGGGATTAGAGATTCAACATCTGAAATTTGTGGCGACACAATTTAGCCCGTAATAGTCATATAGTAAACCAAACAAATGAGAAAAAAATAAAGCAATTATCAACTCAAGGAAAAATGGAAGTTGTAACAGAAATGATCATGGTAGATTATCTGGCTGGCAGTAAGACAATGATATTTACATCACCATTTTCATGTAAACACTGACTATGGTTTAACCAAAGCTTCACTAATGGGAAAATGGGGGCTGAGGATAATGTAGGAGAGAAGAGAGAGTGGGGAGAGAGAGAGCACAATCCTCGACTACCACGAAGAAAATTTAATAGATAATGTTCACAACAGGTAAGTCAAGAAAGTACAGAATAAGATTTGAGACATGGAGGTAAACACTGAAAGAAACAGCTACAGGCTGCTCTGCCTGTGGAGAAGACATTCTTTTATTCCTTTACCTTCCTAATAAACTTGTTTTCACTTTTATAAAAGAAAAAGAAAGAAAATAAACAGCTACAGTGGTTGAAAGTAGTTGTATTTAGTGGGATAGAATCATGGGTGGGGAATGCTGGGGAAAGGAACTACTACATTTTATTATAAGCTTTTTGTACTATCTAATGTTTTAACTATGTGTAGATATTACTATAGTTAAAAATTAATTTTTAAAAGCTTAATTTTTTTTTTTGAGACAAAGTCTCACTCTGTCGCCCAGGCTAAAGTGTAGTAGCATGATCTCAGGTCACTGCAACCTCCCCCTGCAGGGCTCAAGTGATTCTCCTGCCTCAGCCTCCCAAGTAGCTGGGATTACAGGTGACTGCCACCACGCCTGGCTAATTTTTGTATTTTTAGTAGAGACAGGGTTTCACCATGTTGGCCAGGCTGGTCTGGAACTCCTGGCCTCATGTGATCTGCCCGCCTCGGCCTCCCAAAGTGCTGGGATTACAGGCATGAGCCATTGCACCCACCCAAAAGTTTAACTTTTTTTCTTCCAACTTTTATTTTAGGTTCGGTGGGTACACATGTACATTTTTTACATGGGTAAGTTGCATGTCACTAGGGGTAGGTGTGTACCCAGGTAGTGAGTGTAGTATTCAATAGGTGGTTTCTCATCACCCAAGCAGTGAGTATAGTACATGATAGGTGGTTTCCTGATCCTCACCCTCTCCCACCCCCACCCTCTCAAGTAAGCTGCAGTTCTTTGTGTTGATGTGTACTCAGTGTTTAGCTCCCACTTATAATTGAGAACAGGCAGTATTTGGTTTTCTGTTCCTGTGTTAATTCACTTAGGACAATAGCCTCCTCCTACATCCATGTTGCTGCAAAGGACACAATTTTGTTATTTTTCATGGCTGCATAGTATTCCATGGTGTATATATATACCACATTTTCTTTATCCAATCCACCTAGGGCATCTAGGTTAATTCTGTGTCTTTGCTATTGTGAAAAGTGCTGCAATGAACAAACATGTGTATGTGTCTTTGTGGTAGAACAACTTATATTCCTTCGGGTATATACCCAGTAATGGGATTGTTGGATCAAATGATAGTTCTGTTTTTGGTTCTTTGAGAAATCTCCAAACTGCTTTCCACAGTGGCCAAACTAATTTACATTCCCACCAACAGTGTATAAGTCTTCCCTTTTCTCCACAGCCTCACTAGCATCTGCTATTTTTTGACTTTTTAATAATAGTCCTTCTGACTGGTGTGAGATGGTGTCTCATTGTGGTTTTGATTTAATTTCCCTAATGATTAATGATGTTAAGCATTTTTTCATATGCTTTTTGGCCAAATTTAACTTTTAAATACTTCTAATTTTAACACATTTGGGTGGCACCAACACAGACTCATGCTACAATGTTTACTTATTTGTGTGCAAAATTCTGAATAATCTCCTCCCACTTCTATTTTATTAAAACATATCCTAAGTTGCAAAAACAGCTGTTTAAAATCTTTTATCCATTTGCAACTTCTTCATGTGGACTGGAACTTTCTCAATATTTGCAGCCAAAACAAAATTCAGACATGAACTGGATTTTGAGGTTATAAAGCCACAGCGGTCAACCGGAAATTGATTTCAAATGTCTGTGTTCATAAAAACAGACTTACTGTTCTTACTGACTTATAATAAACAAATGTTTTATATTTTACCTAATAAAATAGATTCTAATAAAATGCTGCTGCATCTCTTCCACTATTTCTTTTCCAGATAATGGGAGGGAAGACATTTAGGAAAGCTGATTATCTGGAAGCCCCTTTCTCTTAGTCCACTTGGAATTCCCAGCAGGGACTGAAACTTCCAAGACTTTCATCACTGCAACAGGAATGCTGGCAAGTGGGAAGAGGGGAGGAAACAGTCCCTGGAGTCCACTACCTAAGTCAAAGACTTCCTTTAACTGTCCATCTCCCTTACTAGTCTTAGTAAATCACACAGCTTTGAAATTTCCAGCTTTGGTCCCCATTTTTACATAAATGATACAACAAATACATTTTTCCGTTCCTTTATAAGGCTCACATGCAAATATAAAGACAAGATACTGACCTAGTGTCAACTGGATAAAAATCCTTGTTCTTTGTAGAACTATGCTTAAACAGTTCTTAAAACCTTAGTAGCAAAACCAGGTAATAATTTTAAGCTGATGTGAAGGAAAACATCTTTGAAGAGCTCCTAATCAAAGTTTCTGTCCAGCAGCAAGTTAATTTTTGAAGTTTCTCAGAGTTCAGGATGGTCACCAAGCTGTTTGCTTAAGTGTGTTTCTATAGTTACTTGCTTACTGAGGAAACAGAAAAGAGGATTATAGGTATCTGTGATCCCTCTCTTCCCTATAAGGATGTGATGTGAAGGGACTTAGGCATTAAGTATCCAGAGGGAGTTTAACATTAGACCCCAATTTTTTAGAAACAAACAAATGCCGCACTAATGTGACGTTTGGGTCACATTAAAAGGCTAGGCTTGCAGGGCTAGAGAAGATTTTTAATATCTTCCCAGATGATCAGTATTCACATCTGGATATTGCCACCTGGTGATTAGTAGTTTCTTCATCATCATCATTATCAACCTCATCATCAATATTCCTTCTCAATATGGTACACAAAAAGTAATAAATTACCTCAGGCATAGACAAACCTCTTTTCTCACATTTTTTATAAACTTATAAACTAAAACTTTATAAATTTACAAATAAAAATGTAAAGATATGTTAAGGCCAGTGGTGGCAAATGAAAATGCCCACTGAGACCGCACAATGTGAGGAAGACATGTATGAAGAATATATGCTATCTAGGGCTGCCACTCTACTTCTTCCAGCTGGTTGTTGCCATGTTAGAATGAGATTTTAACATTCCAAATATTCTAATATTTCAAGAGAAGCTGAAATTTTTAATTTTTATGTGAAATATGATTTTCACATTTGACAAACAATTCAAACTTTTTAAAAATGTGTAGGCTTTTCAAAATAGGGCTATGCTCTTGACCCATCCCAAGGGCTGCTAGTTTCAACTCCTGACTTAGGCAATGACAATAGACTCCCTTTCCATTTGCTAAGTCATAAACTATATCATACAGGGTAAGTGTTAACCAATAATTCCAATTTAAATGGACAGTACTGTTACAAACCTAAACTTTAACTAGTCCCTACTTTCAACAGTGATTTTTTTTTCCTCCCACATACAGGCTGCCTCACGTGATGACCGTGTTTTTTCTGGGTGCTCTGGCTGGTTATTCACCTGTTGGCTCTCAGGCCTGTGTGCACCATCTGCGTTCTACTCTGTATCACAGCGCACTGGACACCTGGAAACTACAATCCCACACTCCCTTCCCAGCTAAATTCCAGTCAGGTTCAGCCAATGGGAGGCGCTGGGGGAAACTAAAGAGCAGGAAGAAGGCAGAAGCCATTGTTCATTCTATCTCTTTCTCTCTCTCCCTACCCCTCCTCTAGTTTCAGCAGCCCTCCATCAATGGCTCTGAGTAGCTAAGCCTGAAATCCACTCCAGAGCAGGAGCCTCAGCAGCCTCCTGCTTCTCAATCACTCAGTTTCTCCTTTTACTTCTTAGCCCTGGGATGCTAGTGGTTTCCTGCAGTTACAACTCTTTCCATAACCTTGCCTTCCCCTGACTGTTTTCCCAGCCCTTCCTTCACCCTTGCTACCGACTCTTGAAATGCACAGAGGTGTTTTCTCTTCCTGTTTCAAACCTCACTATTGGAATACTCCCACATTTCTGCCTATATTCAGTTGTATAAATAACATCTGCTCATAAAAGCTGGTTGCATCTGCAAAGCATATCTTGAACCCCTGCCATTCTTACTTAAACTCCAGGGACCTTCTTTTTCAAATTCAAGTTAGCTGCTACTTCCTCAAAATTTTTTTAAGGTAGTGTTTCCCAATTTGCCTTACGATACAAGTTGTTTGGGGGCACTTGTTTAAAAACACGGTTTCCCAATCCCTCCCTAAACCTGATGTATCAAATCACTTGGGGAGTAGCTTGGAAATATGTATTTTTTTTTTTTTTTAGCTATGGAGGTTGGGTGGGGGGGGTCTCACTATGTTGCCCAAGCTAATCTTGAACTCCTGGCCTCAATCAATCCACCCCCTTCAGCCCCCGAAACTAGCTGAGATTATAGTGCAAGCCACTACATCAGGCTGAAAATATGTAGCTTTGACAAACACCCCAGGTGATTCTAACCCTCAAGCAAGCTTGAGAATCACTTGTGAGGAATACGTTTTCTGAGGCCAAGTTTATTCCTATGCCCATTAATCGTTGAGACCCGCTGCCCCGTACAATCATCTTGGCTACAATGGACAATCCAATCAGTTATCTCCCCCTATACAGATAAAAAGCAATGATCACTGGCAGCTTAGTTTTTAAAGGCAAAATTAATCTGCCAAAATGGCATAAGTAGCAATAAAATTATCTATAATTTTAAAACTGGGACTATGTAATTGAAATGAATAGGTTTAGGAAATGGAAAGGCTTGGATTTAAATACCAATGACATCACTTAGTAACTATATGACATGCAGCAAGCTGTTTAACCTCTTAGAGCTTCAGTCTTCTATAAAACGAGAATAATATCATCTACTTCAAAGCTGTTCTGAGGATTAAGTAAGAATATGTGTAAGTCACCTAGCTTGGTCCCTGGCCTGTAAAAGACATCCAGTAAATACATGTTCCCTTCCTAACCGATAAGAAGAATGCTGGATTTATGGTATATTTGTATTGTATCAACCTGGTTGAACTGGAACTACAGTTCCCAAAATGCCTCTTCCTGCATAATTCTGAGTTAGCATGGAACACCAAAGACAGTTTGCTGGAGAGAGATTCCATCAAGCTGTCTTTGGAAGGAAAGCAGCACTATGTTGTCTATACATAATGAACAAGTAAATATAAATAAACAGATTGTGGTTTGAAAGGATGTGATCTGATAGAAATCAAATGGGGAAAGGGAAGCACTAAATAGCTAGCTGGCTTCCTTAGACAGGATGACCTAGGAAGTCCTCTCTGAGGAAGTAGCATTTAACCCCTCATCCTGATGCCTCAAGGATAAGCTGACAGCCAAGCTAACAGCTGGAAGCAGAACTACCCAGGCAGAAAGAACTGCCAATGTAAAGGCTTCAAGTATGCCCTGGGCATCTGGAGTAAAATAGAGGAAGGAAAGAAGGAATGGTGGAGATTCAGATATGCATGACCTTAATAGGCTATGGTTTTTTAAAAAATGTGGGGATTTTATTTTAAGTGTAACAACCCCACTGAGGAGTCGGGGGTATAAGTGGTGGGATGTTATATAATCCTTTTAATGTTTTTAATTTCAAAGATCATTTGTTTCACATCTTTTAGATTATCAAATATTTTTTAAGTCAGACAATATCAGGTGTTGGAGACTATAGGGAAATGAGAACACTCAGACTGCTGGCGAAAATGAGCTGTCATGGGATGCCCTCTCTCACCGCTCCTATTCAACATAGTGTTGGAAGTTCTGGCCAGGGCAATCAGGCAGGAGAAGGAAATAAAGGGTATTCAATTAGGAAAAGAGGAAGTCAAATTGTCCCTGTTTGCAGATGACATGATTGTTTATCTAGAAAACCCCATCGTCTCAGCCCAAAATCTCCTTAAGCTGATAAGCAACTTCAGCAAAGTCTCAGGATACAAAATCAATGTACAAAAATCACAAGCATTCTTATACACCAACAACAGACAAACAGAGAGCCAAATCATGAGTGAACTCCCATTCACAATTGCTTCAAAGAGAATAAAATACCTAGGAATCCAACTTACAAGGGATGTGAAGGACCTTTTCAAGGAGAACTACAAACCACTGCTCAAGGAAATAAAAGAGGACACAAACAAATGGAAGAACATTCCATGCTCATGGGTAGGAAGAATCAATATCGTGAAAATGGCCATACTGCCCAAGGTAATTTACAGATTCAATGCCATCCCCATCAAGCTACCAATGACTTTCTTCACAGAATTGGAAAAAACTACTTTAAAGTTCATATGGAACCAAAAAAGAGCCCGCATCGCCAAGTCAATCCTAAGCCAAAAGAACAAAGCTGGAGGCATCACACTACCTGACTTCAAACTATACTACAAGGCTACAGTAACCAAAACAGCATGGTACTGGTACCAAAACAGAGATATAGATCAATGGAACAGAACAGAGCCCTCAGAAATAATGCCGCATATCTACAACTATCTGATCTTTGACAAACCTGAGAAAAACAAGCAATGGGGAAAGGATTCCCTATTTAACAAATGGTGCTGGGAAAACTGGCTAGCCATATGTAGAAAGCTGAAACTGGATCCCTTCCTTACACCTTATACAAAAATCAATTCAAGATGGATTAAAGATTTAAACGTTAGACCTAAAACCATAAAAACCCTAGAAGAAAACCTAGGCATTACCATTCAGGACATAGGCGTGGGCAAGGACTTCATGTCCAAAACACCAAAAGCAATGGCAACAAAAGCCAAAATTGACAAATGGGATCTAATTAAACTAAAGAGCTTCTGCACAGCAAAAGAAACTACCATCAGAGTGAACAGGCAACCTACAACATGGGAGAAAATTTTCGCAACCTACTCATCTGACAAAGGGCTAATATCCAGAATCTACAATGAACTCAAACAAATTTACAAGAAAAAATCAAACAACCCCATCAAAAAGTGGGCGAAGGACATGAACAGACACTTCTCAAAAGAAGACATTTATGCAGCCAAAAAACACATGAAAAAATGCTCATCATCACTGGCCATCAGAGAAATGCAAATCAAAACCACTATGAGATATCATCTCACACCAGTTAGAATGGCAATCATTAAAAAGTCAGGGAACAACAGGTGCTGGAGAGGATGTGGAGAAATAGGAACACTTTTACACTGTTGGTGGGACTGTAAACTAGTTCAACCATTGTGGAAGTCAGTGTGGCGATTCCTCAGGGATCTAGAACTAGAAATACCATTTGACCCAGCCATCCCATTACTGGGTATATACCCAAAGGACTATAAATCATGCTGCTATAAAGACACATGCACACGTATGTTTATTGCGGCACTATTCACAATAGCAAAGACTTGGAACCAACCCAAATGTCCAACAATGATAGACTGGATTAAGAAAATGTGGCACATATACACCATGGAATACTATGCAGCCATAAAAAATGATGAGTTCATGTCCTTTGTAGGGACATGGATGAAATTGGAAACCATCATTCTCAGTAAACTATCGCAAGAACAAAAAACCAAACACCGCATATTCTCACTCATAGGTGGGCATTGAACAATGAGATCACATGGACACAGGAAGGGGAATATCACACTCTGGGGACTGTGGTGGGGTCGGGGGAGGGGGGAGGGATAGCATTGGGAGATATACCTAATGCTAGATGACACGTTAGTGGGTGCAGCGCACCAGCATGGCACATGTATACATATGTAACTAACCTGCACAATGTGCACATGTACCCTAAAACTTAGAGTATAATAAAAAAAAAAAAAAACATTAAAAAAAAATGCAAAAAAGAAAATACATGCAAAAAAAGAAAAAAAAAAAGAAAGAAAATGAGCTGTCATTTGGAGAGCAGTTTGACAATTTCAGGTAAAAGTGAAAATGCATATACCATATGATCCAGTAGTTCCATTCATTCCTGCATTTCTGCCACAGAAATTCTGGAATATTGCACAAGAAGATATGTCTAAGTCTGCACATTGCGGCACTGTGAGTAACAATAAAAGATTAAAGGCAGTGAAGTATTGATGGATGAATAAGTAAAATAAGCTATGTCTGTCTAATGCAATTCTATTCAGTAATGAAATGAATTTGATCTCTACTAATATATAAATGTTTAAATAGGCAAAACAATATTAGACATAACAATGCTAGACACTGGATACAAATATGGGAAATAAAAGTATAAAAGCTTGGGCAAGAAAGGCATACGCAAAGTTCATCATAGTGGTTGCATCAAAGAAAGAAGGAAAAGGAATGATGTTAGGTAGAGGGGTACAAAAAGGAGTTTAGCTCAATTAATATTATTTTATTTATTCAAGAAAAATAAATCTGATAAAAATACTTGAATGTTAGCATTTGTTCATTTGAGGAGATGTATATCAGTTTGTTATTACTGTAGATTTCTATGGTTTTAATCTTTGTCCATATTAAGCCAAAGACTCTGGTTTCACAGAGGAGCAAGAGTAGACACAGAGACCACAGAAGTTGTTGACAGTGGTCCAGGAGACAGAAGTGATGCCTTGGATTAGGGTGAAGTCACTGAAGACAGAGAGAGGCCAACACACTCAAGACATATTTTAAAGGATTCACTAATGTTTTGAATGGGGGTGAGAAAAAGATAAGAATTAAAGCAACTCCTAGGTTTGAAGCTTAAGCAGCTCAGAGGACAACATTTACAGAGATTCAGAACACTGATTAAGGAATGTTATAGAGGTAGAGGTGGTAGAGAAGGATGTCAAGGATCCAGAGTTTAACTAAATTGTGACTGTTAAGTCTGGGAGGCCAATTAAATATCCAAGTGGAGATGTCAATCAGGCAATGAGATATCTGACCCTAGTGCACAGAGGAGAGGTCAGAAATGGAAATATAAACTAGGAAGTTGCCAGTATATGAAGGTATCTAAGCCATAAGACTGAACGAAATTGTGAAGAGAGAAAGTATGTAAAGAAAAAAAGGCAGGACTGAGCCTGGGGAACTCCTGGTAGATCTCGGGAGTGCAGTGAAGGAAGAGCAGGAAAGGTAGAAGTAAAACCAGGAAAGAATGGTGTCACAGAAACTAGCAGAGAAACAAGTAAAATGAGGATTAAGGTATGTTAAAGCTGGCAACACAGTCATCAGTGATCTTGACAAGAATAGTATCAATAGAGGGATGGAGGCAAAAGTCAGTAGACTGAAAACTGAAAAAGCCTCTCCATTTATTTTAAATGTTTCATAACATAATTTAATTTTAATTTTCTTTTTTGTTTTTTTTGAGACAGAGTCTCGTTCTGTCGCCCAGGCTGGAGTTCAGTGGCACGATCTTGGCTCACTGCAACCTCCACCTCCCAGGTTCATGCCATTCTCCTGCCTCAGCCTCCTGAGTAGCTGGGACTACAGGCACCCGCCACCACGCCCAGCTAATTTTTTGTATTTTTAGTAGAGATGGGGTTTCACCGTGTTAGCCAGGATGGTCTCGATCTCCTGACCTCGTGATCCACCCGTCTCGGCCTCCCAAAGTGCTGGGATTACAGGCATGAGCCACCGCACCCGGCCTTGATTTTCTTTTAATATTAACTCTTAGATGGGAAATAAGAAAATGAAGAACAGCAAGAGTAGGCAACTCAACAAGTTTTGCTCAGTAAAGGAGCACAGATAGAATTGTGACTAGAGAGGGAATTGTTATCAAGGAAGGCATGGGTTTTATTTTGCTTTTTACATTTTTGAGATGCAAAGTATTTGAGCATGTGTACATGGGCTTTAAGGAATTATCTAGCAGCAAGAGAGACACTAAGATGTAGGGAGGAGAAAAAGAGTGGTCGCATGAACAAAGTTGAGGGGAGAAGTATTCTAGCACACATTGAGAGATGCTTCTTCCACTGTAATAGAAGACAGAAAATGTCATTACAGGGCTTGAGGTTTGGTTCTAGAGAAACAACAGTGTTCCTGAAGGAGGCAGTGAGGTCACTAACTAAAAGGAAAGGAAGAGAGATGTTTCAAAAAGTTTGAGAAGGAAAGAAAAGTCATCTGAGAGAGTGGAAACTGAACCCACTAGGAAGGAAAACAAGATTTCAGACAATGTCCAGTACCTATTTAAAATCAGTGGTCACTAGGTGACAGTTGCACTAAAATCTCAGAATTCACCACTGTAGAATTCATCCATGTAACCAAAAGCCACTCGTACCCCAAAAGCTATTAAAATTTTAAAAAATATGGATAGATCTTGAGGCCATTATCCTCATCAAACTAACGCAGGAATAGAAAACCAAATACCGCATGTTCTCACTTATATGTGGGAGCTAAATGATGAAGACACATAGACACATAGAGGGGAACAAGACACACTGGGGCCTCACAGAGGATGGAGGCTGGGAGGAGGGAGAGGATCAAGAAAAATAACTAGGAGTACCAGGTTCTTTTAAACTGTCAACCTATACACTTTAGTATAGAATTCTATACTCAGCAAAAATATCCTTCCGGAATGAAGGAAAAATCAAGACACCCAGATGAAAGAAAGTAAAAGAATTTGTCATCAGCAGACCTATACTAAAAAAGGGCTAAAGAAGATTTTCTGAAGAGAAAGAAAATGAGTTTTTTAAGGAACCTTGGAACAGCAGGAAAGAAGAAAGGACATGGGAAATAACAGCAGACTTTTCTTCTCCTCTTGTATTATCTAAATTGTAATTGATGGTTGAAGCGAAAATTATAACACTGTGTGCTATGGTTCTAAATACACCCAGGCAACCAAAGCAGAAATGGACAAAGGAAATCACATCAAGTTAAAAAGTTTCTGCAGAACAAAGGATACAAACAACAAAGTGAAAAGACAACCCACAGAATGGAAGAAAAAAATTACAAACTACTCATCTGACAAGGGATTAATAACCAGAATATATAAGGAGTTCAAAAAACCCTATAGGAGAAAATCTAATAATCCAAACAAAAAAATGGAAAAAAGATTTGAATAGACTTTTCTCAAAAGAAGACATATGATTGACATACAGGAATATGAAAAGGTACTCAACATCATTGATCATCAGAGAAATGCAAATCAAACTACAATGAGTTTTCATCTCACCCCAGTTGAAATGGCTTATATCCAAAAGATAGGCAATAACAAATGCTGGTGAGGATGTGCAGACAAGTGAACCCTTGAAAATTTGGTGGGAATGTAAATTAGTACAACCACTAGGGAAAACAATTTGGATGTTCCTCAAAAAACTAAAAATTGAGCTACCATATGACCCAGCAATCCCAATGCTGGGTATATACCCCAAAGAAAGGAAATCAGTGTGTTAAGAGATATCTGTACCCCTATGTTTGTTTCAGTATTGTCTACAATAGCTAAGATTTGGAAGCAATCTATGTGTCCATCAACAGAGGAATGGATAAAGAAAATGTGGTATATATACACAATAAAGTACTATTCAGCCATAAAAAAGAATGAGATCCAATCACTTGCAACAACATGAATGGAATTGGAGATTATTACATTAAATGAAACAAGCCAGTCACAGAAAAACAAACATCACATGTTTTCACTTATTTGTGGGATCTAAAAATCAAAACAATTGAACTCATGGATGTAGAGAGTAGAAGGATGGTTACCAGAGACTGGGAAGGGTACTGGGAGGGGCTTGGGGGGAGGGGGATGATTAATGGGTACAAAAAAATAGTTCAAAACAATGAATAAGACTTACTATTTGATAGCACAACAGGGTAACTATAGTCAACAATAACTTACTTGTGCATTTTAAAATAACTAAAAGAATGTAATTGGATTATTTGTAACCCAAAAGATAAATGCTTGTGGGAATGAAAATTCCATTATCCATGACGTGTTTATTTCACATCATATGCTTGTATCAAAACATCTCATGTACCCCATAAATATATATACCTACTATGTACCCCAAAAAATTAAAAATAAAAAGTTTTTAAAAATAAGCGAAGACAGTTATAGAACACAAAGCAGATTTAATCCAAATAAGACTACCTCAAGATATTTAATAATCAAACTCCCAAAGGTCAATGATATGGTTTGGATGTTTGACCCCTCCAAATCTCATGTTGAGGTATGATTCCTAGTGTTGGGTGAGAGGCGTTTAAATCATGGGGACAGATCCCTCATGAAGAGTTTAGTGCTGTCTTCATGCTAATGACTGAGTTCTCACTCTGAGTTCATACAAGATCTGGTTGTCTAAAAGTTTGTGGCAACTCCCCTCTCTGTCTCTTGTTTCTGCTCTCATTATTTGACATGCTGGTTCCCCTTCACTTTCTGCCACAACTGTATGCTTCTTAGGCAGAGGTGGCCTAAAAACCTGACCCAACTATATGCTATCTACTAGAAACTCAGTTCAAATGTAATAATGCAGACAAGTTGAAAGTAAAAGGGTAGGAAACTATCCTTTTATCCTTGTATCATACAAACATTAATCAAGGAAATCAGAAGTGATATTAATATCAAATAAAGTGACTTCTGGGTAAAGAAAATTATCAGCAACAGGAAAGGATATTAAATAATGAAAAAAGGGTCAATCCACCAAGAAGACATAGCAATTCTAAATGTATATGAAGCAAACAATAGAGCTGAAAATATGTGAAGCAAAACTGAAGGATAAATAGACAAATCCACAATTATAGTGGAGAGTTCAACACCCCTCTTCAGCAATTAATAGAACAACTAGACAGAAAATAAGATATAAAATACTCAAAAACACATTTATCTAATAGAATCTATTCAATACTTACAGAACATTCCACCCAACAACAACAGAATACACATGTTTTTCAAGTGTTCATGGAACATATACCAAAATAGGCCATGTCCTGGACCATAAAATGAACCTCAGCAAACTTAAAAGAATTGAAGTCATAAAGAATATGTTCTACAACTACAATGGAATCAGCTAAAGTTTAATAACAGGTAACAAGAAAATCTTCAAGGAACACACATGCATGAATCCCAGATAAAGTCTCAAGGGAAACTGAAAAATAAGTTGAATTAAATGAAAATGAAAGCACAACATATCAAAATGTGTGAGACACAGCTAGAGCAGTACATAAATGAAATCTTATGGCATTAATTGCATATATTAGAAAAAAGGAAAAGTCTCAAATCCATAATCTAAGCTCCCAATTCAAGAACTTAGAAAAAGAAGAGCAAATTAAACCCAAAGCAAGGAGAAAAAAATAATAATAAAGATAAAAGCAGAAATCAATGAAATTGGAAATAGAAAAAAAATTAATGAAACACACAGCTGGTTCTTTGAAAAGATCAATTAAAATGACAATTCTATATCAAGACTAAGAAGGAAAAAAAGAATGTACAAATTACGAACATCAGTAATTAAAGAGGCAATATTACTGCAGACCCTGCAGACATCAAGAGAACAATAAGGGAATGCTATGAACAACTCTACAACATGCATATGGCAATAAACCAAATGTCCCACTTTCTCAAGAAACACAAACTATCACAACTCATTCAATATGAAATAAATCATTTAAATAGCCTTATAACTCTTAAGAAAATTAAATTCATAATTTCTAAAGCTACCAAAAAAAGAAATCCCAGGCCCAGGTGATTTCACTGGAGAATTATACTAAATGTTTAAGGAAGAATTAATACCAGTTGTACACAATCTCTTCTAGAAAATAGAAGAGGAGAGAACACTTCCCAATTTATTTTATGAAGCTAGCATTACCTTGATGCCAAATCCAGACAAGGCAATACAAAAAAATGACCAGCCTATATTCCTTATTAGTATAGATGCAAGAATCCTTGACACACCATTGGTAAATAGAATTCAGTATTATATAAAATGAATTATATACATGACCAAGAGAGGTTTTTTTCAGGTATGCAAGGCTGTTTCAAAATTCAAAATTAAGTAATGTGATTTCCACCGTATGTATAAAACCTTACCACATTAACAAGTTAAAGAAAAAAAATTACATGATCATATTAATCAATCCAAAAAAAGCACTGGACAAAAATCCAATACCCATTTATGATTTTAAAGAAAACCCTCAACAAACAGGAAGAGATGATCACTTCTTCAAGTTGATAAAGAACTGAATTAGTTTGTTTTTATACTGCTATAAAGAACTTTCCTCTTTGTAAAGGAAAGAGGTTTAATTGACTCACAGTTCTACACGGCTGGGGAAGCCTCAGGAAACTTAAAATCATGGCGAAGGCAAAGGCGAAGCAAGGCACCTTCTTCACAAGGTGACAGGGAGGAAAAGGGCTAAGCAAAAGGGGAAGAGCCTCTTATAAAATCATCAGATCTCATGAGAACTCACTATCACGGGAACAGCATGGGGAAAACTGCCCCCATGATTGAATTACCTCCACCTGGTCTCTCCCTTAACACGTGGGGACTATGGAGATTACAATTCAAGATGAGTTTTAGGTGGGGACATAAAGCCTAACCATATGAAGAACATAAACAAAAAACCTCTACAGCTCACAGCATATTTAATGGTGAGAGACTGAACACATTCCCCATGAGATCAGTAATAAGGCAAGAACATCTGCTCTTACCACTCTTAGTAAACAATTCTGTAACTTCTATTTAGCGCTATAAGGTAAGAAAAGGGAGTAAAGTGCATACAAATCAGGAGGGAAGAAATAAAACTGCTTTGATTTGGAGCCCATTTACCCAGCAGATCCCTCACCTGGCTTGGAAGAATGAGTCAGGAAAGGTATTATTGCATAGACGACACAGCAGCAGAGCTCCAGCCCTGTGCTTAGCTCACAAGCTACAAAGCCAGGTTCCCACTGACTGTCTCTTATAGTACTGGTGGCTACAAGGTTCTACTCAAAATTACCTTGTGAATTCCCCCACTTAGACGTTTTCTTTGGGCTTTGTTTCTATGGTGGACAGCCACAGCAAGGGCAGCATCAAGTGGTACCCAAGACCCTCAGTCATTCCCAGGTACCAGTCATGGGTTTGGTAAGGATCTTATCACCGTCCAGAGCCCTCATACGCCTCTGTTCCCAGATTCATGGCCCCTTCAGCAATGCCACTGTTCCTCTTGCTCACACAAAACAAGGGTGCACACAAATACATATGCATACATGCACAAACACTCTTTCTAAGGCTGCTTTACAAAAGCCTAGGTATAAGGTTTTAGAATGCCATTTATAACAGGAGGTTATAATCACATGCACAGACTGGTTTGGAAAATAAAAATGTTAAATTCTCTCTGACACATATTTTCTCTAATCACAATCAGACTGTTTTGGACCCAGCTAATTATTGACTTGCTATCTGCCCAATTCAACCTATAGTTTTCAAAGTGCTCATGGTCAACTAATTTCCACCAGGATTTTTCTTTACCTAAAATAGGTTGACTGTAGACTCAGGCAGAGAAATCTGACAGAGGATCTGAAATGATGGCATCTGCATTGCCTGAAAGCGTGAAGATCTTGGAGTGCTGATCCACGTAGCCATGAAGCAGACTCCTGATAAACCAGCTACCATTGTCAGCACCTCCCATGTGCCAAATATTTTATCTTGCATTTAATTCTTACCAACAACACTGCAAGATGACTATCCCCAATTAGATTCTGAGGCCAGAGGGATTAAATGACTCAAGCTGGTAGGTGGCATGATCAGATTTAACCCTTTCCACTTTAGGACCTATTCTGCTATACCATAACATAGGTGCATACAGGTCAATTTTCTCATGATCCTATGACCTCCTTCCCCCAAATCATTGCATACCAACAATTATATGAAGTTCCAAAGTTATTTTGAAAGATGAAAAAAGTAATGAAAACAAATTAAATATATATTGGCTTCCAAACTAATTTTTATTCAAGTTTAAATATGTATTCATGTCCAGATAATAACTGTATATTTTTCCTTCTTCTCTAGACTCCTTATTTCCTGGTGGCTGGAAATAATGAATGCTTTCAAATGCACATGTGCACATTTATGGTCAGTGTGGTGGACATCTGCTAATTTGCCCACCCAGCATCTGCCCTTGGTCTTATCCCTGACAGAAAAGGCTGGTCCCACCAATCCACCAAGTCCTGCCAGCCATGGAAATTTGCTCAGGGACAGGTCTGGAATTCAAGTTGGTCCAATCCTCATTCCCCAGACTTTTGCCAGAGAAACTAGGAAGAAGACACTGTCCATAGGATATAAACCTAGAGAAGAGCCAGAAGATAACACAGAGAAAAAGAGAACAGAGACACAGACAGAGACAGTCTTGCTGACATTGTCTGAGCCCCTGAATCCAGCATGGCTAAAGCTAACTGGCCCTGGCTTTTTCAGCTATGTGAGACAATACATCGCTTTTTGGTCTTAAAACAAATCGAATTGGGTTTTCTGTCACTTAAAATTGAACGAGTTCTGACAGGGTATTTATACATCCCAGGTCTTAGCAGATGGCACTAACCTAGGTCTGGTCCCTGCTTCTCTCTACTCTTTCTTTAGTTGGGCTCTTTCAAGTAACTCAAATAAGTCTCAGTTAGGAGGTGAAGAGAACTGTAAGGATGTATGTGAAGGTGAGGAAGAGGAAAGGACCTGAAGTTCAGGAACAGAGATTCTAGTCAAGTCAGCCCCTGCCAGCAGAAAAAGGGGAGGCACAGGAGTGAGTAATTGTCACTCTGCTACTCCGGGCTAATAAGACTCTGCTGTGTTAAGTGTCTTCTCTCCCTATGACTTGTCTGTTACAGCCACCCCACCACTTACTCTCTCAACCTGCCATCTCTCTGCCTCCAGTCCCTGCTTCCTCATAACTTTGACTCTCCACAACCCCTCTTAGCTCCCACTCTTCCTCAAGGCTCCTGTGCACACAGCACTTCAGCTTCAAACTTCGCTCCTCACAGCCTCTTTCTGCTGGCATTTCCTAGCCCACATTCCTGAGAAAGAGGCAGTCTGATTGGCGCAGCTCCTCTTCATGTGCAGGGCAAACTCACAGGTTACTGACCCACCTACTAAGTGTCTGCCTGTGAGTCAGTAGGCACTTCAGGGCCAATCAGCTTCGAATAGGGATGAGATCTCTTGCTTTTACTTAGGACAGACTGTGAGCAAAGCAAGCACTATGACTGGTTTGTCTTTTCCCCAGCACGGCCAATGCATGCTTTTCTTTCTTCATAGAATATTTTTCTTCCATCTCCCTTTCTCTGACAGAAAAAACCATCTCAAAGGCCATCTCTTCCAGGAGGAGGCTATGCCAGAGTCCTCCTTCATGGTGCTACCTCCATCATCGCACCAACCATCTGGTAATGTCATTGTGCAGATAGGATAATGTTTTAATATTTTAATTGATGAGATTTTCTTTAGGATTCCCTGATACCTCAAAGTTCTTCTCTTTGAGGAGCTAGACTTTAGGAACATAGGAAAGCATAAGTGACTCATTCTTGGCTTTTGCATTCCAAAAAACCATTTGGGAAACATAAACCTGGATTTTCGAGCTTTCATATACTGAGAAAAAAGAAAGCAGCCCTGACTTTTGGGAGCTATCAACTAGGTTGATATTATTGGCACATTATGAAACCTGACCTTGGTTTTGCTAGGAGCTGGCCTGGAACCCACACGCAGGTCTGGGTGTCCTCCTATTAAACAGAAATAATTTCATAGCACATCAACATAAGGCTACTCTGATGACCACGTTGCATCCAGACAAAAACAAGACCATTCCATAAGGATGTCTGAACACAGACAAAACATGAACATGTCAAAGCCACAAAAATACCCATCTCCCTCTCCTAGCTAATATGAGTGTCTGCCGCTTCTTTACCTATTATAGCTTTAGCTTCCGTCTATTCTTCCCTCCTTCTAGATAAAATGTATTAAGATGCCCAATCATAGAATTACCCTACTTCCTGGCAGCATCCAATCCAGAGCAAAACTCTATTTCCTTAAACCCTTTCCAAAATCTCTTAACACAAACCCAAATCCTGTAAGTCCTTTCTAACACCTTCTTAATAACAACGTCCCAATTCCCTATGGTATGTGCTCACTGCACCAAGTAATAAACCCAATTTATTCAACTATACATGTGTTCTGGATAGTCTTGGTTGGAGGGCATTGACATTCAAAACTCCGAAGGAATCAAGGCATAGATTATGCCATTAAAAGACTTAAAAGAATGCATGTGTTCATGCAAAGACATTTTATTCTAATCCCCACCCACAGCAAGCTGCATACTATTCTGTATAATCTACAGTCTGGGAAAGTGAGGCAAAGAGCAGCAGAGATCAAAGGGAAACACATTGACATTGACATCATACTGCTCAAAAATAAGTTCCCCTACAAGAATATTGGGATATCAAAAGCCAGTATGATTGTCACTAAGTGGGAAGGAAGAAATTTAACCCCTGGTGGGTCCCTGAGAGGAGTTCCCAAGCCATTTACTTTCCCACCTCCACTCACCCACACACACATCAAGCCAAGTCTTTTGGAAGCAGTATGTTTAAGAGAATTCTCATTGCGACTTGGGAATACAAGAGTAAGGAAGATCTATGCTCAATTCCCAGGCTGGGCGCAGTATTTGGCAAAACTCATAGA
The DNA here is from genome assembly GCF_000001405.40 of Homo sapiens. NCBI lineage: Eukaryota > Metazoa > Chordata > Mammalia > Primates > Hominidae > Homo > Homo sapiens. Next base: position 137,083,148 of record NC_000003.12, on the reverse strand, counting down.
ATTTCCGTAAGCCCAGCATCATGTAAAAAAAGTAGAAAATGGCCAAGTGGGGTTCCCAGCAGATAGGTCTGAAACCATCTCCTGGAGTCCTGAAGCTTTCTAGCACAGTGCATGGAAAACCACCAACTGTCTGGGGACAATCAGAAGAGCAGTGGGAGTAGCTAAGGATGACCCAGACTTGAAGAAGCCTTGTGGTTAGGACAAAAAGGCACAGCTGCAATCTACATAAACCAGCCCTTAGGAACCAGATGGAAATAAGATGCTCAGCAGATGCAAGGTGGAAGTTGACACTAGGATCTCTCCATCCCCCAATATCTCAGCATTCTTCAGACCCCTAGAACTCAACAGCAACCCCATTGAAGCGGAGGAGCAGAAAATCCTGAACTGAGCAAGATTACTTGTATTGATTAAAATTATTCAATTACTATCAGAATAAGGCTCAAAATAGAAATTAAGTTCTGTTCTGGAAAAATTAAGACAGGTTCGTTTCTGGGCACCAGGTTGTATAATGATATCAACCTACTACTTCTATTGTTACCCACTCTAGGCTGCAGGTGTCTTGGATCTGTTGACTGAAAGTCGTGGTCACAACACGTGTCAGACTCCCTCACTAGACCCTAAGTTCCTGGAACATTGGAACCCCATATTTTTGTCATTGACCCACCAGTGCCTATCACAGTGCAGGTTTTGCATTTGTCCTGGATCAGCCATTAACCAGCTACATATTCTTAAGCAAGTTTTTTCATTTCTTTGAGATTCCATTTTCTCATGTTTAAATCATGGAATCTACCGGCAAAAATAAAGCATTTTTCACTAATTATAGAAAACACTAGTCTTACGTTTGTAATAAAAATTAATTGTAGAATATTTTAAGAAAATATGTTTTTCTATTTTATAGCTATATACTAATCAGAACTAGGTTAACTAGATTCAACTACTCCTTTAATCCAAGGGATTCAGAGTAGTCCTTAGGGAACCTAAATTAATGACTAGATAAGGCAAATTTGTAATTAGTGTATCAACTGCTTATATGGAATTAAGTCTTTCCAAAGTGCTGGAAGGTGCTTTAAACGGTTTATCTTAAGTAGACCAACTGTTCCCAAATGTGGCTCATCCTCAGAATCATATGTGGAGCTTTTTAATCAGAGATCCCTGGACCCACCATGGAGATTCTGATTCCCTGGGTCCTGTTCAGCTCTGGAATGTGCCTGTTTAAAAAGCTCCCCAGGAAATTCCAGTGATCTGCCAAGTATGAGAATCAATGCTTTAGAAAAATATTAACGAAACAATGGAAACTCCAACCCTATTTGAACTATCATAGATTGCAAATAAAACTGAGGCATGTAAATAACGTAAATAAAAAACCTCCTGTTTCTCTCCCACCACATTCTCATTCCCCAGTAATAACTATTATTGGAACTTGGTTGTATATCCTTCCAGATATTTTTCTGTGTATTCCATTTGAATCTCCATTTATTGATTTCACTTATGTGCCAAGTTTGTGCCAGATCCTGTAATGAAATTGGTTTAGGAGATGTGACCAGGTATTTTCTTAGGGAAATCACTGTGACCCCCTCCCCCCAACTTCTTCCTGTTTCTCTCACTCACACTGTCTTAGGCCATTTTCTAGCTGCTATAACAGAATACTACAGACCAGGTAATGTATTTAAAAAAGATATTTATTTCTCACCGTTCTGGAGTCTGGGAAGTTCAAGAGCATGGCTTCAGCATCTGGAGAGGGCCTTCGTGCTCCATCACAAGATGGTGAAGGGCAAGTGGGCACACGAGACAGAGGAAATGGAGGCCAAAATCCCCCCTTTTGTTATGACTAACCCACTCCCGAGATAGCAGCCTTAATCCATTCATAAAGGCAAAGGCCTCATGACCTAAGCACTCTTAAAGGTACCACCTCTTAATACTGTTACAATGGCAATTAAGTTTTGACATGAGTTGAAATTGACATTGAAACCATAGCACTCACCATCCCCTGTTTCACTCCCACTGAAAGCAGAAGGGAGCACCTTAAATCCCAATCCACCTGCCTGGGAGCCATTACTGAATTTTCTTTCATGGCCCACAGTGTTGTTTGTCTTCTAATTCTTCCCTCCTTGGGAGCTGCAAAGGCTTTGAAAGCAGTCAGACACTTAACACAAATCCCAGCTCTACCACTTTCCAATTGGGTACTTCGCTTAATATTCCTGTGCCTCAATTTTCCCATCTATGCCATGATGTTAACAAGAGTACCAACTCCATAGAGTTTTGATGAGTAACACCTGTAAAATTTAATTTCTGCTTTCCTTCCTGTAATGCTCTCATTGACATACATTCTCACCTCACGGCAAGTAGTTGCCAGATGCACGCCCAAATCCCAACTCTAATCTTACACATACACATACACACCACCCCACAAATACATTAAAGTTTCAGGGTTTTGTTTAACTAAAACATAAAATAATAAAAAGAGTCAAAGCATTGATTTTCTGCAGTCTTCTCCCAACAAAAAGCTGTCCTCCCATTGTGGCTGGGAATGGATTGACCCATCTTCAGGCAGATATACCTGTGATCCAAACATTTTCTCTAAAATCCCAAGCACCTAGTGATCACGTCTAGAGTTTTTGTCTTGTTTTTGTTTTTAAATCTCTTTGTATCCATTTCTTTTCCAACTCTTTCTTTAGGTATAAAGATGCAATACCTCCAACAATAGGTTTTCAAGATCATCTTAACCCATCAAAACTCTGCTTGTGACACATTTCTCAAAACCCTGTTTGGGTTGGTGTTACTTGACAATATATTTCATTTTATCTAGAGATAACACATTTGCATAGTGCTTACACATAAAAAAATAGATATGTATATATATATGTGTGTGTATGTATACATACATATATACAGAGATAGAATGGTTCTAAATACCTGAGTCATCACCTAAATTTCTCATTTGTAATATTTGGCTCCCCATGTACTCACAAGCAGAGAAACACACACTTCTGTGTGTATATCCTGGCATAAGTGCATACACACACAAACACATATATAAATCTCTTTTTGACCCTATCATGTTCATAGTTTGAAAAGTTTGTTAGAAGAACCAGCCTGGTAATAATTCACTGCACCTCATGTATAATAAGCAGAAATGCACCGGCCTTTATGATGAATTGCCAGGGTAACACAGGGACATCTTGTTTGCATTTCAATGCACCAAGTGTCAGATTCTTATTTCATTACTTGCCAGTACATTAGTGGATGGTTTTTAATTTCTTTTTTTTTCCCCCTTTAGCAAAGCTCCATGGAGACCTCTCGCTCTTGCCACTTGCATTGGGAGCAAGGTTGCATTATTTTTAAATGCTATAGTATCTGGATCTCACTCGAAATATTGCTGAATTAACAAAATAAATAATAGCATACTACCAGCAGTTCTATCTGGCTTTTAAAAAAGACACCAAATTTATCTTGCTTTTATTAAATTCTATAAAAGGAAGATTGGGAGATTTGTGGCATCTTCTTCATATTTTAAATAGGAAAGTGTTCTATGTTGTTAATGTTTTGCTTTGTTTTTCTTTCACCAAGATTCACATTGTTCCTTATGCAAAACAATATATGAAGCCACAAGAAGATATTCTCAGGGAAAATTTGTTTCTGAATTACCAAACTGAATCTGCAGAACTGTAATCTGCTGGGAGCTGCAGGATGTTTAGGCCTACCATGAAGTCCCTTGGCCTGCCCCACACTAGAAGGCAGCAGATTAAATGTTGATGCCTTATAGACTAAGAGCAGTTTTTTTTAATTCTCAAAAAAGTTGAAGTGAATTTTCTTTCTAATATTTCCCATATGTATAATCAAATATAATGCATTCTTAAACTTTGGTGGGCATCAGAATCACCTGGAGGGCTTGCTTAAAAACACAAATGACTGGTTCTCCACCCCGAGTTTCTCATTCAGTAGATCTGGGATGAGGTCTGGGAATTTCCATCTCTAAGAAGATCCCGGGTGATGCTGATGATGATGCTGGTTGGGGAATTCGCTTTCAGAGTGGATTCTAAGCCCAGCTCTATCATTTACCTTCTGAGTGGGCTTGGGAATAATGTTTCACCTTTCTGAGCTTTAGATTCCTCATCAATAAAATGGAGATAACAGTAGCAATTTTCCCTGGGGTAATTGTGAGGAAAAAATGAACCAATATATATTAAGTACCAGGTACATAATAGGCACTCAATAAATATTAGTTTTTCCCCTTCCTCTTCTCCTTCTTACAGGAGGAAGGGACATGAGAGTTCCTATAGTCCAATACTCCACACAGAACAGAGGTCCCTCCTCTAACCTGCCTGTCATAGTCATTCAGTGCCTGTTTGGTCACCTTCAGATGTCGGGAGCTCACTACTTCAGGGAAATCCATCCCTTTGTGGCCAGCTCTCATTTACAGAATGTTATGCTGAGTTGAAACCTATCTCCCTGAAATTCTATGTTACTGCCCTCCAGAGTCACAGAGAATAAACCTTACTTCTTATTTTAAAACTTTTTATTCAGGACATCCCATAGGCTTATCAATATGGTGAGTAGGCTTCCAGGAAAACAGATCTTGAGCTGCTCAGTACACCTGTTGTGTTTATTAGTGGCTTCAATGATGGATTCATTCACTAAACACAGCATGTGAGGAGAACCCTGTTAAAGATGAGGCTGGCAAAATGAACAGAAGCTGGATTATGTAGGCTCAGATAGGCCAGACTAAGAGGTCTAGCCTTTATTCTAGAAGTCCAGGTGGTGGGAAGCCTTTGGCTAGTTTTAAGCCAGAGAGTAAAATGCTTGAATTTGTATTTTGTAAAGATCACACTGACAAGAGTTTGAAGAATACATTGGGTGTGGTGAGACTGGAGCCACAGAGACCAATTAGAAGACTATAGAGAAGAAGAAATAAATAGAAGAGATGTCAAGGAGGCAGAAAGAACAGGATTTGATAATGAATTGCATGGGAGGGACAAAGGAGAAGGAGGTGTCTGGGATAATGTCCAAGGCCCTGGCAGCTGAATAAATGGGGTTTACTTTTACTGAGAAAGGTAATACTTTAAGTGGATCGGGCTTTCTAGGAAAAAATGAGTCGAATTTGGGCACCTCAAGTTTGAAATACTTCAGGACACCCTGTAGGCAGTTGAATACATAGATCTGAAACCTCATGGACAAGTTCTGAATGGTAGTCATAGATGTAGAATCAATGATTGATAGATAAATTACAGTCAAAAGTATAGGATTACAGTCAAAATTATAGGAATTATAGGATAGATTACAGTCAAAATTTCACCACTCAGAGTGAAAGAGTAAAGAAGATGACCAGGGCAAAACTGTAAAAAATAGCAACATCTGAGGGGCAGATGAAACAAAAGGAATCTACCAAGGACAGTCGGAGAGATGAAAAGAGAACAAGAGACAGTAGTAATACAGAAACCAAAGGAGGAAACCGAAAAGAAAGGCATGGTCAACAGTATCCAGTGCCAGAGAGTGAGAACTTCAGGTAAATACTGAAAGAGACCCATTGGATGTAGTGATCCAGAGGGGATCGGGGTGAAAAATTGTGCAGTGATGGTGAAGACAAGGTGGTCGCAGTCATGTGAGGAAAAAGGGATAAAAGAGAAAGAGGGTATTATAAAAGTAGACTATCTTCAAAGAGCTTGGAGGGAATGGAGAGAAATGGGTCAAGGTGGTTAGAATGCATCAGGGAAGGGTATTTGTTTAATATCAGAGAAAAATGAGCATGATTTCCTGTGGGGTGGCAACCAGCAGGCATGGCCAGCACTTCTGCTAAGCAAGCTCATGTACTCGTGTGTGGCTGAAACTCTGTGACTGACAAACATCAGCCACAGCAAAGTCAAGAAGAATAAGGAGATGACTTGGCGCAACAGAGGACTGAAACTTGACTTGATGCCCAAAGAAGGTTGATTTGTAGGAAAATGAAAACATTGTGAATCTTCAGATTATTAACTCCAAACTCAGAGTCTCTGTGTCCCCAGAAAATATAGCCATTCCTCCTTAAGGACACTCAAGCCTAGGAAAGGAAGCAGGAAGATGACTCTCACATTAGGTGACTGGCACCTGCCCCATTCTTTTGCCACAAACCATGCCATGAAGCTGGAAAGCAGCTTCTGTCTCCAGGATTCACTCATGACCCTCTTTACATTTATTCTGTTAGCCCATACCCTACTGTCATCCACCAGCAATCTTTTCCCTGGATCCAGTATCTGTATCTTACCCTCCTCATTTTTTTCTCCCATTCAGACTCCATTTTTTAATTCACCTCCTCGCTGCTACCTCTGCTGTATCACCAGTTCTGAAAAGCATCCTTAAGCTCAGCATTCAAACCAATTCCAGATAAAGGACAAACTCCCTGGCCTGCCACCTCTGCAGAATACACCAGCAAGACCAGCTATGGCCCCCATCAAGAGAACTTAAGGGTACATATTGCCTTAACTACACCTCCATCCTATTCCTCTAAAGCTCAGCACAATGCCTTGTACATAATGGATCCTTGATAATTATTTACTGAATTGAAAAGTACTTAGTGGTCCTCTCCTTTACTATATTTTTCTCCAGTTCCCCAGGACAGAAGCCGTTTTCATCGTTCTGGGATTTCCAGAGCAACCATCTCGTGAATAAGGGTCCTAATCATACCTCCTCCAGTGGGGCAGACACTACTCCAAACAATGTGGCATGCTTTTCCTACCACTCTCCAACAGATTAATTCTCATGCAGGTGCCCAAGACCAACCAGCTAGTAAATGGCAGAGAAGGGATTTGAGACCTCCCCATCTGGCCCCAAAGCCTGCGCTCTTTGAGACTTAGACACTGCCGTCCTTACTCACCCACAAGAGTGGCACAAGGAGGAGAATGCTGTGCCCCCAAATGTCTCCCCTACTCAGCAGGCATTGTGCCCCTCCCTGAGCAAGCTTTTGGGACTGTAGTCATCAAGAGACTTCACTGAACTTCTTAGGGCTGGGACTAGGATGAGACAAGAGAGGCTGACCCTACATATGTATGATCCTGAGAATGAACGCCTCCTTAAATTTTGTGCCATACAAGTCTCAATCACCTCATCCTAGTCCCAGCCCTGGCTTCTCTTAAGGATCTCCTTTTGATATCCTTAAAAAATACTATTCACAGATGTATAAAATTATCTTTTTTTTTTTTTTTTTTTTTTGAGACAGAGTTTCTCTCTTGTTGCCCAGGCTGGAGTGCAATGGCGCAATCTCAGCTCACTGCAACTACCGCCTCCCAGGTTCAAGAGATTCTCCTGCCTCAGCCTCCCGAGCAGCTGGGATTACAGGTGCCCACCATCATGCCTGGCTAATTTTTTGCATTTTTAGTAGAGACAGGGTTTCACCATGTTGGCCAGGCTCATCTCGAACTCCTGACCTCAGGTGATCCACCCGTTTCAGCCTCCCAAAGTGCTAGGATTACAGGCGTGGCTGTACTGGGCTGCACCCATCCAAAATTGTCTCATTTCTATAAACTTATTTCAACCCATTATCAGCCCTGTGTATGTGCATAGAGAGATTCTGGAATGTTGCTTATATTGAGGATGGTTATTTGGGGGTTGGGTATTTGAGGTATATCTTGGCTTAGGTTCCCTGAGACAAGGTTAATGCACAAATGATTTATTCAGGAAGTGATTTCTACAGACTAAGGGGAGTAACACAGACAAGGAAGAAAAGCCAACACAAGGATAGTATTAAATTGGGCATTACCATGGGCAACTGGTGGTCCATCTGTCCAGGTTCTCCTTAGGAAATATACAGAAGGTATCTCAGAATTATTCCCCTGCCCCAAAGATCAACATTGAGAAGTACTTATCCACTGGTTTCCATCCCATTGATTGAGTTTGTGCACTCAACCTTCACTTCAAGTTTGTGCATGTGTGAACGTGAAGCAGACTCACTGGCATCCCATGCCATGATATCACAGAACCCTCAGGATAAGTAGCTTGAGCCAAGGCACTGCCAATGGAAGGAGTTCAAATGCCTGCACAAAGCAGTTTGCCATAGTAGCGGCTGAAGTAAGGGCTAAGACAGAGAGAATATGAAATGTCCAATATGGAGTGGTTTTTTTTACTTTTTTTATCATACTCTAATTTGCCAAATTTTGTGTAATAGTCTGCATTACACTTATAAAGATATTATAGCCAAGATTCTTTTTTTAAAATAAATATTTATTCACAGTCGGGGAATCCTTTGCCAGGAATTACAAAATTCTTTTATTTTTAACAGATGGGGTCTTGCTATGTTGCCCAGGCTGGTCTCAAACTCCTGGCCTCAAGTGATTCTCCTGCTTTGGCCTCTCAAAATGCCTGGATTATAGGTGTGAGCCACCACACCCAGCCTCAGTCCACAATTCTTGTTGAGCTAATTCCTACATTGTAACTGACCTGTAGGACTAACTGTGTGGCAAGCCTGAAGACATGGACCCCAGCTTATAGATGGGAAGACCTCCTATGGACTTTCATAGGATACAACTTGGACTCTTTGTTCCTTGTATATAAGTGCTCTGCCCCCCAAACCCCACTCCACCTCACCTCACACACACACAGGGCCAATTCCCATGGCTTTAAATAAAATTTAAAACTGCCAACAATTCCTAAATTTTATCTCCAACCCAGATCTCATGTCAAAGCCCCAGATTCTGTATATACAATTGCCTGCCTGACATTTTCACTTGTGTATGTCAAAGACATCTCAAAATTAATGTTCAATAATAAACTCCTGAGTTTCTTCACAAAATTGTTCCACTCTTGACCACCATCATTGTTACAGGCTGAATTGTGTTCCTCCAAAAATATATACGTTGAAGTCCTAACCTCCAATACATCGGAGTGTGGCCTTATTTGGAGATAGAACTTTTAAGGAAATAATTAAAGTGGGGCCACTAGGGTGGGCCCTAATCCAATATGACTGATGCCCTTACAAGAAAGAGGAAACCTGTGAAGACATGGGGACAAGCTGGCCATCTACAAAGCAAGAGAGGGGCATGGAACAGATTATTCCATTAGGGCCTTCAGCAGGAATCAACCCTGATATCTTAATCTCAGACTTCTCAGAACTGTGAGAGAATTAATTTTTGTTGTTTAAGCCACAAAAATTGTTACAGCAGCCCTAGCAAACTAATAAACCATATAAACAATTGATACCACTCCCCCAACCTCTGGTAGCTAAAAGCCAGAAATCTAAAGTCAGTCCTAAGTTACCTTCTTGCTTCAAACTACAAAGTACATCTCAGTCTGACCACTTCCTCTCCTTCCATTGCCACTGCCTGGCCCAAGCCACCATATGTATCAACTGGAACCCTATCAGCCCCATCTAATAGACAGGCATGGTTCTTATTAGTCCCCTCCAGCATATCAGGTGTTGGGAAGTGGTTAGGGGCAGGTGGTGAAGAAGCAGGGGTCACAGCTCCTGACAGGTCCTTCCTGTGTCAGCTGCTGTGTTGGCCTCTAACTTCTGACCTACTCTGCCCTATTTAGGCTTATTCTGATGCTCCATACCTTCTTCAGTCTCTCAGCTTGACCTCACTGTGCAAACTTCAGATCCAGAGCCCTCAAGGACTGTGTACTCAGCTTGGCTCTCCCCTGCCTGTCTGCTCACCTGGCTGTCCCCTACTGCCCTGGTCCTGCTCAGACCCTCAGCATCTGAAGGTGTCCAGCTCCCCTGCTGCCTGCCCTTCAATTCTGCCTCTACCACCAGATCCCTCCCAGGATTCCTGGCCCTGAGACTTCCCCATCAGGTTACTCCTGAAATGCAGCTCCTAAGCCTGTGCAAGGCACACCCTAGCTGCGATGGTTCCCCAGCACCTACAGGAGAAAGTCCAGTTGCCCTCCCCCACAACATGGTACGCAACTGCCTGGCCCTGCTTACCTCTCCAGACTTGTCTTTTATATCCCCCTTCCTCTCCTGAACACTCTAGAAATCTACTTGTCCCTCAGATAGGCCAAGCAATTTTATACCTCCATGTTTTGTTCATGCTGTTCCATCTTCCTCAAGTGCTTTTTCCCAGCTTTTACTCCCAACTGACTTATTGTTTGAGACTCAAATGAAATGGCCACCTCCCTCCATAATCCATTCCTCACCCTTCCGCAACTTCAAGCTCAACATGCCCCATCCTCTTGCTCATATATTTCTTCTCTCCGTGTACTTCACCTGTTATGTAATAATTGTTTATTTTTCCATCTTCATCACTAAACTCTCAGCTCTTTGAAAGCATAGACCACCTTTTATTGACCTCTGTACCCTGAGGCCTAGCATAATTGCTCACACACAGTAGGTATCGAATAAGTGTTTGTTGAGCCTAACTGGCCTGATTTGCAGACCCACTGCACCCTGGGTCCAAGGCACCAGCCCACAGCAGGGTGATGTATTTCACCCTCTCCATAGCAGGGGATCAGGCTGCTGCATTTTCTGAACTGAGTCACATGGTAGAAGCTCTAAATGAAGTACACAGGTAGTGAAGCCTAGATGGCTTTTTAAAGTTTCTCAAGGAAAAGAAAATTGTGAAATGCCCCACTGGGGCCACAAAGCAATCTCTCCTAGTCCAGACTTGTGCCCAAAGCCAGCTGCTTGGGCTGGGAGATAACGGGGCCCCACGCTGAGCTGCCACCAGCGGACTCAGAAAAGTAACAAATTGACAACATTCAGGAAGAAGATTCCTCATTTCCAATAGTATCATCTATACCCTGTGGCATAAAGCACCTCCTGCCTTATTAACGTCTTTTACACTTTTTAGTGCTGAATCCAAGGTGAAAGGGAGGAGGGGGAGAGGGTACGTCTGTACCAGAGTCCTTTAGGAACAAGGAAAATGCCGTGGCAGAGATGAATTGTAGACCCAGAAATAGCATTTTTTGGATGAAATGTATAATGTTCACTCTTTTTCAAAAAAATGTTTAATACAGCCCAAATGACATCATATCAGGTCAGACAGAGCAGAGGAAGTTAGAAAAATACTGAGCATGAGAAGAAATTAATACAGACAGGAGCTATCTAAAATGGATTCCCCACTACACCCACTGAAGATCAGAAAGGAAAATCTTCATCAAAAAAAGACATCTCCCCTTACCACAGTTAAATACCAGCTGGACTCATTTAGGCTTTTAAACTATCTGCTACACTTCAAATACTAACATCAAAATTTGAAGGAAAGTAATATTTAGCTAGTCTAGTCAGGCTGTCTCCTAGGTATACTTATGAAGTAGAGAAATTTCTTAACATATTCAGTAAGTTTGGTATAATTCACCCACACAGAACTCCTCCAAATACCCACCAAAGCTTCCTAATTGCCCAGAACTTATGGTTCCCGTTTTCCCCATCCCCTGAAAATGTAAGTAGTCCTAGAGGTCATTGAATTATAGAATTCTGGAGATTAACATGTACACATTAATATTCTCATGGTTGCAAGTATCTGAAACCCACTCAATCTAGCCCAAGCAGAGAAAGAGAGAAGTTTATTTAAGTCCACTACACTGTCTAACAGAACCCAGTGGGAATAATGCAGTCTTTCTCAAGAAAGAACTGAAAAGTCACCATGATTTCAATTCCGTCTCTCGTTTCTGATCCTCTCTGCACATCTGCTTTACTGTCTGTCTCTGTAGACTGGCATTTCCTGATCCTTAGCCCATGGAACAGACTGCACACCCCACAGTTCCTGAGGCATGACTTTGCAGCTACACAAGGAAGCTAAATAACTGGTTGTCCCTCAAGTTCAATGGAAAATCCTAGAGGAGGGAATCTGACTGTCCCAGCTTGGGTAAAGTATTATCTCTGTCACAATCAGCCATTGCTAAGGGGATAGATACATCCTGCAGTACAGAATTTGCAAGCAGTTCCCAGGGCAGAGTGTATTTGGCTGCTGTCCAAGGCCTAACCCAACACTGTGCGTGCACCCTAGTACAGTGTTGAGTACTGTGCAACCTCTCCCAGGAAATCTGGACAAAGTGAGGAAGGAGAAGGCATTGGGAGAAAGAGGTGCAAAGGATAGAGATAAATGGTTAGATAGATAGGAAGCATGAGCATCAAGGGATTGCCAATGAATTGTTTTCAAATAAGCATTTATTAAGAAAGAAACTACAACCGTGGCTGAAATTGTAGACAGCTAAAGAAGGGGGATGCAACACTGGCATTAAAAAAAAAAAAAAATTCACATGCAAACATATAGGACACCAGAAGGGCGGAGATGACACAGCTAAAATATTCTCATCCACCAAGTTACACTAAAGTGCATATAAGTTTCTCTGTTTTACCAAAAGCAATGGCAACAAACGCCAAAATTGACAAATGGGATCTAATTAACCTAAAGAGCTTCTGCACAGAAAAGAAACTACCATCAGAGTGAACAGGCAACCTACAGAATGGGAGAAAATTTTCACAATCTACTCATCTGACAAAGGGCTAATATCCAGAATCTACAAAGAACTCAAACAAATTTACAAGAAAAAAAGAAAACAACCCCATTAAAAAGTGGGCGAAGGATATGAACAGACACTTCTCAAAAGAAGACATTTATGCAGCCAACAGACACACGAAAAAATGCTCATCATCACTGGCCATCAGAGAAATGCAAATCAAAACCACAATGAGATACCATCTCACACCAGTTAGAATGGCGATCATTAAAAAGTCAGGAAACAACAGGTGCTGGAGAGGATGTGGAGAAATAGGAACACTTTTACACTGTTGGTGGGACTATAAACTAGTTCAACCATTGTGGAAGACAGTGTGGTGATTCCTCAAGGATCCAGAACGAGAAATACCATTTGACCCAGCAATCCCATTACCGGGTATATACCCAAAGGATTATAAATCATGCTGCTATAAAGACATGTGCACACATATGTTTACTGCAGCACTATTCACAATAGCAAAGACTTAGAACCAACCCAAATGTCCATCAATGATAGACTGGATTAAGAAAATATGGCACATATACACCATGGAATACTATGCAACCATAAAAAAGATGAGTTCATGTCCTTTGTAGGGACATGGATGAAGCTGGAAACCATCATTCTCGGCAAACTATCGCAAGGACAAAAAAACAAACACCACGTGTTCTCACTCATAGGTGGGAATTGAACAATGAGAACACTTGGACACGGGAAAGGGGAACATCACACTGGGGGCCTGTTGTGGGGTGGGGGGAGGGGGGAGGGATAGCATTAGGAGGTATACCTAATGTAAATGACAAGTTAAGGGGTGCAGCACACCAGTATGGCACATGTATACATATGTAACAAGCCTGCACATTGTGCACGTGTACCCTAGAACTTAAAGTATAATAAATATGTATGTATAGCATTGCCCTTTTTCATTCTAAATTTTATTTTTTATATAATTGACAAATAAAACATATATACATTGTGGAATGTCTAAATGAGTTAATTAACATAGGCATTACCTCACATACTTATCATTTTGTGGTGATAACACTTAAAATCCACTCTCTTAGCAATTTTCAAGAACACAATACATTGTTATTAACCATAATCACCATGTTGTATAATAGTTCTCTCAAACTTATTTCTCCTATCTAACTGAAATTTTGTATCCTTTAATCAACATCTTCCCAACCACCCCCCTCAACCCCTAGGTCCTGGTAACCACCATTCTACCCTCTGCTTCTATGAGTTTAACTTTTTTACACTCCACATCTAAGTGAGACCATGCAGTATATGTCCTGTATATAGCATTGCTCTTAATGATTCTTTCATACATCTATTTAATTTAATTTTAAGTTGAACCATGTGAAATTGCAATTTTCATAGGCCAAACTGCCAAATATCAGCAAATTTCCAAATAATCTTTTTCAAAATAATACATATACATACTTTTTTTGAGACAGGGTCTTGCTATGTTGCCCAGGGTGGAGTGTAGTGGCACAATCTTGGCTCACTGCAGCCTCAACCTCCCAGGCTCAAGCAATTCTCCCACCTCAGTCTCCCAAGCAGCTGGGCTACATGCACATGCCATCACGCCCAGCTAATTTTTCTATTTTTTGTAGAGACAGGGTTTCACCATGTTGCCCAGGCTGGTCTCAAATTCCTGAATTCAAGCAATTCACCCACCTTGGCCTATAAAAGTGCTGGGATTACAGATGTGAGCCACTGCTCCTGACCCATATATATACTTTTAAATAGAACTACGGACTTAAAATGAAAACATCAGTCCTTAGGATCACTCCTTCTTTACCCCTGAATCTCCTTCCTCAAAGCCAACTATTTTCAGGGTTATTTTTTAAACGTTGCTTCCGATTGCATATTTCTAAGCCATATTAATAGAGATCTTAAGTTTTCTGTTTTATACTTTATATGTCAACTTCCTCCTGTGGAAGATATGGACCATTTAAATACCATCAAACATATTGGCTCATCTATCAATTCCAGTAGTTTTCTTGGAGACATTCCTAGTGGAGGCTTCCATCCTTCTGTTCAAATCTTAACTGATACTCTCTAGACCTAGTGAGTAGTTGCAATCCTGAAACTTCTCTTACCATTATCCTGGGAATGCCCTTTGCCTCTCTTCTGTGTTGCCTTTCCCTGCACTGACTTGATGTTCTCTTTCTTGGTTTGCAATCTTATTTTGTGGAGCACACACCCAGAAGCCTTCTGAACATTATGCAAAGAAGATACATGTTTAGGAATTTATACATCTTCAAATTCATTCTACTTTCACACGTGATTGATGGTGTGGAATTCTAGATTGAAATGTATTTTCCTAGAATTTTGAAAGCATTACTCCTTGTCTTCCAGATTCCAGGGTTTCTTTTAACAAATTCCATGTCATTCTGATTTCTGATAAGTTGTATGTAATCTGTTTATTCTCCTTAGAAGCTTGTAGATTCTTCTCTATATTCCTGGTATTTTGAAATTACATGAAGATGAGCTTCGGGGTCAAATTCTGTTAATTTACTGTGCTGGGCTTTTAAATTCAGAGGTTCCTGTCCTACAGCTTTGGCAATTCCTCCTGTATTATTTCTGTGATTGTTTCCTCTCCTTGGTGACTCCTTGAGGCTCCTATTTCTCAATGTTGCCATCCTGAACTGATTCTCCAGTTTTAACTTTCCTGTTTTCCATCTCTTTGGCTTTTTGTTCTATTTTTGAGAGATTATCTTCCACATTATCTTCCTCAATGTTAACTTCCAACTCATTTATTGAATATATTATTTTATCGTATTTTAAATTCTCAGGAGCACTTCCATGTGAAATCACCTTTTATCTCTCTGAAAATATCCATATGATATTACCTCTTAGCTCCCTATGAGGATCTTTGTAGATCCTATTTTATAGAACACATTTTGTTTTGTTTTGTTTCTTCTCCCCTTCTTGTGTTTCCTCAGAGATATTTTGTCTGATTTGCTTGTTTTGTTCACTGTCTTTCCTGTAGGAGATGTTTTTCAAATGCCTGATGATCTTTGGGATTTCTCTATTTGGGTTTGGGTAGGGTTATTGTTTTTGGTTGTTTGTTTATTTGTTTTGTTGGTTGGTTTGGTTTGGTTTTCTATCCAAAAATGAAGTCCTAAAAGCTGTCTGTGCTTGGGTGGGCCTTATTGGCTGGTGGGCTTTACAGCAGGGGATCATGTGGTGATCCAGGCACTTTGTGAGGGGACTTTCAAATATGCATGTCTGAAGGTATAGTCTGTCTTGTATTCATTGTCTGGAGGGCTTGTATTTTTATTATTTCTTCTGTCATTTCAGTGAGATCTGCTAAGAAGTAGAAATAAGGGCATACTTCAGTCTACCATCTTCAGTTAGAGGTCCTCTATTGCATTTCTGACAATTAATATTTCTTTCTGGGAAGCTGGGGATTCATGTGTCTTCTATGTCTCCCCAACACTGCATTTATGCCTACTGGTGAATCAGCCCTCAGAAGTCAAGAATATCCCCTTATTTTTTAACTCTTTTATCTCCAAAGCCATCTTTACTGGATAGAACCTACTTGGGGGTTCTTATTGGTTTCTCTGATTCCTTGAATGCATAGCAAAGTCAGCATACTTGGGAATGCACTCAACCACTTCCTTCTTCCTGCTTTGGCCAAAACATAAGGGGCCTGTTTGCCGGAACCTGCCCGTTACCTGTATACTTGACATAGTTCTCACAGCCCCATCTAGCAGAGCCAGTCTTCCAATGATGACTCTTGTGTCTTGCACTTCAAGAGCAACAATTCCAGTGTGACGCTGGGGCCTGTAATGCCTTATAAGGCACGTCTTTTACCCACTGAGAACCTAGCACTGAACTTCTCTGGGGAGCATGATTTCAGGGGGAAATCATCTGCTTTAAGGCAATTCTGGATTTTCTTCATGTGTGAAATGGGGATAACACTAGTACAGCAAAATTATATTCCATAGCATTAGTTGATGTGATGCTATATAGGCACTGTCCTACCCAGGCTCTGCAACTAAAGGGAAAGACATCCTGATGTAGTAACAAACAGTTAACTTTGAGAACAAATGTGCTGCATTCTTAATCTTTTAAGGTCAAATGACACTTTCTAGGTGTGAGACAGGAAAAATTTGAAATGGGGATGCCCATAGAGAGAGCAGGTATGTCCTTGTACTCCACAGAAAATGGAAGACTTCAAAGCTGGAGGAGAAGGAAGAGAGTTTTGAGAGAAGAAATAAGAATACACTCTGGAGGAGCCCAAGTCCCTGCCTCTCCCCTCTGGGCCAAGCCCATGCTGGGCAGAGAGGATCTGAGAGTGGAGGGGACTTGTTGCTCATGCTAGAGTCCTGAGATCAGCCAGCAGCCTTGCAGAGATGACAGTGAAAGGTAATGGGCCTGGATGGAGGAGCCCCAGGAGTCTGTGTGGGCCTAACTGGAGAGCAGAAGGTCACTGAGAATGAGCACCCATGAGCCAGCCTGGAGGTAACCATAGCACAAGGCAAGTGAACCTGAGAGCCGAGGCTGGCAATGCTTGCCCAGACAGATCAGACAAAAGTCTCTGCAAATGAACTCAGGGTGTCAGCAGCAACACAAGAGCAAAAGTGGGGCCAAGTCAACAAAGGAAAATTTCCCTGCTCCCAGAATAAGCAGCGTGCCCAGACTGAGATGGGACAAGAGACAAAGAGGAGCATCTGCAGCAGATTGCTACATTGGTGAGACAACCACAGGCCAGACACCTGCTACCCCAAGGCCACTTGATTCTGAAGATTCCCTTGAATAAAATGCATGAGCATGAGGGGCAGAGACCTTGAAATGGTTACATTTTGAACTATAAATAACCAAGGAATTAATATGTTGGGCTAAAAGTCTTGGAACATTGCTAGACTACACATTCTTCTAGAATCAAAAATAAGAATTTGCAAACTGAATTCAATGTTTGAGAAATTTTTAGTTTCATTTCTCCTCATCTGAGTCTTATTGTACTATGAAACTCACAGTCATTGTACTTGCTTCACAGTTCTTATTGTGATTAAATGAGGCTCCTTCTGTAAGGTCCTTAACCCTGGGCTTGGAGCATAGTAAGGACTCACAAATGTTAATAACCCCCACCTGCCTTTGTCTATGCCTTTCAGAGTTAATACCTGTGGGCTAGAGCAAGGACAGTGAAAGAATGCAGGAAGTAAACACTCACTCTCAACCTTGGAGCTGCGCTTAATCCCCTGGTAGCCCTAAGGCTGGTGAAGCCTCCCAGACACTGACACCCCACTCTTGTATCTCTTCTCTGTACAGTCAGGCAAGCTTGGCCTCTCACTCTGACACCCACAGGGAGTCCCTTTGTTAATCACACCCTTTGTCTCACTTGGCCCAAAACACCAGCATTTAAGATCACTAAATCACCCTCTCTCTTTCTTTATCCCATGTCAAAATGAAACTGCATTCACTCTGCTATGAATATTAAATAAATAATGCCATTACTCAGACATTGCATGTTCAATTCAGCTTGCCTAAAGAGAGATAATGCAGAAAGACCCCAACAAGGAGACAAAGATCTTTAGATTGAGTCCAGAAAGACAATTCAAAACCTCTATGGCCAGATTGTGACAGCCTTCTCAAGAAGTTTCTTCTACCATCAGTAGGACTCTAATTTCGTAGCCATGTAACAGGCTGATTCCCTCATTTTATAGGCGTTCAGCTGAGTCTGCAATGTGAGGTATCAATTTCTTCCTTCAAGAAAAAGATGAGCTACTACGCAACAGAAGATGAGATTTTTGCGAAAAAGTTAGAAGAATTTTATAGCCTGTTTGTGTCTTCCATACCACCCATTGACAGCAGGGCCTCCATAAATGCTTATTAAAATTAATATTGTTTGAGCAAGTCAAAGGAGAAGAAAATACTTCTGCAAATCTATGCATGATATAACTCTCTCCTGCACAGAGCCTGGGATGAGGAACGTGATGGATGTGATGGAAAGAACATTGTGCAGAGAATAAATAAACTGTATCCAAACAGCATTTGGAATAACACTCCCAGGAGTGGATAGGTCTGGGTTTAGGAATCTGACTGTTCATTCACTCCATCTCTATAATTTACCTGAGGCATCCACACACATAATATTACCATCTGGTATAATGATGCTGATTTGGTAAAATCTCAAGTCAAACTAGAGCTTGCCCAAGACATAGTGACAAGTGTGTAGTCAGCATCTGCTATCACACATTTCACCTCTATCAAAGGCATTAGCCTCTCTGCCAACTCCAGAACTACAAAGAAGCCTTTTCATAATTGAGTTTGATCTACAATCACTGTTAGGGGGTCTCTTGCATACTTGTGTCAATTTTAACCACCCATCAGAGAATCCAACAACTATAATAGTAATACGTACATATATGACACTTTATAATTTACAAAAGAATCTTACCGACTTTACGAACATTCTTTCAGCATTATAAGAGTAGGTATGATTATCACTATTTCACAGGTGAGGAAACTGAGGCTCATAGAAAATTAATGACTTGCCCATGATCACAAAGCTAGTAAGTGGTAGAGCCAAGATTTGTACCCAGATCTCTGGTGTTGCGTCTGTGTTCATTCCAGCAGATCCTGTGTATTATTCAGGGCATAGTGATATTATTCTCAGTCATTCACTTTTGCCCATGACCTTTCCCCACTTCTCAGGCAATAGCTAGGGCAGTCTGGGCTTACTGAATTGGAAAGGAAAGGCATAAAAAATAAAGAACAAAAATGAGTTTCTGGCTTTTAGGTTTTGAAATTTCTGGCAGAGAACATAGCATAAAAATCTCAAAATCCTCGTTTCTGAGTACAAAAAGCCAGGCTTCTACAAACAATAGAATTTAGAAGACATGCCTGAGAAAAGAGAAAGTTAATTTTGCCACCCAAGACTCCACAGGCCAGGAGGAAACAAAGATGTTCAGGGAGAGTCAGAGATTAATGCAGAAGTGGGAATCTGCACCCTCAGGTGAGAGTTTTAGGTCCAGGAGACAGACCTCGCAGGGAGCAAACCTTAAGGTATTCCGCCATGATCGCCACCTCCTGGAATTCACATCCTTGCCTAATTCCCTCTGCTGAGTGTAGGTGGACCCTATGACTTGTTTCTAACCAATAGAATACAGCAAAGGTAAGAGATGTACATGATTATGTGCATGTGATTATGCTACATACAATTATAGTGCCCATCTTGCAAAGAGACACTCTTCCTTGCTGGCTGTAAATAGCCAGCTGCTGTGTGCATTACCTATGGAGAGGACCATGTGGCAAGGAACTGAGAGCAGCCTCCAATGAACAGCCAGCAAGAAACTGAGACCCCCTCCCAGTCTGGCAGCCTGCAAGGAACTGAATGCTGCTAACAACCATGTGAGCTTGGAAGCAGATTTTTCCCCAGTTGAGCCTCAGATGAGAACTCAGTCCTGGCCAACACCTGGACTGCAGCCTTGCAAAGAACCCAGCTAAGCAGTAGTCAGACTTCTGATTCACAGAAATCATGAGATAATAAATATATGTTGTTCTAGTTTGCGATAACATAGTTGTAGAGCAATAGAAACTAATACAGATTAGTTCAGGGATCTGTAGGAGAACGGATGTTTGTCATTCCCAGGAAAGACCCAGCCGGGTAAGTGAGGTTCCTAAGAGTTTCATAGCCCCAAATATGGTACAGATGTAGTGGAGCAAAATGGTAGCAGGACACATTTGAGCAAACAGAGCCTGGCATAGCCAACCCTGAGTCTTCCTCGGCCTTATAGAGGCTCAGGAGTACAGCCAGGGGGCTCAAGGATGTGGCTTAGGACGAACAGAAGATAAGGAGGGTCCCTGTGGTCAAGACAAGAAAGGCACAGACCAATGGCACAGACATCTCAGCAGGTCACTAGGATGGATGCCAGGAACCAAACCAGAGGAAGACAGTTACACATCTCAGATGCCAGCAGGGACTTTTGCTGTGACCAGACACCAGGAGCTCTCCACGAAGCTGAGGTAAATTGATGCTGCTCCAGGGAAAGAGTGGGAGTTCCTGAACAATGGTGTTCATTCTGGAAATGACTGCATTTACCTGGAAGTGATTGCAAGCACATGTTCGGCCATCAGTGGAGGGAGAAGGCAAGTAAACAACCTGCTACTATAGGCTGATGAGTGCTGGATAGCAAGAAACCCAGGCATCTTGGGGATGTAGGGAGGGATCAGTAAAGTTTTCTTAGAGGAAGTAACACCTGAGTGGAGGGTTATTTTTGCTTTTTTAGAGACAAGGTCTCACTATGTTGCCCAGACTGCAGTGCAGTGACTATTCACAGGTGCAATCATGGCACGCTATAGCCAGAGTGGAGTTTTAGAAAATGAGTCATAATGAGATTCAGTCCACGTAAAACTGCAAACTTTTATGACCCTATGAGTTTAACTTTTCAAATTCTAAGATTCTTTGTTCCTAAAGTCTGAAGATCAAAGCCTCCTTGCTGGCATTGTTATCTACTGGGGCCCTGCTTGGGAGTGGGAGAACACAAATTAATACAGCTAAAATATATCTGAATCAGCCTCCTATTCTTCCTAATTTCCGACATCTCTGTCATCTCTGCCTTCAGGACTTGCTTCCTTTTTTAATTTACTTCTTTATTTTTAATAAATGTTCTGCATGCACACAGTTTCAAGAGTCAGATCATTTTGTAAGACTTGCATGAAAAATAGCAGTTGTATACACTGCCCCATCCCCTCCCCGCCCCCAGTTTCACCACCAGAGGAAAAAACTTTCAACTTCTAGAAGATGTTTTGGACATTTTTGCCCCTATCTATAAGTAATGTGCTGATACTGCTACTTTTCGATTTTTTTCATTGCACCATCCACTGGCTTCCCAATATGAAAAATGCGACTTTTTCACCATTCTTTGCAATCACACCACACACACCTACTTCCTATCCTGATCCTCCCAATGGAGTTGATTCATAATTTTAGTTAAATTCAAAACATTCAGTGTTTACATTATTATGATGATGTAAATGCTATTCACAACTTACTTGTGAGGCTTGTGAGCTATGATTACATTACTTTATAATACAGTTTGTTTTCCCTTGAGTTTACGCTTGTCTTGGTCTTTCGTTTGTTAAGTTTTCTATATCCTTATCATGAATTCAACCTCAAAGTCTTCCCCATATATGTAAACATCTTCTTACTACGTTCAAACTCATTCAGCATCTAATCATTTTTGCCTTCTTGAATAATTATCTCCTGGTCTTCTGATCCACTATGGCAATCTGAACTGTTTGCACAGCTGTTGTTTTTAGGCTTCCCTTCACCATTATCCTAGGGATAGCTTTGTTTCCTGTTTTGGATCTTCTGTTTCCTGTATCCCAGTTTGTAGTATTATACCCCATTTCACCACTTTTAGTGCACACACGCACACACACACATACACACACACACACACGCACACTTCCTGGCTTCAGTGTGCTTTTGCTTCCAACAGCCAGCACCTACGGACCTTCTTCAGAAGACTGCCCTTGGCTACTGGAAGTGCTTTGTCTAAAGCCAGAGAACCAAGTGCCTAGGAATTTTTATCCCCCAGCCCCCACCCTCCAGAGCATTGACTAGTATAATTGATTCTTATACTAGTTTGGGAATATGCCAGCCAGCTCCCTTGCCTCAGGTTGGGACAACTCTGAAGTCATTTATACCACAGAATTCTCCAGGATCAGATAGAAGTCACCCTCCATGAAACGCTGCCTGGAATCACAACTTGATTGGCTTCCTCTCTCTTTTGTCCTGCTTCCTCCACTCCTTTATAGGTCTCTTTAATAAATCACTTGCACAAGAATCAATGTCTCAAAGTCTTCGAGGGAGTCCATCTGAGACACATATCTTCCTTTTGCTCAGTTTAATTTCCTGGTTTGTTGGAACATGTCCTCCAATAGCTTCCTGAGAAAGGGTGTATGGCATATAAAATTGTTTAGGCTTTCTATCCTTGAAAACATCTTATTCTACTAGCACACTTAATTGATAGTTCAGTTTTTGTGATGATTAGTCTTATGTGTCAGCTTGGCTAAGCTATAGTACCCACTTACTTAATCAAACTCAAATCTAGATGTTGCTCTGAAGGTATTTTGTAAATGTGCTTAACATCTACGATCAGTTGACTTTAAGCAAAAGAGATTAAGATTATCTTCGATAATGTGAGTGGACTTCATCAAATCCACTGAAAGGCTTGGAAAGCAAAAACTGATGTTTCCTGAAAAAGAAGAAATTCTTCCTCAAGACTACAACAATAATTCCTGCCTGCGTCTACAGCCACCCTACAGATTTTAGACTTGCCTGCCCCCATGATCACGAGCCAATTACTTGAAATAAATCTATTTGTATATATTTTACATATATAATGTTACATACACAGTCGTCCCTCAGTATCCATGCGAGATTGGTTCCAGGACCTCCTGGGATACCAAAATCTGAGAATGTTTAAGTCCCTTATATAAAATGGCATGATATTTGCATATAACCTAAGCACACCACCACATAATGACATTTTGGTCAACAATGGACCACTTACACAAAAGATTATAATACCATGCCCTTACTATACCTTTTCTATGTTTGGATACACAAACACTGTCAACAAATTAACTGAGTGTGGTTCCAGGCACCTGTAATCCCAGCTACTCAGGAGGCTGAGACAGGAGAATCCCTTGAACCTGGGAGGCGAAGGTTGCAGTGAGCCGAGATCATGCCACTGCACTCCAGCCTGGGCAACAAGAGCGAAACTCCATTTCAGAAAAAAAAAAGATACACAAATACCATTGTGTTATAATTATTTACAGTATTCAGTACATAACATACTGTACAGGTTTGTAGCTTAGGAGCAATAGGCTGTACCATAGAGCCTAGTAGTAAACTATACCATCTAGGTTTGTGGAAGTACATTCTGTAATGTTCACATAACAACAAAAGGGCCTAGTTATACACTTCTCAGAACATATCCCAAGCTTTAAGCAATGCATGACTGTACTTTAAATCATCTCTAGACTACATATAATGCCTAATGCAATATAAACAGCTGTTATACTGTATTATTTTTAATTTGTATCTTTTCATTGTTGTGAGGGGTTTTTTTGGTTTTGGGGACTTTTTTAAACATTTTTGATCCAGGGTTGGTGGAATCTGCAGATATAGAACCACAGATACGGAGGGCTGACTGTATATCCCACTGGACATATCATATTGGTTTCTCTGGAGAACGCTGACTGATACAAGTGGGCATCAAAGTCATCTCATCTCAATATTTTGATGTTTTATTTTATATCCTACAGTAACTTCCAGTGTCACTGTTGAGATTTCCAATACTATTTGATTCCTGACCCTCACAACATAACCTGCTTTTTCTCTCTAAAGGCTTTTGGCATCTTTCCTCATTCCCAGTGTTCTAAAATTTTATAATGCGTCTTAGAGTTGGCTGATTTTCTCTCATTGTGTTTGACACTCAGTGGGACCTCTCAATCTGTATAATCAAGTTTTTAATTCTGAAAAATTCTCTTATTTATTTAATAATGTATTCTTCTTTGCTATCTCTATACTCTGTTCCTTTGACTTTTATTATTTGGATATTGGACCTCCTATACTGGTCCTATAACTTTCTTATATTGTCACTTCAATTTTCTATTACTAGAATTTTTCTTCTACCATTTGAAAGATTTCATCAAATTTTTCTTCTAACCCTTCTATTGAATGTTTACTTTTATCTCACATGTTTTTAAATCCCAACAGTTCTTTGTTTAATAGCAATCCGTTTTTTGTTGTTTGTTTGTTTCATGGCTGACATTTTTTTTTTTTTTTTTTTTTTTTTTTTTTTTGAGGCAAGGTCTTACTCTGTCACCCAGGCTGGAGTGTGGTGGCATGATCACACCTCACTGCAGCCTCCAACTCCTGGGCTCAGGTGATCCTCCCACCTCAGCCACCCAGATAGCTGAGACTGCAAGGGCACACCAACAAGCCCAACTAATTTTTGTATTTTTTGTAGAGACAAGATCTCACTATATTGCCCCAGTTGGTCTCAAACTCCTGGCCTTAAGTGAAATTCCTGCCTCACCCTCCCGAAGTGTTGGGATTACAGGCATAAGCCACATACCTGGACTGCAATATCTTCTTTTATCTCTCTGAGAATATTATTGATAGTTGTTTTTCATACTTTTTCTTGGTACAGAATTATTTATTTCAAAATATTTGTATCTGTTTTAGTCTCTCTGTCTTGGCCAATTTTCTGTTGCTTGTAACAGAATACCTGAGACTGAGTAATTTATAAAGAAAAGGCATTTAGGCCAGGCACAATGGCTCACACCTGTAATCCCAGCATTTTGGGAGGCTGAGGCAGGCGGATCACTTGAGGCCAGGAGTTCGAGACTAGCCTGGCAAATATAGTGAAACCCCATCCTCACTAAAAATACAAAAATTAGCTGGGTGTGGTGGCAGGCACCTGTAATCCCAACTACTTGGGAAGCTGAGGTAGGAGAATCACTTGAACCCAAGAGGTTGCAGTGAGCCAAGATCACGCCACTGCACTCCAGCCTGGGGGACAGAGGGAGACTCCATCTCAAAAAAAAAAAAGGCATTTATTTCTTACAGTTCTGGAGGCCAAGTCCAAGGTCTTTTCTTCTACATCTGGTCAGGAACTTCTTGCTGATAAGGATACTCCACAGAGTCCTGAGGCAGTGTAGGGCTTCACACAGCAAGGGAGCTGAGTGTGCTAGCTCAGGTCTCTCTTTCTCTTCTTATAAAGCCACTAATCCTGTTCTCATGATAACCCATAAATCCATTAACCCATTTCCATTACTCCACTAATCATGAATGGGTTAACCCATTCATGAAGGCAGAGCCCTCGTGACACAACTGTCTCTTAAAGGCCCCAACTGTGAATACTATCACATGAGTTTTGGAGGGAACAAACAGTCAAACCATAGCACCCTCTCTTACATCTAAGAAGATTTCTTCATAACATGGAGATCCTAGACCATCTGCTCCCAAGATTGTGACTCTAAAAGTGTCATTGGAAGTCCAAAGTATGTAGTGGGAGTTCATCAACTCTCATCTTCACAGTCAGGTAATCTGGCTGGGCTATTTGTCAGCCGACCCTGGGTGTCAGCATCTTTAAGTCTTTCCTTTCAGTCTGATGAGACTCCTAGGAGACATTTCTTCCAGTCTCCTACATGGACATGAGGGTTCTGGTACCAGTTGAGTTGCTTCTTGGATTTACCCATTGCTAGGTTAGGATTTAGCTTTTTCAAGTCAGTCAAGGCCATTGCCACTTGCCCACCTGCTTTCCACCCGTGATATTTAGTTGACTTGGTTGATTCCCTTTCTTTGTCTTTGTGAATTTATAAGTTTCAAAAACCCTTTTATTCATGAGCTTACAAGGAAAAAGCAAGGTGAAATAGGTGTGTTTTCATTCAATCTACCAACTCTATCTGGAAGTCCTCTGAGGCATTTTAATCCTTCAAACTAGACTGTATATGACTAAGCCTTCCTTCTCTTGAGCCTTCAGAAGCTGGATTAGTTTCCCAGGGCTATCATAACAAAGTACCAAAAACTGGGTGGCTTAAAATAAAAGAAATGTATTGTCTCACACTCTGAGGGATTAGAAGTCCAAAACCAAGTGTCAGCAGGTTTGGTTCCTTCTGAAGTCTGTGCGGGGTAGTTTATTCCATGCCTCTCTCCTAGTTTCTGGTGGTTTGCTGGGAACCTTTGGCTTATAGATGCATCACTCCAATCTCTGCCTTCGTCTTCATATGGCATTCTCCCTGTGCCTCTCTCTTCACATCGTCTTCCCTCTGTCCTTGTCTGTCTCTGTATTCACATTTCCCCCTTTTGATCAGGACACCAGTCGTATTGGATTAGGGCCCTGATAATGACCTCATTTTAATTTGATTATCTCTATAATGAACCTATTTCCAAATGAGGTCACATTATGAAGTTTTGGGGATTAGGACTTCAATGTGTCTTTATTGAAGGACACAATTCAACCCATAAAGGAACCAACTTACCTTTCTTTCCTCACATTCAAGATGATACCCAGTACAGAAGGGCCACCTGCTTAAATGTGTCTGCTGTGAAAACCTCAGCCACTGAAGTAAATGTTGGTCTCTCTGTGAAGTTGATGTATCTGAAAATCGCAGCATTGTATGGAACGGACAGCAAGTAAGTGAGGAGCAGCGCTAACATGGATGGCCTCAGAGGGCCCCTGTCTGGGTTCCTCATATCTGATGTGAGGACACTGACTCCCAGAACAGGGAAGGGCTATAATTCACTAGATATTTGTCAGACAAATAAGTCAGTCCATTTACAGTGATTATTGTTGATGTTAGGAACCCTGGTTTGGAGTCAGGAAACTTGATAGTCTGAATAGATTCTATCTTACCTCAAGTTTGACCTTTCTTGATGTTTCAAAATTCATGTGATTTTTGCATTCTACCTGATAATATATGCTTATTTGTTTTAATGTTCAAATAAAACTTTAAATAACTTGCCTTAGAGTATATTTAATTCTCTGGGAGAAGATGCTGTGTTTTCATCCTAAGGCTTTGTGTAACCCTAACACAATTTTATAGATACCTTATTTGAGACAGCCCTGGTGAAATGCAGATGAATTAATAGCCTGTAAGACTCTCTCCCTCCCACAGTTCTGTAAGAACATACGTTCTAACCAATAGCAAATCCCAAAGAGATTATGAGAGGCACAAGAGGAGTGCCTTGTCTTTGTAGACTCATACCACATGGCAACACAAGCCTAAAGAAAGGAAGGCTGGAGCCTCCAAGACAGCCATGAGGAGGAACCAAACCTAACTTGAACTCTGGTTCACTTGTGCTCCCTGTCCAGAGGTAGAACGATGTAGTGGTGAAAAATGCAGGTTTGGCCCCACAGACCAAGGATGACTCCTGTTTCTGCCACTTCCCAGCCACATGAGCCAGGGCAAACAAATATTAATTATTCTTTGGAAATCTAGCTTGAGAGTCAATCTTGTCATCCCCCAGGACCGTGGCTGACTTCTGCCTGGACAGAATGCATGAAGCAGCTAAGGATTCTAAAAGTAAAATGCTAGCAAACAGATTGGGGAAGGAAACCAGAACTCGAAGAACTAGAAAAAAAAATAGTGAGTTTCCTGGTTTTATCCCTCAATACCTCTGAGCCTAGATTCAAAGTTAATCTGAAACCTGAGCTGTACACTAGATGAGGATAGAAAGAACTCCAAGAGAAATGTCTAACTCCAACCTGAGGCCTAAGAAAGAAAGCCCCTATAGGTCAGAGAGAGTGGGAGAAATACCCTGGGTGGGTTGCTTTTCATTCAGTTTCTACCCCCAGGCAATATTCTTCCCTTACAACATGGGCAATGGGAGCAGTAACCAGGCAGGCACCTAAACTCCAAGAGTGGGGAAGCCCCCTCTCTCTGACCCAGGAACTGGGGTCTGCAGAGCATGGAGAGAATCCCCGTTGCTTTTTTTCTGTATGTGGTCGCTCGCCTGATGGCTCTGGATGCAGACACAGTCTCAGGAAATACATGGCAGAGTAGGGAAGCTAAAGCCCCAACTTCCTAGCGAGACCAGGAGGGGAAGACCTTGGGAACCAATAAATGTCAGGGACAGAAGACCCAATCCTCAGCTACAAGAACAAGTCCTGACAAGTCTAACTATAGCAATTCACTGAAGTCTCACTGGGCCTAACAGCAATTGGTTTAGGTACAAACAGGGAATGCAGTTCTAGCCAATGAGAAATGAAAGAAAGGCTCCCAGGGTGTGGAGTGGGGCGTAAGGCAGATTTAGGTAAGTGTTTTTTTTGCTTTGGAAAGGAGAGGGTAAGAGACAGTCCTGATAGTACGCATCATGTCTGTGGACTGGAGCCACAACAGCCATGCTGGGACCGTGATCAGAACTAGCAAAGGACCAAGCTGACCCTCTGATACTGGCAGAATGGAAAAACGAACAGAACCTGGAGCCACGGAGTTAACCAGCCTGGAGGTGCCCAACCATGACGTTTTTGTTATGAGAGACAATATATTTTTTCTGTTTTTTTGAGCCAATAGAGGCAGGACTTTCTAGAACTTGCAATCAGAAGTTACCTAAGAATAATACCTGCTAAGGTGCATACGAGGTAAAAAGTTCACTAGAGCAGGAACATAAGGTCAGATCCCCACCTGCCCAACCCAAACTTGACCTCACTTTATATTGTTTTAGGTCCCACCTCTGAAACCGGGAGTGTAGGAAGTCTTTCTCAAGGTTCAGAGGATGTATTCACTTCAGGGGAAAGAACAAAGACAGTATCTGGAACAAGGAATGAAGGGAGACCCTCTCTTCCATGACCAACCACAGATATTTGCAGCATCCTTATAATGTCTTCCTGGGCAGCCAACAGGCCCTACCACTGGTGCTAACCCAGGTGGAGAAATTGTGAGGTCAGCTCGCTAAGGGAAGCTAGAGACACCCCATGTGCTAAAAAGAAAATAATTTACTACATGGATTACTCAAGTAATGAGGCTTTAACCACTGTTTCATTTTCATCAAATAGATATTTGATAAATGTATAAATAAATAATTTTATAGGAAAAATAGCCCATGAATTTAAAATTCTCATCTATTTATATCCATCTACATTTTTTCCAGACTCTTCAAAGCACAGACACCATTTATATAAAATTTTAAGAGTGGTATTTTATTCTGCATTCTGCTTTGCTTTGCATTTAACATTGTGATGTATAGACATTTTTACATATGAGCACAATTCACGTATTTTTTCATTTTAGTGTTCACAGAGAATTCTGATACACTGTGGTTCACTTAACCATTCCCACTCACTGGGCATTTTGGTCACTTTCCATCTTCCCCTATTATGAACATCCTACCATACATAGCTCTCTATAATGGCTTTTTTAAAATTTGGATTATTACCTTAGGGTATATTCCCAAAAGTGGGATTATACAGTCAAAGGGTATGAATGTTTTCATATTCCTTATTGCAAACTGCCAGCTTGTACTTCAGGAAAATAGTAACAACTTACAGAACAGCCAGCCTTGTATGTGGATTTTATGTGCAGAATCTAATACAATGGGTTTTATTGATCTTATTTATTTTTATTAATTTAAAGTTGACACCTCATAGCTGTTCAAATTTGTATTTCTTTGTTATTCAGACTGAACATTTTTTCATGTTAATTACTATTTGTAAAAAATAAAGTCTGGGCATGGTGGCTCATGCCTGTAATCTCAGCACTTCGTGAGGCTGAGGCAGGAGGATTGCTTGAGCTCAGGCATTCAAGACCAGCCTGGTTAACATAGTGAGACCCTATCTCTACAAAAAATTTTGAATATTAGCCAGGAATGCTAATGTGGACACCTGTGGTTCCAGCTACTCTGGAGGCTGAAGCAGAAGGATTACTTGAGTCCAGGAGTTCAAGGTTACAGTGAGCTATGATCATGCCACTGCACTCCAGCCTGGGCAACAGACCAAGACCCCATTGGTTAATTAATTAATTAACTAGTTAATTAATTAAAATTTAAAAAGACATTTTAATAGGGCAAATCTATCCATTATGATAATATGACATTAATTGTAAAGGTGATACTAATGAAGATATCTTCCTTTCTTTATAGGTAAACAATATCTTCATTTCATTTGATAAATTATCAAGTAGAATTCAGGTCTCTTTATGGTTGATTCCTTATCTATTTTAGACTGTAAGCTTTATTCATAATAATTAAAATAATTTGCTAATTTTTTATGTCATTTAGTCTCTTTTCTCATGACCAAAAGTCATAACTCTTTTATAATTGATTTGATTCACTTTGTTTCTGATGATATATTCCATTGCTTTTTTTTTTTTTTTTGAGACAGAGTCTTGCTCTGTTGCCCAGGCTGAAGTACAATGGCACCATCTCGGCTCACTGCAACCTCCGCCTCCCAGGTTCAAACAGTTCTCCTGCCTCAGCCTCCCAAGTAGCTGAGATTACAGGCGCGTGCCACCATACCCAGCTAATTTTGTATTTTTAGTAGAGATGGGGTTTCACCATGTTGGCCAGCCTGGTCTCAAACACCTGGCCTCAAGTGATCCACCCATCTCAGCCTTCCAAAATGCTGGAATTACAGGTGTGAGCCACCACACCCAGCTGATATCTTCTTTTACTTTAAATATCACAAGTACATTTCTCCTCCATTGTAGTTATAAATATGCTATTTCATTCTCTTTTGATTTTATTATGGTTTGTTTTATGGCCATTTATGAGGTACACACCTGAGTTTGCAGGCAGTATTCAAACCATACTGCCTGGATTTCTGAAATACGTGGCTAAATTCTTCCTTTATAACATTAACTGAAAACAAAAGCATGCAGCCATTTAGTTCTGTGATTGGGATGTTGATGCAGAGCAGCTCAGAGGTCAGGGTGCTACAGTGCCATATGCATGATTTCCTACTAATCAGAAAGACCAAGTAGAAACATTTCAGAAGCATCATGAGATGAAGAAAATGCGCACATACACACACCCTTTTTTTAACTTTTATAAGCTCAGGGCTATATGCACAAGTTTGTTATATAGGTAAACTTGTGTCATGAGGTTGTTGTACAATTATTTCATCACCCAGGTATTAAGCCTAGACCCATTACTTATTTTCCCTGATTCTCTCCCTCCTCCCACCCTCCACTCTCCAATAGGCCCCAGTGCACACACACACTTTTAATGCATGTATTTCTGTATTATTTCTTACAACTGTGTATGAATCTAAATTAATTCAAAATAAATTTAATAGAAAAACTTTTTTTTTTCTTTTTTTTTTTTAGATGGAGTCTCACTCTGTCGCCCAGGCTGGAGTGCAGTGGTGTGATCTCTGCTCACCGCAAGCTCCGCCTCCCGGGTTCACGCCATTCTCCTGCCTCAGCCTCCCAAGTAGCTGGGACTACAGGCGCCCGCCACCACGCCTGGCTAATTTTTTGTATTTTTAGTAGAGACGGGGTTTCACTGTGTTAGCCAGATGGTCTCGATCTCCTGACCTCGGGATCCGCCCGCCTCAGCCTCCCAAAGTGCTGGGATTACAGGCGTGAGCCACCACGCCCAGCCGATATTTTCTTTTTAACGTAAGACTCCCAGTAAAAGTCTAGACTCTCAGTAAAAGTCTAGAAGCTTGGAGCATGGCTATGCTTTATCATCAATTCCCTGATACTTAAAGCAAGGGCCACCAAGTTGTGAAGTCTTTATCCTCAACCACCCATTATTTGAGGAATCAGTCTTCAAACACTGCAATGTTAAGGCCCAAGGCAGATTCCGAGGTACTGGTTTTTAGCCATATTACTAAGTATTTTTAAGGTCCGCAAGCAATCTTGCTTGAAGGTAGGGCATCAGCTGTCGAGGAAACAACTTATAACAGAGAAAATTAATATTTTTAAGCTAAAAGCTCCTTCCCATTGCTACAGGTGAAGTTTAATTTTTGAAGCTGGAAAACTGTCACTTCGGCAACCAAGTGGATTTTACGTCCTAGAGTTTAAGCAGGAATTTGTTCTTAGGCAGGTCTTCTCTTTCTTCAGGGAGGGCCCACTATGATGACCTTTTTAGTCATGCAGACAGAGATAAAGCAATTTCTTACTCCTTTTTCTGGGAACAACCATGAATCAGTCTATGCTTCTGACTGAGATGTTAAGTATTCTGCTCAGTAATGAAAATGTGGTTTCTGTTCCATCAGGATTGTGCCCTTGCAATTAAATTATTTTAAAATATAAATTTAAATTGTCCAGTCCCTAAAAAGTATTGCTTGTTCATAAGAGATATTTGATTATTCCCAGTAGATTGTGAGACCTGCCCATGCCAGGTGAAACATGAGGCCTGATTATCTGCTCACGGGGAGGAAAAAGAACCTGGGCTGGGCTTGGCAGGTGTTTCCTGGCCTGGCCAGTTGGGACCCCACACTCAAGGCTCTGCTCCTGCTGCCATTGCCACCTCTATCTCAGCAATCCCAGGACCCTGAAGCAGTCCAACCATTAAGAGAACAAGTGTGAGTTTGAACCCCAGTCTTACCACTGTACTCCTGTATGAACTTGGGCAACTCACTTTACTTCTCCTGTCTCAGTTTCTCATCTGCAAAATGGGGAAGATAATACCTACCAGAGGAGTGCTAGGAAAATGTGAGTTTCCTCCCCTGCCCCCATCCTGAATTGAAGGACTTTGCCATCCTATACATACAAACTGACCTCTAGTCAGTCAAAGCGGCTGATGAGCGGTAAAGAAAACCCCACCCACCCCTCCAATGGATACACCTGCAGAACCAGTTCTCTCCAGCAGCCATCTAGACGCTAACAAGTGTGGGGAGGGCCTGGCCCCACACCCTGGGTATAAAGATGTGGGCTGGGGATATTGCTGTGTACCTGGATCCCCCAGATTATATGGGAAATCTTCCTTCTGATCCACCCCTCCTCTCAGGTGCACAGAGTTGCAGCCTGTGCCAAGGCTGACCTTAGTCTTCCGCATATCCTGGCCGAGGAAGCATGAAAATGGCTGGAGGGCAAATAGCCTTTGCCCCATGGACCACCATCACTGAGCTTCCTGTTCAAGCCCTTGCTTAGTTAGCCTTCTTGGGCCAAGACCAGCACCCATGGGCTCTTCCCCCACATCCCTGGATCATCCCTCTGCTCCTTGAAAGAAATCTCCCTGCTCCCAGAGGCCCCTGCACTCCCCTAACACACATACACACATACACTGTATCTTGCCCACATCCCCTTCACCAGTTCTGTGTGTCAGTCCCCAGATTCTTCT
The DNA here is from genome assembly GCF_000001405.40 of Homo sapiens. Classification (NCBI taxonomy): domain Eukaryota; kingdom Metazoa; phylum Chordata; class Mammalia; order Primates; family Hominidae; genus Homo; species Homo sapiens. Next base: position 137,049,982 of record NC_000003.12, on the reverse strand, counting down.
CCCAAAGTGTGCTTTACTTCTAAGGGATCTCACCTTGCAGTCTTCAGAGGACAGCCCCTGGCCTGCTGGCACCTTTAACCAGAAACAGTAATAGACAGAAGTCCCTGGGAGTTTATGTCCCCGGGGCTGCCCAAAGTTAATGCATGAGTGGTGCAAGGGTATGAAAGCCAGCTCCTTTGCCTTGATGAAAGGCAAAAGAATGCACCAGAGTGTTCCAATGGCTCCTCAGACCAAGGCTGCAACTTCACCTACAATTGCATTCTTCCTCCTCTTTCTTGTCCTGCTTGTCCTTCTCCCTCACTGTCCTCCCCTAGGCACACTTCCTTAGCAAATCTCTTGCACACTCTCTCTCCTCTCAGGATCTGCTTCTGGGCAACCTGACCTGAGACACGACACTAGCTTGTCACACACTCTAATGAGACAGAGGCCCACTGGTGGAGCCCACTTAGCCATGTATGTGATCTCAGTTGTGTGTATGCACAAGCACATTTGTGTGAAAGGTAGTGTGAGAACAGGTGTATTGGTGTGTAAGTTTATAAGTGTATAGGTGTGTTGCTTGAGAATGAGTACATGCATATTCTGAAGGACCAGTGTGTTTGTCTGTATGTGTACATGTGTCCAGATGTGTTTAGGCATTTCTGTCTGTAAATGTGGATGTAGGTGAGGGGTGTGTGTACTACTATGTGTGCATGGAGGAAGTGGTGGGTGTGTGTGCACATGCACACACGCTTGTGTCTAGCTCCACTACTTGGGGGTCAAGGGCAGAGGTAACTTGAAGCATCATAACATCTCTGCAGTCAGCAGAACCCACAACCTTCTGATAGTCCAAGGAACAGCTGGATCCTGGGTCACATGAAATGCATTTCATTATAAACATGGCCCCATTTCTCAGTTAAGCAAACATCAGATCCACTTCCACACTGACACCTAAATGAAAGATTTAAAAAGGAAAGCCTGGGGTAAATGAAACCTGGCCACCTGGACTGAAGGCACCCTCTCCATTTGACTACTTCCGGCACACCCGGGTGCCTGGGAAGTAGCATCCCGGCTCCTACACAGAGGACTGGGGATATAATCTTCTACTTAGTTTTATAAACTTAGGCAAGTTGCTTCTCCTCTCTGTGCCTCTACTTTCTCATCCGAAAATGGAGATAATAATAGTGTTATTAGGTAATAAGTGTATACTTACTGTATTTATTTGCTAGGGCTGCCATAACAAAATACCACAAACTGGGTGGCTTAAACGGCAGATTCTTATTGTCTCACAGTGCTGGAGGCTAGAAGTCTGAGACCAAGGTGTTGACAACGTTGGTTTCTTCTGAGGGCCATGAGGGAAGGATCTGTTTTAGGCCTCCCCTTGGCTTGCAAATGGCCATCTTCTCTCCCTGTCTCTTCATATTGTCTTCTTTGTATGGATATGTGTCCAAATTTTCCTTTTTTGTAAGGACACCTGTGATATTGGATCAGAGCCCACCCTAATGGCCTCACTTGAACCTGATTACTTCAGTAAAGACCTTGTCTCCAAATAAGGTCACATTCTGAAGTACTGGGGGCTAGGACAGGGATGGGGACACAATCCAACCCTTAACACTTATTTATATGGTTTTATGGTTACTAAAATGAGTTAGTTTTTGTAAAGTACTTATATCATATACCTGACATATAGTAAGCCCTATAAATATTCTGCTATGATGGTAACAATGATGATTAATTGTAACGACTTCATAACTTTTGTGTCTTGTACTAAGAATTAAAATGGCTGCAAAGTGCTTGTAAGACAAAATATAAAAAGCCTTACAATACACAAAAGGTGAAAGAAAAGACAAAATCCAATTAGCTGGGCATGGTGGTGGGCACCTGTAATCCCAGCTACTTGGGAGGCTGAGGCAGGAGAATCGCTTGAACCCAGGAGGCAGAGGTTGCAGTGAGCCGAGATCATGCCACTCCACTCCAGCCTGGGCAACAGTGCAAGACTCTCAAAAAAAAAAAAGAAAGAAAGAAAGAAAAAGAAAAGAAAAGACAAAACCCATCTAAAAGCATTTACTCTCTGATTCTTGCAAGACCAATCTCCACCAATTTACGAAGTATTTGAGCCTCATTTGTACGAAGCAAAACTGAACATAGTTCAATTGTTTTAACAAATTGAACCATTGTTTTAACGAATGTTGCTACTATCACATCTGCAAGGTACACTTTCCCACAGATATACCACACTGCAGTTCGTGATAAATAAGTGAAACCAACCTGTCTGAAAATCATCAGCAAAGAGAGAAAATGGGGCCTTGCCTCAAGGAATCTCTTTTTTTCATTAACTCAGGGCTCTGAGATCACAGAACTTGAGAGAAAAGAGAGGAGATCTTTCAATGCATTGTTGAATATAAGGCTCAGGGGAGCTTCCAGGATAAATACTAAATTGTGAGTTTATATTGCATGAGCCAATCAGGAAGTCCTGTGTCCGCTGATGGTCAAAAGAAAATGGAAATGACTTCCTCTGGGACCCCTGGCAGGAATGCAAAGGCTAGGTTTGCTGAATGAACCTCACAATTGTGGCATCCAGCGGGAGACGCTGGAACTGAATTCCAGTGTGCTTCATCCCCAGCTCAGCTCCTAATCACTGACCAGCACCTCCAATTTGCCTGCAGACCTGGGGCAGCATCTGTTACCATAGGCTGGGCCGAAAGGTCACTGTGGCCTCAGCTTTCAAAGGGTTTGTTGAATATAAATGCAGTTGTTTAATGTAATGCAGTTACTACTGTAACTTGGAAATAGGTTAGGACTTGGAAAAATATTGCATCAGATGTATTCAGCTATAAGTAACAGAAATTTTAACTAACAGATTCAAATAAATGCTAGCATTTATTATTTGGTAACAAGAAGACAAGAGAAAGGCGATCTCAGAGTTGGCTTCACAGCCTAATGATGCTATATTTCCTATCTTTCTATGCTCCTGTCCTCCTCTTGTTGGTTTTTGGTCCTTATGCCTGCAGTGTCACAGTTGCAAGACGGCTGTCCCTGGTAGCACCACCTCCTCCCTTTGTCTCTTCATCCTAGGGGTGGGAGCAGCTTCCTTCGAGTGCTGACTTCTGGGTTGCCTCATGCACCATTTGTCTTCTCAGCTCTTCTATCACCTGCTTAATCAATTTCTTACACTAAATTCCTTCTGCTGCAATAACTGAAGTGGTTTTGTTTTCTCAGTTAAAACCTAACGGGCCACATGGTTCAAGCAAGAAATATCCTTAGGGAGCAATGCTTTAAAAGCACAGACCTAAGGGGAATATGGAGATAATTTTTGGAAGAAATTTTTAAAACTCAAAGTATGTAATGAGAAAAAGATATTGAAAATGAGACATAGTGATCCCATGAAAATGGTAGTACCTCTGACAGGTGAGAAGGTGGAAGACACAGCACTCCTTTAAGTTTGTTCTGTTCAAGGACATCGGCCAAGGGGGACACTGGGGGCCAAGTGCAGCCTATGCTTCACTGTATGCATGCTGCATGAGTCTATTCCCCCAAGGAAGGGGTGCCTGTATATAACTTGCACAAAAGTTACCCAAAGTTTTCTCCCAATTCCAATAGACTAGCATTGGCTCTGTATACAGTCACCAAAATTCACCCCAGGCAGTAGGAAAATAAAGGGGAACATGAAGAAAGAGCAATACAGCATAATACGAAGCCAACCTGAATGCTTAAGAACTTTGTTAAAGGTTTTTTGATTCGTTTGTTTGTTTGGGGATTTTGGGGGAGGTTGTTTGTTTGTTTTTGAGAAAGGGTCTTGGTCTGTCACCGAGGCTGGAGTGCAGTGGCGCGATCTTGGCCCACCACAACATTCACCTTTCCAGCTGAGGCAATCCTCCCTCCTCAACCTCCCATGTAGCTAGGACTACAGGCATGCACCGCCATGCCCAGCTAATTTTTGCAGGGATGGGGTTTCACCATGTTGCCCAGGATGGTCTCAAACTCCTGTACTCAAGTGATCCGCCCGCCTCAGCCTCCTGAAGTGCTGGGATTACAGGCATGAGCCATCACCCCCGGCCTGTTCAACCTTTTTTAATGTCCCAAGAACACAGAGGAAGGGATCTTTAAGAAGGAGGCTCCCTGACAAGGAGCATAAAATGTAGCGTGCCCATCCTCTGGAGTAGCAGAAAGAGGCAGTGGTCCTGCTGGAAGATGCTTAATTAGAAGGCAATTCCCACATTTTTGACAAGTGGCATGTTCCTCATGTGCTCTGGTCTGTATGTGTATGTCCCCCGAAATTCCTGTGTTGAAATTCTAACCCCAAGGGGACAGTATTAGGAGGTGGGCCTCATGGAAGGTGATTAGGTCATGAAGGAGAAGCCCTCATGAATGGAATTAGTGCCCTTATAAAAGAGGCCTAAGGGAGCTCCTTCACCCCTTCCCCATGTGAGGATACAGTGAGAAGCCTCCATCTGTGAATCAGCAAATGAACCCTCACAAGACACTGCATCTGCCAGCACCTTGATCTTGGACTTCCCAGCCTCCCAAGCCATGAGAAATATAGTTCTGTTGTTTATAAGCCATCCAGTTTATGGTTTTCGTTACGGCAGCCTGAACAGACTAAGACATCATAGCTGCAGCCTTCTTTTCTTTTCTATCTTTTTCTTTTTTCCCATCATTGGGGAGGGTGGTCATGGGACTTAGAAAGTTAAATGTGACCTCTGATGAGCTCAATAACCCCCCCACCCCCACAAAACAGCAAGACTCCAGATTCCCAGATAAACATAAAGTACACAAAGTTATTTCTGAGAGGCCTCAGCAGGGAGCCCACTGTGTACTCACAAGCTGGTCTATGGAACTGCCATCAAGCATCAGCCCCTCCTTCCTCTTTATCCTACATCTCATTTGTCCATATCCCCTACCCACAGAGCCATCTGCAGGAGCCTCACCCATGCCAGCCCCTCCGGGGAATTCCTCTATCCATGCCACAGACATTGATGGGTGCTCCCAAAGCCACCATCATCAGATGCTCCCTCGGTGCTGTGCCCCATGCAGAATGGGGAAATGACCTCCAGCTCTGGACCTTGCCTCACCCGACCCCAAAGCAGCTCTGACTGTACCCAGAGTCTCACCAAGCAGCTCCACCAACTCCTAGAACACTCTGCCCTCACCCTCTGGGCCTGGGCAACCTGGAGAAACCTGAGCACCAGTAGGAAACTCTGTGTCTCCCAGAGCATCCCCCGGCCCCTGCTCACAGGGCCTTGCACCCAGTCCATTCAGCTGAACCTTGAGCAATACCATGGATTCCATTCACCTATTCTCCTCTTCTCCTTTTCTACCCTCTCCTACCATTAAAAAAAAAAAAATCCCCTCTGCTCTTCCAATTCCAAAGTGAACACTCCCAGATTCTGATGTGTCTGACAGAGAGAAGCAGAGAGAACTTATCTACATCAGCAGCCAACAAAAGACCCTCTGGTATACTTGGCAGAAGGAGGGTGGTCTCGCCTTGGCAGCAGAGGGTATAAAAGGAGGGGCTAAGCATAGTTAAAAGAAATCCTGGCAGAGATGATGACTATCTCCTGCAGGATCTCCAGGCCCATAGGTTGTGCAGCAGCCTTGCCCTGGAACCCTGGGGACTTCCTGGCAGATCTGATGGGGCCTCTGTCTGGAGGACGGGGTGCACAGGTAGCCATCCAGCTCCCTCCCCTCTCTGCTCTCCTCCTTCCTCCCCTTGTCCTTTCTATATCCCTTTCTCTTCATCTTCACCTGCCTCTCCCTCCCACTCCCAGCCTCCAGGTCCCAGTTCTTCCTCTCCTTCCCTTCTAGTTCCCTTTCTCTCCAGCACTTATCTGCATGCTGCTGGAGGTAAAACAGAAAGGTCAGACAATGGTCCCACCCCTAGGGAGTCAGTGAGAAAAGAAGCAGTGCCCGAGCCAAGCAAAGGAATAGGACTGAGTCAAAAATGGCTTTGACCCCTCCCAAATGTTTCTTCTGCAGTCACCTACTAAGGCATTAAGGCACCCTTGGGGTAAGATATTGCTTGAGGAGAGAACTCTATGAGGCCTTCTGGATCGGTATAGAAGACGAAAGAAAGGCTTTGCAACCTCAGTGACACAACTGAAGTTATCTAATAAACAATAAGAAAGCAAAGAATTTTCTATGAGGGACTCATCTATTCTTCTTTAAATATTAAAATGTTCTATTTGATTATGTTTTTATAGAAAAGCCTTTTTACCATTTGACCCAGCCATCCCATTACTGGGTATATACCCAAAGGACTATAAATCATGCTGCTATAAAGACACATGCACACGTATGTTTATTGCGGCATTATTCACAATAGCAAAGACTTGGAACCAACCCAAATGTCCAACAATGATAGACTGGATTAAGAAAATGTGGCACATATACACCATGGAATACTATGCAGCCATAAAAAATGATGAGTTCATGTCCTTTGTAGGGACATGGATGAAATTGGAAATCATCATTCTCAGTAAACTATCGCAAGAACAAAAAACCAAACACCGCATATTCTCACTCATAGGTGGGAATTGAACAATGAGATCACATGGACACAGGAAGGGGAATATCACACTCTGGGGACTGTTGTGGGGTGCGGGGAGGGGGGAGGGATAGCATCGGGAGATATACCTAATGCTAGATGACGAGTTAGTGGGTGCAGCGCACCAGCATGGCACATGTATACATATGTAACTAACCTGCACAATGTGCACATGTACCCTAAAACTTGAAGTATAATAATAATAAAAATAATAATAATCATAAAAAAAAGAACTTAAAAAAAAAGAAAAAAAAGCTTCACATGATTTACTGACAAAAGTCCTATCAGATACAAGGCCTGAAACTATAAAGAAGACCACAAATACTGTAAATAGGAGTTTAAAAACTCATCTCCGCAAATGAGATAAACTTAAGTTTTATACACAAAGAGAAAAAGCTAGACAGGAGATTACTTCTTTGTAACCAGGAAAGGTTTATCCTAAGAATTCCTGAAATTGGACATACAGAAATGTTTCCCTTTTGTGGCCAGGAAAGACAGAGTCAGGTCTTCTGAGTGTATAAAGTCATTTTCTCCCTCATACAAGGTAAGGATTTGGGCTCCTAGGGAAAGCTACATGTGGCCCAATGGTATGAAATTTCCCATGCTGTCTAAATGCTGTTGGGATTAACTTTCTGGTTCATCCCAGAATGTTGGATGAAAGAGTTAATATCAAGCCAAGAAAGAGTTAAGAGACTGCCACTGCAGTCTGAGAGTGGTACCAAGGATAGGTGAGCAGAAGCTGCTTGGTTCTATGTTTTTATATTTCTTTAAATCCAAACATAGTCTTTCTAAAACAAATACATTTATAACAGTTAAACCTGTAATGGTGTTGGTTTTAGCAGAGCTTTGAAAACGTAAGCTAAATTCTCTTTCAGCTTCCCACAGCTATGGGAAGCCTAGCTGTCAGCTCCTGTGACCCATGGCGGGTACCTGAACTGAAAGCAGCCTCCTTAGGAGGATGCATAGAATTGCACAGCTCACCTAAGAGGTAACAGCAAATAGCACAACTCCTACCTAATCAATGCATGGGGTGGGGATCAAGAAAATGACTAATCAGACCAATGACTTAAACAAAGTAAAGGGGAAATGGATAACAGCACACATTTTCCTGTTGATATCCCATAGCTGCTGGATTAAGAATGATGGACAGGAGAACTACCTTCTGCCAATTAATTCCAGAGCATAATTTGTAGCCTGGGCCCATCCTGGACGATCCCGGGCTGCTAACAAACCATGACACTGCTTTAATTTCTCCTTTGCCCCCACACTCTATTAAAACCTAGAGTGGGTTCCATCAAATATCCCTTCAAGGAAAAAAAACAGAGAGTGAGAGAGAAATGGAGCAACATTTGTCTCAATACAATATGAAAGATTAGAGTTTGCTGGAAAAAGAGTGAGAAGGGAGGGGATAGGAATCTTGTGAAACACACACACGCACAGGGACACACACACACACACACACAATTTCTCTTTTTCAATGACCTCCTTATGCCCCATCCATCAGCCTGGGGTTGGCTTATTCTAACTAGCAGATTCCTTTATTCTGTATAACAGGCCCATCAGACACAATCTGCATGCCAATTACTGGCACAGACCCCTTGATACCAAAAAATGGAAATTAGCTGTCAAGAAAAGGCTTCAACCGGCCAGGTCTCTTTCTCGCTCTCTATTTCCAGCTCATATACACCCTCATTCTGCTCAGTGCCCGGTTCTCACCAGGGAGTCCCCAGTGGAAAAAGTCATCTAAAAATACAAACATATTTTATTGTTATTAGTATTAGTTGCTGACTTTCTCAGTACAATGTGAAATTCACCAGTGGGCAAAAGCTGCTTAGGGCAGAAATGGGTGAGAGAGGTTGATTTCTGATAATTGCATTTCTTTGGGAGCAGATCAAGGCGTCCCAAGAAAGGACATTCAAAGAAATGTGAGGATAAGGGCAAAAGAAAACAGACAAGGAATGAGATTCTGTAACCAAGATAACAATCAGAACTTTCACACTTAGGAATGGGCCTAGGCAGAGTTGAGGGGACAAAGGTGAGACAAGCTCCATGAACAAGCCTGCATTACTGCTTTGCATCCTAATCAGCTTTGATAAAGCCAGGCTGCAGCCAACTGGAGGGCTTCCTATGGACACAGAAACAGCGTGTTTTCAACCCAACCAAAGCATGCTACCTGCAAGATTTCTGTCCTGTTGCTCCCAGAATCTCCAAGAGTAAATTTTATTATATAGTTCCTCTTCTCTTTTTTTTCCAAAATGAATCACAAAGGAAGGGAGTTTATTTTTCCCCATCAAAGATCCAGGGTCCATGTTAAATCTCCTGTGGTAGGACAAAGAAATCCATACGGATCACCATGACTTCAGAGCGGTTCCCCAGAAGATTCAGGGCATCACCTTCATTCAGGGTCACACTCAACCCAATGCCCAAGTGGCCTTTTTCCTTAACATTTTTAGTAAGGGATATTCCTATGTCTTATTTTTTAATTGCTCGCAGATAAAAAATTGGGGTTGTATAGATTCATCCAATAACAATTCTTTTCATTAAGTATTTTCATTATCACACAACTCAAGACCTACTCAAAAATCTAGATTCCTTCACTGGCAACTGAAAAATATTTTTACTTCTAAAGTCTCTTCTGCCCATGCATTCTGAGAGCTAAAATTGTCAGGCAGGTAAATCTGGAGATTTTTAGATGCACACTTTTCAGAGCATGGTGTGTGTAAATAAATAGCTTAATTCAGCCAACGTATTTACTGACTACCTACTATGTGCCTGGTACCTACATGTGCAACAAAGATAGGTGAATAGAATGAATGAATGCTAGACCCTAAGCTGCAAATAGGTTGGTGAGTAAGACAGACAATACCCTGACCCTGAGAAGCTCTGGGTCAGATCTAGTTGAAATCCCTCACCTCTAATTTCTTGTTCCAGTATGTATTTTGTAGTTGGTATTACTAAACAAGTCTCCTTAGCTTCCCCTGGAGGGTGATTTACATGTCCCCTCACTCAAATGCTCTTGGTTTTGAGTTACTGAATTTCCAAAAAGATATTTATTTTCTCATCACCCCAAACTATTCTCGACATCGAAACAAAAGCAACATGGTTTAGGGTCTGATGGTGTGTAACACTTCTGACCACAGCCTCCCTTTGTTCCAAGGATGCTTCAGTATGTATTTCTAGTTTCCCTCCAAATTCTTGGGCTGATCCTTCTCATCCTTTTTTTTTTCTTTTTTTCTTTTTTTTTTTTTTTGAGACAGTCTCGCTCTGTCACCCAGTCTAGAGTGCAGTGATGTGATCTCTGCTCACTGCAACCTCCACCTCCCAGGTTCAAGTGATTCTACTGCCTCACCCTCCCAAGCTCCCAAGTAGCTGGGATTATAGGTATGTGCCACCATGCCCAGCTAATTTTTGTATTTTTAGTAGAGACAGGGTTTCACCATGTTGGCCAGGCTGGTCTCAAACTCATGACCTCAGGTGATCTGCCTGCCTCAGCCTCCCAAAGTGCTGGGATTACAGGCATGAGCCACTGCACCCCTCCTGATCCTTCTCATCCTCTTTTGAAGATTCTTTGTCCTGTCTTTAACTGTTGGTACTCATCAGTGTCTGTCCTGGGTTCTCCTTCTCACAGACTCAGGTTCTAGAACAACAGAGCAGGCAAGGAACATCAAAGCTGACTAACTCCCAACTTCCTGGATTGAGCAACTGGGCAAATAAAGATCATTCTAGTTGCCATCTTTGGATGCAAGGAACAAAAATGCATGCAAGCTAGCTTAAGTGAAAAAGGGGTTTTGTGAGCACACAAAGCCATGAAGGCTTCACAAAATGAAGGCTGCTCTAAGAAACAGACTCTCAGCTCCTCACCCTTGAGTGGCTCCTCAGCTTCTCTGATTACCTCTGCTCTCTTCTCATCTTCCCAGTGAGCCATCTCTGAGTGTTCCCTCTTCTCTAACTTTATCTGGCCCTTATTGACACCCCAGACAAAACTCTACCACAGCCTTTCTACTCCAGCGCCTACCATGAACTGAAAATTGTCTTGGTCATTTAGGACAGATTCCTCAGAGTAGAGATCTGATCAGTTCAATGGATCTTTTCTGAGCCAGGCCAAGGATCTCCCCCTAGAAGAGGTACATATGCCGGCACTTACCAGATATGACTAAGGGTAAGGTCACATGGCCTGCTGTCTACTCAGCAGGGGCTGTGAGTGGAGGAAGATTATCTGAGAAGGGAAGGTGAGTGAGGTGGGTGTCTCTAAATGTGCCAAATATGGCAGAATTCTTAAACAGACATACAGACTTATTCTACAAACATTCATTGTGAAAATGATAATACAAGGCAAGTGAAATGGGTTGAGGCTTAAACACCCTAACTTGGAGGGAAAAGAATGAAAAGGACCAGCAGAAGAAGCAGGAGTTCCCATCATTTTAGATATGATAATTTTGGGAGAAGAGAGTGTGAGAAGTGTATTAGCTTCCTATTGCTGCTTCCATTGCTGCAAATTACCACAAACTGAGTGGTTTAAAACAATGCAAACTTATTTTCTTACAGTCCTAAAGGT